>NC_000010.11:96658246-96961277 GCF_000001405.40 Homo sapiens
GACAGGAGAGGTGAGAAGCAAGGGTTAGTTTGGCTGATTCCTGCAGCCTGGTTTCCTGGAAGAAAATTGGCCTCTGCAGAGTTTGTGGCAACTGTCCTGGTAGAATGCTAGGGTTACGAAACAGCTGCTGATAGGCACCCTGGAAAGCTGTAACCACAGGCTTTCACCCTAGACCCCAGGTCATGCTAGGAAGAGGCTGTGCTTCCACAACCATAAAGGCCGAGTTGGGGGCAGGGCTACAGGGCCTCAGTACCACCGTATCCTATTGCTGTAACTATAAGACCCTGACCCCTGGCCTACTCAGGCCAGCAGAGGGGCCGGGGCTTCTTCCCTAGCCATGCAGCTTAAAATCTCAGTAGCCTAGAGTGGAGGTCCCGTCCCAGAGCCTGGCATCTGACTGCTGAATGTCTATGGGCTGCCCTAGAGAGCAACAGGCAATGAGGCATGTACTCTTGCCACTATTCCCCCTCCATGATTTTTCCCAAGACATGCTACTCCAGAATGCCTGTTTGAATGCTGCCAGATCTTTGTCCTTGTCTGTACGTCAGGCAGAATCTAGTGTTAAGAGGTAGAGCAAAGGACCCAGAGTGTTCTACGCAAGGCGATATGGTTTTTAGCTGGGCATCAGAACCATCGGTCTCCTCCAACTCTCCTTTCTAATTCTCCTGGCTCTCCCCTCAATCCCTGCAAAAACTAACACAGTAGGCTGCCGTTTTCTCTGCTGAATATGCCCTTCCCCACACCCTTCTCTCCTTGACTGATCACTTCTAAAACAGCCAGGGCCCATCACCCTGGACAGAGCTATACATGCCACCCAAGCAACCCTCACTCAGCACAGGAGCTTGTAATGGAAAAAGCCAAAAACATCAGGGACAATTCACACAGTCTTCTTCTTAAGGATTTTATGAAGTTTCAGTTAATTATTATTAGATTCCTGGACATACCATTTAAAAAAATATTTCTGAGGTTCTTCTGGGATGAGAAAGTAATCCCATGGACTTGAAACATTCAGTTACTTAAAATAGAAAGAAGCTCCTTGAAACTATTTCTTGCTCCAGAATTTTTTAGATACTATTCTGAGTGGCCACAGTGGCTGGAGTGGCTCAAACTCTTACCAATTACCTATTCTAGTATATCACACAGGTATAACCTCTTTGGGATGGACCCACAGTGCAGTCTACCATTGTTTCAACAAAGACAAATCCTTTATTTCTCCCAAATTACTGGCCCACTAGTCTATATTTTAAGAAATTTTATGAAACACATTGAAGTGAAAAGTCTACGGTAAGAATTCATATTAAAGTGAGAACTCTGTGCTAAGAAAATCTCAATGCAGCCAGGTGTGGTAGCTCACACCTGTAATCCCAGCACTTTGGGAGGCTGAGGTGGGAGGATCACTTAAGGCCAGGAGTTCAAGACCAGCTTGGGCAACATAGTAAAACTCTGTCTCTACCAAAAAAAAAAAAAACAAAATGCAATTTTAATAGAAAAATATAAAGTATTGAAATTGTCTTTAAAGAAGTAAAAAACCTGACTAAATCAATAACCATGAAAAAAAGTAATAACCATGAAAAAACACTCCTCAGTTTTAAAATAATATTTAGAGTAAAAGCCACACAACCTTCTTTGAATTGAATTTAACATTTTATTTGGGACAATGTTCTTCTTTATAATACTAATTATTTCCTACCCTGGAAAACTCCATTTATATAGGTATTACGTCTTCTAGTAAAGTTTTAAAAAATAATAAAGGATAGTCCTATTTTATATTAAAGTTATTAAAAAACAGAATGGATAGAGCAATTGAATACAAGAGATGGTCCAGAATTAAGGCTTCATTCCCATAAAAACTTAATATGGGATTTTAAAAAGCATTAAAAACCAGTACAGATCTGTTCTGCGAAAGACATTGTCAAAAGAATGCAGAGATAAGCGATCGTCTGGGAGAAAATATTGCAAAAGACATATCTAATAAAATACTTGTACCCAAAATATACAAAGAACTCTTAAAACTCAACAAGCAGAAAACGAAAAGCCTGATTTTAAAAAAGAGCAAAAGACCTGAACAGACACTTCACCAAATAAGACACATGGATGGCAAAGAAGCCATCTGTATATCTTGAAAAGATGGTCCACATCATATGTCATCAGGGAAACGCAAATTAAAACAGCCATGAAATAGCACTACAAATCTATGAGAATGGGCAGAAGCGAGAACACTGACAACACCAAATGCTGGTCAGGAAGTGGAGCAACAAGAACTTGCATCCTTTCCCGAGGTTCTTCTCCTTTTCTGGTAGGAATGCATCCTTTGCTGGCAGGAATGCAAAATGGTACAGCCACTTTGGAAGACAGACTTACAAAACTAAACACAAGCTTACTAAACAATCCAGCAATCATGCTCCTCAGTATTTACCAAAAAGAATTGAAAACTTACAGTCACACAAAAACCTGCACACAAATGTTTATAGCAGCTTTGTTCAAAACAGCCAAAACTTGGAAGTGACCAAGATGTCCTTCAGTAGGTGAATGGATAAAGTGCGGTACACCCAGACAATACAATACTATTCTGCACCAAAAAGAAATGAGCAGGCAAGCCCTGAAATGCCATGGAGAAAACCTGAATGCATATTACTAAGTGAAAGAAGTCACTCTGAGTCAGGCATGGTGGCTCACCCCTGTAATCCCAGCACTTTGGGAGGCCAAGGTAGTTGGATCACCTGAGGTCAGGAGTTCGAGACCAGCCTGGCCAACATGGTGAAACCCTGTTTCTACTGAAAATACAAAAATTAGCCAGCCATGAGGCCGAGAGGCTAATACAAAAATTAGCCTCTCATGAGGCTGAGGCAGGAGAATCACTTGAACCTGGGAGGTGAAGGTTGCAGTGAGCTGAGATTGCGCCACTGCACTTCAGCCTGGGAAACGAGCAAAACTCCATCTAAAAAAAAAAAAGCCAATCTGAAAACACACTGTAGGATTCCAACTATATGACATTCTGGAAAAGGCAGAACTATGGATCACTGATTGCCAGTGGTTAGGAGGAAAGAAAGAATGAATAGGCAGAGCACAGAGGCTTTTTAGGGCAATGAAACTACTCTGTATGATACTATACTGGTGGGTGCATGTTATTAGACATTTGTCCACACCAATAGAGTATACAACAGTAGGTGAATCCTAATATAAACTCTGGCCTTCGGGTGAGTGATAATGATGCATCAATGTAGATTCATCAGTGGTAACAAATGTGCCACTCTGGTGCTGGATGTTGATGGGGGTGGGAGGAGGCTGTGTGTACATAGGGGCAGAGCAGACATGGAACTTTGCATGCTTTCCACTTAATTTTGCTATGAACCTAAAACTGCTCTAAAATATAAAATCTACTCAAAAATATTAGCCAGGCATGGTGGCATGTGCCTGCAGTCCCAGCTACTTGGGAGGCTGAGGTGGGAGGGTCGCTTGAGTCCAGGAAGTGGAGGTTGCAGATTGTGCCACTGCACTCCAGCCTGGGAGACAGAGCGAGACACTGAGAAAAGGAAAGGACAGGATAGGACAGGACAGGACAGGACAGGACAGGACAGGACAGGAAAGGAAAGGGAAAAGGGAAAGGGAAAGGAAAGGGAAAGGAGAGGGGAAAGTGAGGGGTACTATTTAGATTCTTCCTAATTCTTATAACTCCAAAATAAAATTTAGATGGATTAGAGATTAAAATGCAAAATAAATAAACAAATTTTAAAAATTAAAAAGAAAATACATGTGAACATTTTATCAGTGGTTTGGGAAAATATTTGTTAAACAAACAAAAATCACAATCTAAATGAGCAAGACTTGATAATATAAATTTAAAACTTTAGTAAACAAACAAAAAACTAAAATCAAAATGCTGTAGCAGCATCATTCCTAATAGTCAAAAGGTGGAAACAGCCCAAATGTCCATCAACTGATGAATGGATAAACAAAATGAGGTATGTCCATATAATGGAACATTACTCAGCAATAAAGAGAAATAAATTTCAAAACAATATGTTGTTTTATATAAATAGAGACACATTTTCTTATTATAATAGATAAATAAGGCCGGGCGCAGTGGCTCACACCTGTAATCCCTGCACTTTTGGGAGGCCAAGGCGGGTGGATCACCTGAGGTCAGGAGCTCGAGATCAGCCTGGCCAACATGGTGAAACCCTATCTCTACTAAAAATACAAAAAATTAGCCAGGCATGGTGGTGGGCGCCTGTATTCTCAACTACTCAAGAGGCTGAGGCAGGAGAATTGCTTGAACCCAGGAGGCAGAGATTGCAGTGAGCCAAGATCGCGCCACTGCACTCCAGCCTGGGCAACAAGAGGGAAACTCCGGCCGGGCGCGGTGGCTCACGCCTGTAATCCCAGCACTTTGGGAGGCCGAGGCGGGTGGATCATGAGGTCAGGAGATCGAGACCATCCTGGCTAACAAGGTGAAACCCCGTCTCTACTAAAAATACAAAAAAAATTAGCCGGGCGCGGTGGCGGGCGCCTGTAGTCCCAGCTACTCGGGAGGCTGAGGCAGGAGAATGGCGTGAACCGGGGAAGCGGAGCTTGCAGTGAGCCGAGATTGCGCCACTGCAGTCCGCAGTCCCGCCTGGGCGACAGAGCGAGACTCCGTCTCAAAAAAAAAAAAAAAAAAAAAAAAAAAAAGAGGGAAACTCCATCTCAATAAATAAGTAAATTAAATAGATAAATAAAAATGAATGATGTACTGATAAATGCTACAGCATGCATGAATCTTGAAAACATTATGCTAAGTGAAAGAAGATAGTCATAAAAGACCACAAATTATATGATTCCAAATATATGTCCAGGACAGGCAAATCTATAGAGACAGAAAGTAGATTAGTGGTTGCTTTGGGCTGGGGAGATTGGCAGGATTGTGGGACAATAGCTAAGAGGTATGAAATTTCTTTCTGAGGTGATGAAAATATTCTAAAATTGATTGAAAATACTCTAAAATGGATTATGGTGAATATTGCACAAATCTGTGAATATACGAAAAAAACATTGAATTGTACACTTTAAATGGATAAATTGATGGTATGTGAATTATACCTCAACAAAGAAACCAATGGCAGGCTGGGCGCGGTGGCTCATACCTGTAATCCCAACACTTTGGTAGGTTGAGGCAGGTGGATCACCTGAGGTCAGGAGTTCAAGACCAGCCTGGCCAACATGGTGAAACTCCGTCTCTACTAAAAATGCAAAAATTAGCCGGGCATGGTGGTATACGCCTGTAATCCCAGCTTCTCAGGAGGCTGAGGCAGGAGAATCACTTGAACCCAGGAGGCAGAAGTTGCAGTGAGTCGAGATCGCACCACTGTACTCCAGCCTGGGCAACAGAGTGAGACTCCGTCAAAAAAAAAAAAAAAAAAAAAAAAAAAGAAACCCATTGGCAAATCACAAACAGTTTAAAAATTTGAAGTAAAAATGATAAGGGGCTAATCTTCTTAATATACGAAGATGTCACGAAATCTCTTTTAAAATACCCCAAGACCAATAAGAAGACAATTCATAAAAGAAGGAATACAAATTACCTCCCCATTCAAACAAATATCATTCATTCTCACTAGTCATCATGAGAATGCAAATGAAAATACAATGCTGTCTTGCTATTTTAGCTTTTCAAATTAGAAAATGCTGTGAAGTACACCCAATAAACTTTAAACTTTAAACAGTGCAGGGTTTAAAGGTGACTGGAGGACAGATACCCCCCAGCTGCTGAGGGAAGTACAAACTGCACAATCTTTCTGGAAAGCCATGTGTCCACACCCAGAGAAAGAGAAGGCCTTGAAAATGTTCACAGCTTTTGCCACATAATTCTATTTCCAGAAGTCTCTCTTAAGGAGGAAAATAAAAGTCCAAAATAAAGATTCTGAACCAAGAGGCTTTGCATCAGTGAAAAAACTGAAAACAACCTAAAAGACTATTAAAAACATTATTTTCAAAGAGTTCTAAGTGACATGGGTAAAAGCTTACGGCATGCGAAGCGAAAAAGCAGGATATAAAATTATATCTCAGATGCTGCAGGATTTCAATTATATAAAAAATGCATTTTAAAAGGTCAGAAGAAAATGTGTGGCTGGATTCTGCATGCTTCTTTCCTCTCTCCCTCCCTCCTTCCTTCTACCATTTTATGTATTTTAGTATTTTCCATAGTGAGAAAGCATTTCTTTGATAATGGGGGTAGGGTAAGGGAAAAAGTAGCAACTGAATCTATTAGCTAATCATTTTTTAAAAATAGGCACAAAACCAATGCAATCTATTAGCTAATCATTTTTTTAAAATAGGCACAAAACCAATGCAATCTATTAGCTAATAATTTTGCCCAAGAGCCCAGCTTGACACAAATGAGATTGATGCTAATAGTGCGGCACTTGGCAGATATTTCCCAGCATTCAGACAGGCCATACAAAATAAACAATTCCTTCCAGTAGGTCTATTCATTTAGTCACCTTAGATAGCCACCAGCAGCTCACTCATTTCAGGAAGTTAGGCAGGATGTCATTCATTCTGCAGGGTTATTCTGGTGGCGCTGATTGACAAGCCACAGTGGCCTCTTCCACAATGCACTACGGAGAAGGCAGAGTCCCAACAGGGCCAGGGTCCAAGCACTTCAGCAGATTAAAAGTTTCCTTCAAAGGAAATGCCCACTCAGACATAAGCACTGCTCTTACCCACCTGACAGAGTGGGGTGGTCTCAGACCTTCCCACCTGAACATGTAGATCCCTCTTGGACCACTTCCCGCTTTGAAGATAATACCACCTTTGCTGTCCTGAGACTCGAATAATAATGTTTGAGCGAAGGTACTCTGAAAACCCCAGGGATCCTCCTCAGTGTAAAGTATTATTAAGATGCCAGTAGCATCCTCACTGCTTTAAAATTTCACAATATCCTCTCAGCTTTTATGAAGTCTAGAGAAACTCTGGAGAAATGATTGAAAAAGACTTTCTGTGTGCATCTGGTTCTTCAAAGTGTCATCTATAAAGGATCCATGTAATAAATACTCCTTGAATTCTATGGCAGGAAAAGTCTGTCTCTTCAGAGAACTTGAGTGCTTTCTCTTATCAGATAAAAGGAACGAGCGAACATTGGTATATTTCACCTTTGGCCCTTGCTCGGTGACAAATTTGGTTCTTAGCCTCTTTCACACTCCTGTCCAGGTCCTTGGTCTTGCCTATTTCTCTTTTTTATATTGTGTTTAATTTTTAAGACTGCTTCAAATACTTTGGAGATCCAGTCAGTATATGAGTCACTGTCTCTCAAACCAGTGTCTGGTCTGCAGAAAGTCCTTAGATACGTTCTTTATGAGAATCGGTGTCTGGGCTCTTCATTTAGATCATAATGCCTTTTAAATGGGATGCAAGAACTTTTCAGATTATATGAATGACCACGTTATAAAGGGGGTCCTGCCACAGGAGTCTGAGCCTGTGTTTGTGTCTGCAATCTCTTTGCAGGTAGGTCATGCTATGCTAAATGTCAGAGGTTACTGAGGAAAGAAGGGGGCAGGATGATATGGAAATGAGACATTTGTGCCAACTGAACACAAGGAGATTTTCCTGTACACTACTTTAAATAGAGAAATGTGGTGGGAGATCCAAGCCCCAAAATAACACAGGGGAGACGGAGCAAGACTCCCCACAGATTGGCGAGTACCACAGCCTCCACACAGTGCACAGGACGCTGCCACAATAAACCAGCATCCTCTATGACAAAATGAACGTGGTCGATTTGCATTTTATTTATTTTATACCTGTATTTGTGTCTTGTTCATTTGTTTTGCTTTCGGAGTTGGGACAGAACAATAAACATAAAGAATTAAATATGTATGACTATAGAACATACAAATAAAAAAAGAGTTAAATAGGCCGGGCGAGGTGGCTCATGCCTGTAATCCCAGCACTTTGGGAGGCCGAGGCGGGAGGATCACAAGGTCAGGAGATCGAGACCATCCTGGCTAACATGGTGAAACCCCGTCTCTACTAAAAATACAAAAAATTAGCCGGGCGTGGTAGCAGGCGCCTGTAGTCCCAGCTACTCGGGAGGCTGAGGCAGGAGAATGGCGTGAACCTGGGAGGCGGAGCTTGCAGTGAGCCGAGATCGCACCATTGTACTCCAGCCTGGGCAACAGAGTGAGACTCCATCTCAAACAAACAAACAAAAAAAAGAGTTAAATATGTCTATGCATATTTAAACAACATCAAAATCATTAATTAGTCGACACTAAAGCTTCATAATATTTATTTCCCTTAAGGGGAATCTATACACTATTTGGGTCTGAAAAAAACTATGAATTTTAAATGTAATAAATATATGTATGCATTTGGACCCACAACTAAGCTACATGGAGTAGCTAATGCTAGGTAAGAGCTGGTGACAGTCATTATTATTACTTATAATGATAATGATCAAAGTTCCCATTTGTTAAATATTATGGTGACTGCTCAATAGTCCTAATCTCATTTAATCCTCAGAACAACCCTGTAAAATAGGAATCAATGCTTATTCCCATTTTATAGATGAAAATCCAGTGCCCAGAAGGAATGAAATTACCCAGCCAAGGTCAAGCAGCAGCACGGAGCAGAGGTAGGAATCCACTCCCCACCCCCAGGTGCCACTGCCCTGCCTCCCTTCTAGATGTGGCCCAGGGCAGTGGAAGGTATCACTTCCTATTCCTGGTCTGGGGTTGTGACTCTGAAGTTCATGAGACACAACCTGGAGCTTTTGCTGTCACTGACGCCTAAAGGTGCTGCCTTGTTCCGAGCAATGCTGCCCTGGTTAGGTATGCTGTGACCTGCCACCATGGCAAATGGGCACATTCCAAGGATGGGGTTTAAGTCAAGAAATATTTCATGCCAATGGAACCATCCATGGTCTTCCATGCCCTAGTGGCCTCCAACCCAAGGCTGCACTCTCCCATTTTCCAACTGAGCTTTCACACCACAGTGCTCACTGCCTCTTTTCACTATACAATGTCTGGTACTCAGTTGGCGCTCTGGAAGGGGTGTGGAAAAGAATGACGTTTGCTGATCTTGGAGAATATTTTTCAGAGGACACAAACTACTCTTGTAAGGCAGTATTAAGCCTTGAGAAATGCATAAACAAGCATGGTTCTTAAAAACAACCAGAACTGCCATTTCTTGAGCGGTTACAATATGCTAGGAACTACGCAAAACACAACATAAATGATTTCATTTTATCACAGCAACTACATTGGTATCATTCCACACATTTTACAGCCAAAATCTAAGTACACTGTCCAAGTCACCCAGTGTGTGCTGTAAGGCAACCTGACAACAATTTAACCAAACCCATGCTGTCATCCATCTGCCAGGGTTTCCCATACCATGAGCCATGCACCCTGGTGAGACCAGGATGATTCTAGAGTGTACAGCGTCAAGTTGGATGATAAAGGATTTTTTAAGAAAAAAAAAAATAAAAGTGTACAGCAAACATTCCAAAACACTGAACCACACATTAAGAAAGCAGTCCCCTTTCAAATCTTTCAGTTCCACTTAAATCAAAAAGAAAAGACTTCAACCAGTAAAAGAATGCCTTCAACACCTCTTTACCATGCATTTCTCCTTTTGCGCCATAGAGGGAACAGGGCCTTAAGCCCACAGGCTTCTGTAGGAATCTGTGTACCACAGAATTTAATACCAATGTGTACTTTTTATTATCTATATTTTTATATCTAACTTCTATCTATATCAAGAGATACTGGTTTTTTCATGTAGAGTGGCAAAGTTTCCTTTTAAAATATACTTACTTAGAAAATATGAATTGACTTAAAGAAAATATTAACTTAATAGCACAACGAAAAAATTTTGGAAAGAGTGGTGATGGCTGCGCAACATTGTGAAAGTAATTAATGCCAATGAATTGTATACTTTAAATTGGTTAAAATGACAAATACTCTGTTACCTACATTTTACCACAATTTTTAAAAATTAACCGCATACACCAAAAACTGCTGAGTTGTACACTTAAAATGCATGAATTGTATGGTACATGAATTTAAGAAAATAGTAGCACTATGGTACAAACATAAGCCAAAAACGAGGTTGGTGGTTCTCAAATGACTGAAGTTTGGGAAATGCTGCATTATGCTATTTTGCTTCCATTTTGTTAAACTAATTATTTTTTAGTTTAAATAAGGTAAAGTCAAGGTGGGAAGGCAGGATGAAGGCCTGTAGCATAAACATGCTGGATTCTTTCTCTAAGTTTTAGATACAAGGAAAAAGAAAGTGAGCAGAGAAGGAAACTAAGGAGATAAGTTTCAACTGAGAATTAAGAGCTTGCCACCAATCTACTCAAAAATGGAATTAAACAGAAACAGTCACTGGGGCCAGTCAGGGGAACCTGTGTGTCTCTGTGCTGGGACAAAGTAGGGGGGTATCGTGGTTCATGTCCAAGACTTCCAGTGTGGCTGATGAAAAAAAGACTGAAGAAGATTCAAAGATTTCTTAGAAGGATGCAGATGAGCAACCTAAGTATTGGGGTTCACAGAAGAAAGGGCTGTGTTTCCTCTGCATTTGTATTTTAAGTTGAGGACTCAGATTTAACCACCACACGGGGCCAGGCGCAGTGGCTCACACCTGTAATCCCAGCACTTTGGGAGACCAAGACAGGCAGATCACTTGAGGTCAGGAGTTTGAGACTAGCCTGGCCAACATGGTGAAACCCCATCTCTACTAAAAATATACAAAAATTTGCCAGGCGTGGTGGCACACGCCTGTAATCCCAGCTACTCAGGAGGCTGAGACAGGAGAATTGCTTGAACTCGGGAAGCGGAGGCTGCAGTGAGCTGACATAGAACCACTGCACTCCAGCCTGGGTGACAGAATGAGACTCCATCTCAAAAATAAAATAAAATTTAACCACCACACAAATGGGGCAGGAATATAGAGTTACCCAAGGTCTGGAGAAACTTCCAGAGGCTTGTCCACTCAGGATGAAATTTCTCAGCTGTTACGATGTTCATTCATCCTACCTAAGCCACAGTGATGAAACCACGAAACAGCTATTTTTCAAAGCCCCGAATAAAATGTTCCAAAACCTGAGCTTACTACGAAGTTTCCTAGTCACATAGCAAGTGTCTACGGAACACATCTGCCACGTTCTAGCACTGGCCTGGATCCCACAGGAGAATTCCAGAAGTGTGTCCTGTACAGCTGTGTCCCTTAAGGAGCTTCCAATGAATTGGGAAGATGAGGCCCCACATGAAAAAACAGGGAGGCCGGGCGCGGTGGCTCATACCTGTAATCCAAGTGCTTTGGGAAGCCGAGTCGGGAGGATTGCTTGAGCTCAGGAGTTTGAGACCAGCCTGGGCAGCATTATGAGACGCTGTCTCTACCAAAAATACAAAAAATTAGCTGGGTGTGGTGGTGTGTGCTTGTGGTCCCAGCTAATCAGGAGACGGAGGCTGCAGTGAGCTGAGATCGCACCATTGCACTCCAGCCTGGGTGACAGAGCAAGACCCTGTCTCAAAAAAACACAAAAAACAAACAAAAAAAAAACCAGAGAGAATTATGTGATACCTTATCACCAGGCACCAACTTGTACGATGAGACTATAAATAGAACTAAATTAAGTTAATGTTTCTAAGTGTTTAGAAAAGTGGGACCAGGTGCGGTAGCTCATGCCTGTAATCCCAGCACTTTGGGAGGCCGAGGTGGGCGGATCCTAAGGTCAGGAGTTCGAGACCAGCCTGGCCAATATGGTAAAATCCCGTCTCTACTAAAAATACAAAAATTAGCCGGGCGTGGTGGCACGCGCCTGTAGTCCCAGCTACTCGGGAAGCTGAGGCAGGAGAATAACTTGAACCTGGGAGGTGGAGGTTGCGCCACTGACTCCAGCCTGGGTGACTAAGCAAGACTCCATCAAAAAAAAAAAAAAAAAAAGAGAGAGAGAGAGAGACAGAAAAGTGCTTGCACATGAAAAATTCAGAAGTTGAGAAAAACTTCCTAAGAGATGAAGAAGGCAAGCTCCCCTCGGTCAAATAGCACTGGGATGTTGAACTTACCCTTCTGTGAAAAAGGCATGATATTTTCTATTTAAAGTAATAAAATAATTCATTGTTCATTTCCTTATCCCTTCAACAAATAAATACTCATTATTTATCAATGAATAATAAATATTCAAAGCCTATCCCAGGCTCCCCAAGAAATGGAAGAGTGAGAAAATTTCTGTCCTCACTGGTACTGGAGAGACCACACAGGAGAGCTGGGAGGACTTTTCTGGCAGAGGAAAAGCATGATTAAAGGCACAAAGGCATGAGCGCAAATGATGTGTCTGGGCCACAAGAAACACCTTCTATATGGGGGAAGGGCTGTGTGAGAGGGGAAGGGAGTTTGGGTGTCTGAGAGGACCCTGATTCCCATGCAGGGTGTATATTGGAGACCTGTCAGCAAAATGTATTCAGGAGAAAAGGAAATTCTGTAAAATACAGATTGAAAATGCAGTTTATTTTTCTTAAGTTGAAAACTGTCTTTGCTTGTTTTTGAAATAATTCCAGACATTCAGGCAGAATGTATCAGCTCTTTTGTAAAGTCTGGTCATAACTGAGAACACGAGTGCCTGACCACCCATCCCACCCCGAGCAAGCGCTGCCTCCAGATGCATAAAATAACACAAACGAGTGGCTAACAAAGTGTTACCAAGTCAACATCCTGCCCTATCTGCTTTCAAGAACAAATAAGTTGCTATAATTAACCAATGTCTGAAAAGGTACCACAAGCATGGTTTACAGTATGCTTAGAAAATGATTCTGAAGTAGGCTATAAACATGTCTCTTGTTTACACTGCATTTATCTTGTTTACACTGGCTATTTCCTCAGAAATTCAGCATCACAGCTATTGTCATGTCCTTAGAAAGCACAAAAGGAAACCTCAGACCTGGCCTTGTGTCCAGATTCCCAGTGTGTGGACCCCAGTGAAGGAGCCTTTGCTCTACTGAAAATATTTGTGGGTTCACAGGGTTGGAGGTGAGAGGCTTGCAATGGTGGGACTCAAACCTTAAGTTTCAATAACCCTCACCTTCCCCCACCTTCCTGGCAAACATCAAGACTGCTTTTTCATTTTAGTCATCACCATGGGTCTTTCTTCTTTGCTCACCCACCTTGGTCATTGGGTAGTGAATTTCCCGTCCAACTAACCCCTTTCACTTACAAAGCTCCCAACAGAGAGTGACAGGTATACCCAACCCACAAGTCACCAGCTACCCCCAAAGTCACATACAGTCATCATACTGATGGTAAGAGGGTCAGTGGAATGCCAAGTTCTTACCCACCAGATGTCTTACTGACACTGAAGTCAGGGGAGGGAGGAGGTGACAATTATTTAGAAGTGTTAGTGTGAGTTAATTAAAGTGACATCAATCATTGTTCTCATCACCGTCGTCATCATCATCATCATCCTCATGATGCCAAAAAGATAAGGCAGAGTCCTACAGATACTTTCCTAATTCAGACTTTAAATACAGTCATGGCCAGGCATGATTACTCACACCTGTAATCTCAGCACTTTGGGAGGCCAAGGCAAGCAGATCACTTGAGGCCAGGAGTTCGAGACCAGCCTGGGCAACATGGCAAAACTCTGTCTCTACAAAAAATACAAAATTTAGTCAGGCATGGTGCACGCCTGTAGTCCCAGCTACTTGGGAGGTTGAAGTGGGAGGCTCACCTGAGCCCAAGGAGATCAAAGCTGCAGTGGCCCATGATTGTGCCACTGCACTCCAGCCTGGGAAACAAAGTGACACCCTGTCTCAAAAAACAAAGAAAAAAAAATACAGTCATGGTGGTCACACTGTCTCCCTGGAAACAAAGAGAAAGTTGTAGAAACGAAGAAGGAGGAATGAATCCACTTCTTCCACACTCCCATGCTGGCTTCCAGAGGTGGTTGGAGCTGGTAACTTTGGAATGCAGGTGGGCTCACTCATCATATGCAATCGTTTTGCCATCCCAGTGTTCTGTGCCAGACGCAGACTCCTAAGGCTGCCTGATTTCACTGCACATCGGTGAATTTGCAGCGCTGGGTGGAGGGTTCTGGGTCAAGGATCTACTGACATCAGCCCAAATCTTTTCTAGCTCACACAGACAAGGAACAGTATTTCCTTCATTCATCAGGTAATTCACCTGGCCCTCCTCAATGTACTTGAGGTTCAAGATCAAGGGAGCAGGACAGGAGGAAAGATGACCTTAGGCCTCTAAGACTTTTATCCAGCACTCCCCACTCCCTTAAATAAATGAACTATTAGCTCTAAATGAGCTATTCAAAGTGTTCATTTCTTGTTGCTGCTTTTTTTAAAGCAAAGGCCTATAGCTTTTCCCTTCCCCTCCCCAACCCACCCTACCTGCTCTTCAGCTTGAGCAAAAATAGCAAAACATCTGAGGCTGCCATGACAACCAATGAAAGCACCGTGGTGCCCACTCTTGTCCACCAATGATAAAACCTGCCTGCGGCTCTCCCAGTCCTCTCCCAGCTGGGGCTGGGGCCCTCTAACTTTCTTCCAAGTTCAACCTTCAGGAAGCTTTCCCAAATAGAGCTGCTCTATCCTCAACCAAGAAGCCAAGGGTCAGCTGGAGTTGTCTCAGCGCCCAGTGCCTCTGAACTTTTTGATTTGTTCTCCTTTGCTCCTTTCAGTGTCTCCAGGCACATGTGACAGAGATGACTATCTCCATTTTGCAGATGGAAAAATAGAGGCATGGGCCATGAACTGACCGGCCCTAGTTCATAAGCTTCTGGTTTAATGGTAGAACCACATGCAGAATTCAAAGCTCCCAACTCCAGATCTGGTTAGCAGAAGAACAGAAGGAACAGCCACTCTCAGAAAACATGACCCAAAAGGGGAAAAGATTCTGCTAGGTGAGCTGCATCTCAGCCACAGACTGACATTCCCTCAACCAGTCTCTGGGATATAAACCTGGGAAGGGTTGGAGGAAAATCTACTTCCCCACCATGGTAAATGGGCTGCACAAAAACCCACCTCTATCCTGGATTCAGCGTCTCGGGCTGCATCTACCATGCACAGGCAACCAGAAGAGCACAGGTAAGCTTCCTTGGCGGGGTTTATCAGGATCCTTAGGGAGCACTATCCAACCTGTATCCCATCTCCACACCTGTGAGAAAGTGCTCCCCTCTAGGCACCCAGGTCTGGAGGCCTGCAGGCCCCTGTTTCCTCGTTCAGGAAACCCCAGTGTTGCTAACAAAGCAGGAGCTACCACAGCCCCCCCCGAAAGGCTTCCTCTTTCTTCATCTCTTTCAGACACTTATAAATGTGCTTCCTCTCCCTATGTAAATTTCGTCCAAATGGCACAACGCAGGCTTGTCATGAGGCCATTAATAACTCACCTTTTCACAGGCTCTTCTTGGTTTCCTGGTTCAGGAATCAGTTCTTATCTAGACAGACACTGATGTCTGGATTTACTGGTGTGAGGACGGACAAATGGGCTTTGTCTGGGGCAGGCCACATAAATGTGATTTATTTTCACTAAGTCAAGAACTGAGAGGCTGAAGGCAACTCTTGACAATAACTAAGCTGAAGAAATTGAGAGTAAAATTTCTTCCCTTTTGTCTGTCTCCCACTCAATGGTCAAAGTCCCAGGAAAGGCTGAAACGGTGTTTACTTTCCCCCACTTAGGCTGACCCTTCGCATTCCGACCAGCTGAAAGGATGGAACTGGCTGGTCAGTTTCACTTTCCACTTTCAGGAAGGGTAACTTTCTGTTCTCATCCCTCACCGTGAAAGGCTGCATCTGGCTTTGTGGCTTGGTCAAGGCTGGGTGGAGGTGGGGGTGTGATGCTTCTTGGCGAAGGGCTTAAAGAAATATGAAACAAGATGGCATTCCAAATTCTGCATAAATATAGGCCAAAATTAAAACTCCTTTAACCCAGGAGTTGCTGGCCTTAGTGGTCCAATATTAAAATCAGGGCTATTAAGGCCAAGACTCTAAAGATATTCTACAGTATTTCCTAGCAGCACAAACGCAATTACTAACAGATTCTGGAAAAGCACATTCAGCTAAGCCACAGAAGACCTGGATTCAAGTCCCATCTCTGCCACTTCCTGGGTAATCTTGATATTTCTAAGCTTCAATTTCCTCTCCTTTAAGATGGATTTATTTATGCCTGCCTGGTTTGTTGCACAGGCTTATTGGAATTAAGTGATCAACATGCAGAAGCCCTTTGAAAACTGAAAAGTGCAAGACAAAGTTAAATCAATTAGTGTTGTTTATCTGTTGACCAAATTTTTCTTCTACTAGACTGTGATTTCTCTGAGAACAGATTTCCTGACATTCATTCATCTTTGTATCCCCAGGGCTTAGAATATAGTGAGAAATCAATAAATACTTCTTGCATGAATGGATGAATCGATGAATGAGATAAGACCAACCACCTAAGTTACTAGCAGGGAAAGCAACACCTCAGGGAGGACCACTGTAAGGCTTTGTGCCTGGAGGCTTTTAGTGTGGAATCTGGAGAGAAACAGGAAACTGTTTAACCCTCTAATTTATGATACCAGCGTGAACCAAGCTTCGCTGAAAATTCTGCATGGTACACTGTGTTAGTCCCAGTCTTCCGAGAAACAAAAGCTAAAATGAGATTAAACATACAAGGTGTTTTGTTTTGTTTTGTTTTTTGAGACGGAGTCTCACTCTGTCGCCCAGGCTGGAATGCAGTTCTGCAATCACGGTTCACTGCAACCTCCACCTCCTGGGTTCAAGCAATTCTCCTGCCACAGCCTCCTGAGTAGATGGGATTACAGGCATGTGTCACCACGCCCAGCTAATTGTTGTATTTTTAGCAGAGATGGGTTTTCACCATGTTGACCAGGCTGGCCTTGAACCCCTGACCTCAGGTGATCTGCCTGCCTCAGCCACCCAAAGCGCTAGGATTACAGGTGTGAGCCACTGCACCCGGCCATATAAGGATTTTGTCAGGGAAAGTGCCTGGGAAGGAAAATGGGGAGGGAGGGTGGGAAAACCTTGTAGCTGTCTGAGCCCAAATGAATAAGAGGGGGAAGGAAGGTTGGGTGGAAGCGTCCTAGACCACTGAGCAGGCTAAGGAAAGTTGTGCAAATCTGTCACGGAGTCTTCAAACAGAAGTTGGCCACTGGCAAATCTTGCGTCTTCCGGAAATGGGCCTAGTATCCCTGCCATGCTCAGTTATTGACTGGGAGCAGCCTGCAGGAAGCAGGGCCTTGGTCGAAAGCTATGATGGATTCAGAGGGTGGCACAGGAGCCCTTGGTCGGTTCTACTCCCAGCAACTGGAGATCTGCCAGGCATATTCTCATGGCCACCACATACATGGCAGTGCTTCAAAGCATGGAGTTTAGGGTCCATGTAAATGAATTGAGTCCCTGCTATTACTGGATGGCTATCTTGGGCAAGTTACTTGATCTCCTAAAGCCTCATTTTCCTTATTTATAAAATAGAGATTATAATTCCTACCTCTCAGGACTGTTATTGTTGAACACTGTGTCTGCCACATAGTAAGTGCTCAATAAAAGGAAGCTGTCATTTCTCTGTTAATATTAATAACAATAATAATAATTTATTATTCACAAAGTACTTCTATTAGCAGTTAGGACCTAAGAACAGCCCCCACTGTTGCATACTCGTATTAGAATTGTATAAGGCCATCATAGGGACGTGGGACATGGCCTAAAACCATAGTTTGGCAGTATCACAATTCAAACAACCAAACCAGTTTGCCTACAAATGAAAGGTCAGAGGGACTTTCCCAGTTTGGCTCTTTCCATGAGGGGTTGCCAGGGTGGGTTGCATTGTGCCAGAATCTACCTACAACCACAACTCCTCTCCTGTCTTCTGTTTGCCGTGGTTCACTGGCAGTGTCCTCAGCCTGTCCCATGCCAGCTGTGAAGCCACATCTGTGTCTGAAAGCAAGCATTCTCAGGAACTTTCACCCCAAGAACAGGATCATCCTCAGGCTCTGAGAGACAAGACTCTGCTATGCTGTATCCATTGTAAGCACCTATCTCAGGACTCTTTGCTTGTCTTTATCTGTGTGACCTTGCTTTTTTTTTTTTTTTTTTGACTTTGGCCAACTGATAGTGGTCATTGCTGGCTACTGCTGGCCGGTGGCCCCTACATCTTACCAGAGTCACAGAGTGTCCCCTTGTTGGGCTGGCTATGACCCGAGGTCATTACAGATTTCATGGCCCCAACTGAGCCAGCTCGGGCCTCTCCCAGCCTTGCTGATCCTCAGGTCTTAGTGACAGAAATGACCAAGAATCCAGACATAAGGAACTCCAGACACATGGAAGCCAGGCTCTTACCTCTTTCACTGTTGCCTTAGAGGCCTTTTTTCCAACTCCCTTTTCCAAGAAGGTCACCAAAAACACACACGGGGATTTTCTGGGGTTTTTTTTTTTTTTTTTTGAAAGAATGACCTTGAGTTATTCCAACTGAAAGAGTCCAAATTAAACTTAAAAACATTGATTTTGTTTAATAATTAACAGCTTACAAAGCTGGTCAAGTTGTATCTTCCAGAATAATCATCTCCATTCCACAGGGACTTCTTTTCTAGGGAGTTTTAAGTTTCCGTATTGAGCTGGAATCTAACCCTTGAGCTGCCGGTGTCAACCTGAGATTGGACAGCATAGGGCACAGACTCAAGGACGGACTGAACCCTCCCAACCAAGCCAAACTAGGCCTTTCCATCTGAGGAAAGAGGGGGTCATGCTGGGGTGGAGGGAAAGCCTCAGGGCAGGAGAACAGGCCGCCCACTCTTCACACAGCCTCCAGCAGGAGCACCGAGCCCATCTCTGAACACGGTTTGTTTTTCTCCACTGGTCCTCCAAGCCAGAGTGAGGAAGGGCTGAGCCCACCTGATGCCAGACATGCCCAGTGTTTGAGAGGGGGAACTGCCATCATCAGGGAGAAACACCGATTCAGCCATCTTCTGCCCCCGTGACACATAAAAGTATTGGCAAACTCAGTAACTAGCCTCAACACAACACCTTCTTTTGCCTCTTGTTTGCATTTATCCTTCCCACCAATTGAAAAACCAATCATGTTTGGTTTCTTTGCAAATCCAAATTCTTTAAGAAATGATACCCTGAAGTAAAACTTGGGCGTTCTCACACTCATATCCCGAGGTCAACTGTTCAAAAACCCACCATTCACCACTTGGCCTTGGGTGAGCCACTTCCCCTGGCAGAGTCCAGTTGTCTTCCTCTGTATTAAGACAGAGTGGAAAATAACTATGTGATTTCTGAGGGTCTGTCCTGCCCCGATGCTCTTTAAGTCCACTGGCCTTGCTAACTACCTCCTCACTAAGCACATACACACACACACACACACACACACACACACACACACACACACACACACAAAAGGCCTTTGACCTTCTGTAAACATTTATCTCCAACAAAC
Organism: Homo sapiens; assembly: GCF_000001405.40. Classification (NCBI taxonomy): domain Eukaryota; kingdom Metazoa; phylum Chordata; class Mammalia; order Primates; family Hominidae; genus Homo; species Homo sapiens. The sequence continues at coordinate 96,677,669 of NC_000010.11, forward strand.
ACAGTTTGGTCACGTGCAATACAAGATATGAAGTGAGACAACACACTTTCCGGTTTAGAATCACAAGCGTGAGGACAAAACATGGTTTTCACTGTTCATTTAGGTACAGTTATAGAAACCACTGGAAACCTAATCAACATTGGGATCAGGATCAAGAAGAATCTGTCCCAGGGGTTCTCATCACCTCAGAGGGAGGTGAGAGTTTTTGCAAAGGTCTTGCCAGAATGATGAATTAGAATAGAGAAATTGTGTAGCTTTTAGAAGCATAGCCAATATTATATTACAATTTTATTTATTTATTTATTTTTAGAGACAAAGTCTTGCTTGCTCTATTGCCAAAACTGGAGTGTAGTGGTGTGATCATGGCTCACTGCAGCCTCGACCTCCTGGGCTCAAATGATCCTCCTACCTCAGCCTCCCGAGTAGTTAGGACTACAGGCATATGCCACCACATCCAGCTAATTTAAATTAAAAAAAATTGTAGGCTGGGCACAGTGGTTCATGCCTGTAATCCCAGCACTTTGGGAGGCCGAAGTGGGCAGATCATCTGAGGTCAGGAGTTCGAGACCAGCCTGGCCAACATGATGAAACCCCGTCTCTACTAAAAATACAAAAAATTAGCTAGGCGTGGTGGCACACACCTGTAGTTCCAGCTACTAGGGAGGCTGAGGCAAGAGAATCGCTTGAACCCAGGAGGCGGAGGTTGCAATGAGTCGAGATCACACCACTGCACTCCAGCCTGGGTGACAGAGTGAGATCCTGTCTCAAAAAAAATTTTTTTTGTAAAGGCAGGGTTTATCCATGTTTCCCAGGTTGGTCTCGAACTCCTGGGCTCCATGGATCCTCCCACCTTGATCTCCCAATGTGCTGGGATTATAGGCTTGAACCACTGTACCTGGCCTATACTATAATTAAAATTTTAAACTATTATTTTAATAAATGCACTATAGAAGGAGGGTGTGAGTCAAAAGGGAGCATGGGTTAAAACAGGTAGAAAATTCCTTCCTTGGGATCTTGCAACCTATGACCCACCTCTCCACCACTCCTCTGAGCCTCTGTGCCCACTGCCTCAACACCTTCCTCCTTTTCACTTTTCCTTTTCATGATATTGTAGTCCTTTGTATGTAGTGTTTTGCCAACCCTGCAGTCACAATATAGTTTATTTCCTCTTTGTTCAGGTTCAACAACCTTCCAAAAGTAGAGACACAGACCCCTGTAGGGGAAGAGGAGAGCGACCCACTAATACCAAGTAGGCAAGGAGCACCTGGAAGGTTCTCATACACAAAAACCTCCCCCACCTCCACATTCAACTAATAAAAGCTTCATCTGAGTTATCACACTGAGGATGATGCAAATGCTCTGGGGAAGGTTCAGCTTCACAGACAGTCACACTTTAGTAAGAATTATTTTTGAATCTTAGATGATCAGAATTTGAAAGAACCTGAAGAATCATTTAGTGCAAATTACACTCAAGGATTTTTTTTTATCATGGTCAACCTCTACTTGAATATTACAGAGACAAGAGCTCCCTTCTTGAGTCTACTCCACTGATGTGCATTTTGAATTATTAATATCTGGGCTGGGTGCAGTGGCTCCTGTCTAAAATCCCAGCACTTTGGGAGGCCAAGGTGGCTGGATCTTTTGAGGTCAAGAGTTTGAGACCAGCCTGGCCAACATGGTGAAACCCCGCCTCTACTAAAAATACAAAAATTAGCCAGGTGTGGTGGTGGGTGCTTATAGTCCCAGCTACTCAGGAGGCTGAGGCAGGAGAATCTCTTGGACCTGGGAGGCGGAAGTTGCAGTAAGCCGAGATCTCGCTGCTGCACTCCAGCCTGGGCGACAGAGCAAGACTCCGTCTCAAAAAAAAAAAAAATTATTAATATCTGTGAAAGCTCATCCTTATCTTTAGTCCAACCTTGCAGAATCTGTTAAGATAGTTCTGCTGCAAGCAAGAGAAATCCCAACTCAAAATGCCTTAAACATTAAGGACATTTATCTCCTGGAATCCAAAGCCCAGCATTCAGGCAGGTTTGGGGTTGGTAAGTGTTCAGCCACAGCACCAAGGTCCCAGGTTCTTCCCATTTCTCTATTCTACCATCTTCAGCACAAATTCTCAAGCTGGTGGCAAGACGGCTGTGGTAGCCACAGGTTCACTTCACAACAAGGTCCAGAGGAAAAGAGAAAAATATTCCCACGAGCATGGAACAGAAACTCTTCCCTTCATTCTGACTGCTCCAACTTAGTTCACATGACCAGTCACTGTCCCCAGGGGAGTGCCATGCAATCCCCAACCTTGTAATCACCCAGGGTGGAAAGAGTGATGGGACTCCCACTATCATGTCCACCCTTCCTTCCTCTCAGCAACCTCCACCTCAAATAGAGATCTCCCTTACCTTGCAACTCAGAACACAGCCTCAGCCCTTTCCAAAAAATGGTGCATAAATGGTTCCAAGCTTCTTGGTTGTTCTTCTCTGGACATATTCTAGTCAGCCAGTTTCCTTCTAAAAAGGTGGCACCCAGAATGGAACACCATTCTTGGTAGAACATACTGAAATTATTCTAGGACAAAGGAGCCATTCTCTTATTAAGGTAGCTTAATACTGTGGTAGCTTTTAGCGGCCACATCATACTATTGATTTTTTTTTTTTAACTTTTAAGTTCAGGGGTACATGTGCAGGTTTGTTATATAAGTAAATGGATGTCATGAGGGTTTGTTGTACAGATTATTTTGTCATCCAGGTACTAAGCCTAGTATCCAATAGTTATTTTTTCTGATCCTCTCCCTCCTCCCACCCTCCACCCTCAGGAATGCCCTGGTGTCTGTTTCTCCCCTCTATGTATCCATGTGTTCTCATCATTTAGTTCTCAGTTGTAAGTGAAAACATGTAGTATTTGGTTTTCTGTTCCTCTGTTAGTTTGCTAAGGATAATGGCCACCAGCTCCATCCATGTTCCTGCAAAGGACATGATCTCATTCTTTTTTATGGCTGCATAATATTCCACAGTGTATATGTACCACATTTTCTTTATCCAGTCTACCATTAGTGGGCATTTAGGTTGAGTCTACGTCTTTGGTATTCATACTATTGATTGCTTTTTAACAGGTAGTCAACTATAAATCCTGCAATTCACTTTCACATGTTGATGCCATGTTGGATTTCTGCTGTGCTGCACTAGTTCAATTGCATTTATGGACCTAAAAGCAGAACTCAGGATTATCATATTGAACTAGATCAAGACAATGTTGAATAATGCTTCAGTCACTCAGTGTAAAATCTACCCAGTCACCTACGAGTGTTATCCATCAATAAATCTGTATTCATTTGCTAGGGCTGCCATAACAAAACACCATAGACTGTGTGGCTTAAACAATAGAAATTTACTTTCCCACAATTCTAGAGGCCACAAGTCCAAGATCAAGGTGTCAGCAGGGTTGTTTTTTTCTCGGGCCTCCCTGCTTGGTTGCAGATGGCTGGCTTCTCACTCTGTCCTCCATAATTTCTCTTCCGTGTGTGCACACATCTGTGTCCTAATCCCCTCTCCTTCTAAAGACACCAGTCATATTGGATAAGGGCCCATCTATATGACCTCATTTTACCTTAATTACCTTTTTAAAAACTCTATCTCCAAATCCAGTCGGGTTCTGAGGTACGAAAGGTTAGGACTTCCAAATATGAATATAAGGTAGACACAATTCATCCCATAACAAATGTGATGTCTGACTTCTGTGTATGCCTCAAAGTCAGAGAATAACTGGCCACGAAACCTAAACCAGGGCTGCTGGCTCTCCTCTAGACACTCCCTCAAGGACGACCATTAATCCAATTATTCTCTCATATTATGCTGAGATCAGTCTCTTTGGAGAGCAGATTTCAGCTAGGTTTGGGAGAGTGTTGAAGAGAAAGATCATTCTGGAAACTTGGGCCCAAAAGGGGGCTCTAGTAGGATGTTTCCACAGTCAAAGTAGGTGACTCTGGACATGAAGGCACCGAACCGGAGGCTGCTGTGCAGAAGATGAGTCATAATGGAGAAGGGTAAGGGAAGAAGAGCTGGAAGGTTATCAGAAGGCAAATTTGGTGACTTCCCAATTTTACTTAGGACATGGGTAGCAGCAACTGCATCTGGAACACTTTTAAAATTATCCTGAGTGCCTGTATCACAGAGTGACTATGCCTGTATGCAATTACCCACGAGGGCAGTGATGACCACATTTTGCTCAGGGACTTAAAGATCCAGGTTTTTATAGATGTGTTAATGAAAAGTAATTGGTATACTTTCTCACTCTTATAGACTTTAAAAAATATGCATACATAAATATATGTGTGTGTATATATATATATATATATAGAGAGAGAGAGAGAGAGAGAGAAACAAGGGGGGGATGCACTATTAGAGCAACTGCACACAAATACTAGAGAATGAAATAGCTAGCACTATAGAGTAAGATTTCGATAAACAAACACCTGTTCATAGATCAGTTACTCCTGATCCTTAAGTGTCCCTTCTTAGATTAAATGGCTTAACTTAAGGGGCAAAGCCTGCTCTCCAGGTTGATTTACAATTCTAACGATTGAAGCTTTAGGGTAACTTGATGTTATTACTCCTCTGCTGATTTTTTTTTTCCTTTCCTTCTTGCTGGTAAGAGCGGGTACTCAAAGGATGGGAATCGTGACTGCAGGGTCATCAAGATGGCTGAGTCCAGCTCCTGCATCTGTTGTTTGAAGCTCCTTTCCCACATGCCAAATGCCTACTTCAAACCAATGACACTGGCACATGGGAGTTCACCTTTGCAAGAGCTGCCTTCTCTCCAAGGATGCTTTCCCGTCTTCCGTTTCCTCAAGGAAGAAATCAAGGGAAAAGGGAAGCACCTTTCTTCCTTCCCTGCTCTAATTTGTACCGTCTCCCCATGATGAGATAAGCCTGTGCTGACTGATACCTGGGTGTGGAGCGAGCTGCATGTGACCCCGTCATTCTTTTTTCTTTTCGCCCCATTAATAGATGCTTTTTAGCCACTTCACCAACTGACCCCAAGCCTCACCTCTGGTCTCTAATCAAAACCTTAACAGGGTTTTCCATAAACTGAAATTTACATTCAATCATCACCATAGCAACCATCACACAGAATTAGATACAACTTTTCCATCTCTGATGTAATCTACTTTTTTAAAAAGAGCTGCTTTCCTCTTCAATTGCAAATCCAAGCTATTCAGAAGATAACCATTAAAAATCTATTTTGAAAAAACTACATTTAAACAGACTGTAGCAAGGTTCTTAAAACAGGTATTTGAAGTAGTTTCTAGACACTTAGTAACATACACTTATTCCCCCAAATGGTGGCCATCATTGCACAAGTCTCCAGGATTTGGTCCAGTGTTAAGAATCGAACAACGCTTCTGTGAAAATTGTCACAACCAAAACTTAAAAGGTGCCCTGAGATAACAACTGCAAGCCAGGGCATACAATTCTGTTAATTTCTAAAGGATGTCCGCATCATGTCTAAAAATAAATAAATAAAACAAGGTTGGACTGTTCAGTGTGTAATTGGCAAATCCCCCAAAATTTCTGGAATTCACCTAGTCATCCAAGAGGAATTATTCAATTGCTAAAGTGGCTTAAGACTGTGAGAATAGGCAACTGTAAGGAGAGTACGCCACAGATAAAGAGATAAATCCTCATTCAAGGAGTCTAAATGTTTCTCACTCTATGAGTACAATGCTGTAAGAGAGGCCTTGAATATTCAGAGATGTTGGAAATGTATTTCAGATTTAGAAAAAGGTAAGAAAAGACACTTTCAGAAAATGTACTGACAAAAAAAAATCTACTTATGACACTAATCCCACTAACAAATTAATGAAGCCCACCCATCTCATCACTTCTATACATCTCATTCCATTGCTACTTAGAATCCCAGAAACTGGGCAATTCAGTTGTATTGAAAATTGAGATAATAAAATCAAGTCATTTTCCATAAGCCAAATCATTTTATTCTATGTATTTACAGCCGAACTATGATGTAGTGATAGTCCATTCATTTAATTCATTCATCAAGCATTTATTGAGCACTAGATGCTACTACGTGCTGAGAGCTGCATTTAATAAAGATAAGTGACATATCATCCAAGACCTCATTACTTTTCTAATTCATAGGATGGCAGATGTTTTATGCCCAAATGTCAGGGAAATTGTAATCCATTTCCTCTGAATAAACATTCAAGACTGTATATATAGGAAGTAATGCTGGTCACATGGCTGTGCTACTCATTGTAATAACTCCAGTCTGGACACTTGAATTAGACTGATGGCTAACAGTCTACCACTTTTATTATTAAGACCTGGTAGGCCTCACCACAGGGCATTTATTTTGAGATTTCTGAAAACGCCCTGACTTAGTTCCAGTGCCATTCTGCCACTTAGGAGATAGGGCTGAATTCCACCCCAAATGACAAAGAAACTCCTCTAAATACTCCTAACAGTTAGGCATTGTGTAGAGCAAAAATAAGCCATTCTTAAAGCTTCTCAGCCATTCTTTTCTATTAAAGACCATTGGCATAGCTAGTTAGGCAATGTGAGCAAGGAGTGGGTTATTTCCAAATAGTTGCCAAAGTATCTTACATGCCCAGAAGTGAGAAGTCTTGCATATTAAGTGTGATAATATATACAAGAAAAACGCTAGTCCAGGAATGGGATGCTGGTTTCCTCCCAGGTGCCAACTCTAGTGGAACGGCAGTGGATGGCCATTCCCCTGAGCGAGGCTTGTGCTGAGGCCAAGGCCCAGCTCAGTGAGACAAGATGTCTTGATTCACCCACAAAGTCTGATCTGGGAGCAGACAGGCTGTGCTGTACAATGTGTTCCACTGTCCAAGGCAGCCTGGACCATGCTGCAGGGGGAGAGGCAGACCTATGCCACTGAGTTACTGGAGAGAGTTTGCAGAAATAATCAGAAAGAACATCCCAGTGCCTTCAAAGACCAATGAACCTGTGCTGGCAATCTTAAGAAAAACTTTGAGGTGCAATTGGCAGAACTTAAGACAGAATGGGTACCTTCCAAATGGTTGGAAAAGATAAGAGCCAAACAAATATATTCCATACTGAAATTTTAAAAAAACTTCACCAAGAACCATCAGCAATGGAAAACCTAAATAAGATCACAAAAATTAAAGATCAGAGCAGTTGAGGCGGCACTCTCTGATAGATGTTGCCAATTAACAGGACAAGCTGAGGATAAGGATAAAATCCTTTTGTAAGAGTTGAACCAATACATGCATTGCAACCAACACCAGATTCTTGGTTTTTTGTTTGTGTTTGCTTTTTTAAAAGATCGGTAGGAAGATCACAATCTCCCCAACACAGCCTCCTAGAAATGATGCAGACGTGTGGCTTTTGCGGAGGAAGGAAGCAAAGAATGTTTTGGTTATCTTCTGTAAACTTATACTGCTTTTGAAAAATATAAATAAATATATCTACAAATGCCACAAAATTCAGCTTATGAGTTATTTATGCTGTGATTTTCTTTTTTAGAGTTCCTTAGATAACCAGTGTCAAATCTAAAATGATCCTTGCATGGTTTGGGAGTGGTCATTCCAGTGGTCATCAAATTCAAGATGCACAAACCCATCGCTGGTATGAACTAGGCAAAGAGAGAGCACCTCCAAATCTCCCCCATCCTGGTACTTCATTGTTCAGGTCCACAAAGCTGGGAGGAGCAGAGGCAGCCAGGCTGTGGTTGGGCAAGAAAGGACACAAACCATCTTCATCTGCCCACAGCCCCTGGAGCCATAGTTGGGCTGGTAGCCAATGCTGATGAAATAGCAGACACAAGCCGTGGGTGAGGAAGGTGGTGGCAAGGAAAGAGGGGAGATGTGTCTCCATTCACCATCTCAGTTACATCTCCCACAGCCCTGCGAGGTGTGCATTTTCACTGCATTTTACCCACAACTGAAATGAAGCCTATGAAAGTCTTGCCCCATAACCCAGAGCTGGTGACTAGAGCCAGGATTAGAGTTCTGCAAAACTGAATCTTAGGCTTGCGGCTTTGGCCAACTGAGTTCCTTCATATCCAGGGTCCATGTCCACATGTCCTGGTCCGATGCAGCAGTAGGGAACTAAAGAGTTAATTCTGACAACACAGGGCAGAGCATGGAGGCATCTTCAGGGATGACATGTGTGCCCATCCCTGCTGAGTAGTAAGTCCCAGATGCTGAAACTAGCCACCAACAGACTAATGCCCACACACTGGCTGAGCTCCTGAGACCCTGGACAGCAGGGCCTGTCTTTGCTACAGAATCTGTAATCCCTCTGCCACGTCCCATATAGCACCAAGTCCTCACTAAATTCAAGGGGTGGATGTTTAATAAATACATATTAGTGGGAGGGCAGCAGAAGCACCTGAGGCAAATATGAAACTGCATTTGATGCTTTATTTAGATCATGAGTGTTCCAAAAGCATTTTTTTCCTTCACAATTCAGGATGTAGGCAGTCAACGCATATTTTTGTCAGATAATGACTATCACCCTAACCAGATAGTAATTTAATCACTCTGTTCCAAAGCTGCTTCAGCGGAGAACTAACTAAAATATCTGTGCTCCAAGACTTCAACCCAACAGCCAGCCAACTAAACAGCATTTACTAAGATCTCTGAGAGCCCACACTGTGCTAAGCAAAAGGAAAATCCCACAGAATAATATGTGGGCCCTGCTCCTACTGGATTTACACACTCTAGCTCGGGAACCAAACTGGAATTCAGGAGACAATTCGATAAATGAGTTTTACCCGTGGATGTACCGCAAATGAGCTCCACAGGAGTCCAGAGCAAAGAGAAACCACAGGTAACAGAATTTGAGTTGGATGGGCTTAGGCAGTGGGATAAAGAAGAAAGACAAAAAAGATACAGATTTTCCCCCAGCCTCTTAAGAACATAACAGCATTTCACAGTATCCACAAGAGCACCCGTAGCTTTCATGATATTCACCCAGTCAGCCCTCAGCATTGTGCGGCTGCTTGACTAGGACTACTTTATGCCCCGACCATCCTCTGTTAAATACAGAGACAGCACAGTCAGGTTCCTGCAGACTGCGTGTGCAGCTGTGCGTCATATCTCTTCCACTCAACATCTAGAATGCAAATCCAAACCAACTTGGTTCGTTAACATTTACAGAAAAAATACATAAAATTTCAACATGGATCCCACAATGGCCCACTCTGCCCTGTGAAGGGCAGGATGGATGGAGGTGGGTGTGCCCAGGCCGTGCCTTTGAAAGCCACTGCCTTGAACGCTCCTTTTTCCCTCTGTGTTTTAGAAACTGATCTCTTGATCTCTGTTAGATGACTCTGATTAAGATCTCCTCCTTTCAGACCGAGGCGGGTGGATCACAAAGTCAGGAGATCGAGACCATCCTGGCTAATACGGTGAAACCCCGTCTCTACTAAAAATACAAAAAATTAGCCGGGTGCGGTGGCGGGCGCCTGTAGTCCCAGCTACTCGGGAGGCTGAGGCAGGAGAATAGTGTGAACCCGGGAGGAGGAGCTTGCAGTGAGCCGAGACAGCGCCACCGCAGTCCGGCCTGGGCAAAAGAGCGATACTCCATCTCAAAAAAAAAAAAAAAAAAAAAAAAAAAAAAGAAAAAAGATCTCCTCCTTTCAAGGATGAATTGGAGCCTTCTTTGATTTTGCATCCCTAGCACAGAGCCTGGTCCATGGTGGGTGTTTGATAAATAGTGAATTAAGAAAAACATCCATTTGTCCAGGCCCACCCCGTGAGTGCCAATCTCACACTTCCAAATGTCCACTCTGCAGTGATTTTGGGTTGTGTAATCATTACCAGATCAGCACTCCTGAGAGTGAATGCCCAACCCTCCTCCAAAATTAGCTGCCCCTGTAGACTATCATTTCTGTCAGTGACATCATTCTTCCAGTCACCCACGCTCAAAATCTTATCTTCTTGTCCCGCTTTCTCTATTTTTCCCATTGAATTTCCCTCCTAAATCTCGTACACGTATCTCTTGCTTTCTAATCCCAAGGCCACCATCCGTTGAGGCCCTAACCACCCTCATGCCTGCATTAAAGACCTTGTGCACTAACTTCCTCCACAACTCAGGGAAGCATGTAAACACTAGACCCACCCTTCCTTCCCTTCCTAGTCTGTGGAACTCACCACTGCTCTTCCTTCCTCCGCATGAACTGCACATGGAGCCTGCCCATCCCTCTCTGCCATCAGCCCTGTCCCTGCTTTATCCTAAGGCCTGAGCCTGGAGTGGCATCTGGGTAGGCAACGGTTGGGAAGCTAGTTAGGGTGACTTATTCACAGAGCTGGTTTGGAGCAAATCTGATGGGGAGGCATGAAGGGGTGGGGGACAGGAAATTTCCCTTGAAGAAGCCTTGGCAGAGTAAGCACACTCTTTCTCTTCAACGTTATGTTTATGTGCCAGGGGGCTACTGCAGATTTAGGGACAAACAACTCACCCACCCACCCACAAGCACCTCATGGCATTTTCACTGTTGATTCGACAGGCACTTCAGGGCCTTTTGCTCCTCCCAGCCAATGTCATTCCCCACCCAGGATGAAGATGAGGCCTTGCAAAAACACACCACCTGAGCCCTCTAAAGTTCATAAATAGTGATAGTAAAGGGGGTTGGTGATAAGAATCAAAGGGCGAGGATAAGTCACAGGAACTTAGCACTTGATACTATCTCAATAAAATACGAGGCCATGGAAATGTGCTATGATATATTCCTCAGAAAATGTTTATAACATGGCTCTCATTTCTTTCTAAAATTAATTTTCTAATTAAAACATAAAAATTACATATATTTATCATGTACACCATGATGTTTAAAAATATGCACACATTAGGCTGGGCGCGGTGGCTCACGCCTATAATCCCAGCAGTTTGGTAGCCCGAGGCAGGTGGATTACTTGAGGTCAGGAGTTCGAGACCAGCCTGGCCAACATGGTGAAATCCCATCTCTACTAAAAATACAAACATTAGCTGGCGTAGTGGCACATGCCTGTAGTCCCAGCTACTCAGGATGCTGAGGCAGGAGAATCACTTAAACCCAGGAGGCGGAGGGTGCAGTGAGCTGAGATCATGCCACTGTACTCCAGGCCTGGGTGATAGAGCAAGACTCTGTCTCAAAAAAAAGAAAGAAAGAAAGAAAGAAAGAAAAGAAAATATGCATGCATCATAAAGTGGCTAGATCTGGCTAATTAAAATACGCATTACCCCCACCCCCCATCTTTCACGTAGGTAGGATCTACATGTGCTTATCTCTACATCCAACCGACTAAAGAACAAGAGATAGCCCTTTAGCTGGACCATTTCCATAGTTTCTCCAAATGCCATTTTGGTCACATTGCTGTCCCAGGCAACAGAAGGCCCTCTGAGATAAAATGGGTAAGGCTCTTACCACATCCTGATGTTGAAGGTTCTTCTTCCACTGACTCAATATAACCTTCATAATCATTTTTCCCCACTATCCCAGACTCAGGCCACTTCTCAGCCCAAATGCAAACGCATCCTGTGCTTTCCTCTCCCTGTGCCTTGCCCATGGAGTTCCCTCGTCCTGGGATGTCTTTCCCTTTAATCCTTACCGATGCCTCTTAAAATCCAACCCTCCTGGCCGGGTGTGGTGGCTCACACCTGTAATCCCAGTACTTTGGGAGGCCGAGGCAGGCGGATCATGAGGCCAGGAGATCAAGACCATCCTGGCTAACATGATGAAACCCCGTCTCTACTAAAAATACAAAAAAAAAAAATTAGCTGGGCGTGGTGGCGGGCGCCTGTAGTCCCAGCTACTCAGGAGGCCGAGGCAGGAGAATGGCGTGAACCCAAGAGGCGGAGCTTGCAGTGAGCCAAGATCGCACCACTGCACTCCAGCCCGGGCAACAGAGCAAGAGCAAGACTCTGTCTCAAAAAAAAAAAAAAAAAAAAAAAATCCAACCCTCTTAAAATCCAATCCTTTCTTTCAGTGTCATCCTCTCCATGAAGTTTTCAACTGTCCACCCCATTGAAAGCCCTTTCTTATTTTGCAGATTCTATGTACATGCCAGTCCCACAGCAGGCAACTTCCATGCTTAGGAACTGAACTCACCCACTGAGTTCTCCGTCTTCCCTCTACCCCACAATCATGCACCATGTCCTGCTGGTCCTGTCTGCTTTTTACCCCTCCAAAGTGTTCCTTCTTCTCCTTACTCACTGCCCCTGCTCAGCGCAGGCCCACAGCACCTCTCCCCTGAAAGAATGCAGCAGCCACGTGCCCAGGATCCAGCCTCCAGCCTCCAGCCCTGCCTGACATGGCCATTCCAGGTGTCAGTGTTCTCTCTTAAATCTAGTAGAATTCTGTTCTCTGTTACTACTGTCCAGGAATCCTAATCTGCCCTTCAGAGCATCTTCAGACTACACTGTGCTTATTTCCGCATAAAAGTCCTTCACGTGTTTGAAGGTAATTATCATGTATCTCCTTGGTATTTTCTTCTTTAGGAAGACAGCAAAGTATAGAGGATGAAACTCTGAGTTCAGTGTTGGAGGCCTGGGGCTTTTGATTCTAACCAGTTGAGTATCCTTGGGCAGGTCATTTGTCAATGCTGAGCCTCTGTCCCTCAGTTCCACCCCACCCCAAGTCTCGCTCTGTCACCCATACTGGAGAGAAGTGCAGTGGTGCAATCACAGCTCACTGCAGCCTTGACCTCCTGGGCTCAAGTGATCCTCCCACCTCAGCCTCCTGAGTAGCTGGGACTATAGGTGTGCACCACCATGCCCAGCTAATTTTTTATTTTTTTTGTAGTGATGGGATCTGACTATGTTTCCCTGGCTAGTCTTAGACTCCTGGGCTCATACAATTCACCTTGGCTCCCAAAGTGCTGGAATTATAGGTGTGAACCATTGCACCCAGCCCAAAAGTCCAAAATTAAACACTCCCCGTTCTTTCTCTATTCCTCAGGCCCAGGCATGTGTCCAGATCGCTCATCTTTGTGTCGCATGATAAGAACAGCAATCTCCTTTTGGGAAAATCTTGACCCCTCCACATTCACCAAGTGGTGTGAATGGCAGCTGCCAAGTTTTTAGAAAGCCCACACTCCAGGCTACCAGAGTGGACCAATCATAGTCCTCTAATCTCCTGGCCACAGTTAATCAGCCTAGAGTAAGGCACCTGATCAATTAGATCCTACCCTGAGATTTTTAAATTTTGGGCCAGAGAAAATAAACATTGGTTCCTCTTTAGGGCTGGAGTTGGAAGACGTGAGGTATGGAAGCTCCTAGGGGCTGTAATTCTTCTTCTTGGAGATGACTCATCAGAGAGAATGATGCCAATATTCGGAGACATAGAAATGAGAAGTGAAGAGGTAACTCCAGGGAGTTCCAGTCCTTGGCTCCAGGTATCTCTGAGGACCAACTGCACCCGTTCCCTGCCCATAGCTTGCTTAATTCCTCTTTTTCCCAGGTTGGAGTTCCCTCCTTCCAAGCAAACAAGCACAAAGCAATACATTAGCCTTTCAAAGCAGGCCTCACATGGAGACAGCTGAGGCTTGTCTGTACCTCCCCGAAACCCTCAAACTAACTCCCCACTCTCCCCACCTCCCGCAAACAGCAACTCCAGATGGGTAAATGGAGTTTGTGTATAATACAAGAAAGGATGTTATATCTTGCTATATGGCCACTGTTCGCAAGGGAAACTCAAGATGCACCTTAGAGCAATTGTGCCCCCTTGCTGATTCATACTGAGCATGTGGTCACCTCAGAACTTGAGCTGTTTTTCATGTAAACTGTGGAAGCCAAGCCTTTCCCTTTGCCATGCTATGATTGTACAGTTGGGTTTTATTTTATGTTTTTCTTGGATGGGGGAGGTGGTGGGCAAGGCTTGGGACCTAATTGCAATAATTCAACACTTAACTTAGTTAAATGTTATACGTTGGACTGGGGCCAGTGTTCCAGCCCATCGGGATTGTTTTAACTCAGGATTCCATCACTGATGGCAGAATTTCCCAACTGGTCTACCAATAGAATGAATTACAGACGTGCCAGGATATTCATTCCTTTCATTCTTTGCTTGGTGAAGTGAAGCTTGGGACACTTAACCCATGTTAGTGGCTCCTAACTCTTATCATTTTCTGAGTATTCCTATTTCAAGTTCCCATAGTTATGGTAACATTGGGAAGGTAAATGTTTTATAACATAAAATTATTTACTAACAAAAAAATGCTCATTTATGAAATCAGTCCCTACTTAAACATCTCTGCTTGCTTAATCTTGGTGCATGTTTTCATCCATCAGGTCATATTTTTGTTGCTTAGTCTCTCCCAGATTTAAGATTTCTCCACAATAAACTATGAGTGCAATGTGATTTGGTTTTACAGGGTAATTCTAGATTTTGCAAAAGAGAAATTTTTTGAAGTTGATGAAAGTGATGTTGGAAAACTGTATCACAAGTAAAGCTGCTGACAGTTAGAGAGGTTACCTACTGGACAGAAGAAAACCCATACAGATGCTTTCCAATAATCAAAATCAAATAAGATCACATGGTGGTTAAGAGGAGGCCTTAAGAAAATTGTAAAGGTCAAATGTGTTGTGAATCATATTTCAATACAGCTGTTTTAAAAAATCAAATGTGAACTAAGAAATGTTATATTGTGGCTGGGTGCAGTGGCTCATGCCTGTAATCCCAGCGCTTTGGGAGGCCAAGGCAGGCAGATTACAAGGTCAGGAGATAGGGACCATCCTGGCCAACATGGTGAAACCCCATATCTACTAAAAATATAAAAATTAGCTGGGCATGGTGGTGCATGCCTGTAATCCCAGCTACTTGGGAGGCTGAGGCAGCAGAATCGCTTGAACCAGGGAGCTGGAGATTGCAGTGAGCCGAGATCGCCACTGCACTCCAGCTTACTCTGACAGAGCAAGATTCCATCTCAAAAAAAAAAAGAAAGAAAGAAAGAAAAGAAAGAAATGTTATATTGTTTTAGCATAAAATTACGTCATAAAAATGTACTCAAACCCTCCTGTACAAAACCTAACAACAATTGATTTAGTCCTTGTGGGGTTTTAGAATTAGCCTATAAAAGGGGTATAGCTCAGTGGCAGAGCATTTGACTGCAGAATTAGCCTATAGCTGAAATTATAATCAAAACTGTGTTAATATAATAAATAAACTTATTTTCTTAATGTTCAGTTTTGTTTTTCAAAATAAAAGTCCCAATCAAGAATTTATTTTTGTATTTACTATGAAATTTTAACCCAGGCTTAATTGTATCTACCTTAAATGAGCTTTTCCCAGGATCAGTTGTCTTCAGATTATGAGGGCTTCCTAAACCTGCCTTGTTGCCATTCCTGCCATTGTTGCAGCTTTCATCCATTGCTCCTTGCCCTGTCCACTGTAGAAACATAGAAAAGGCCCTGCCCCTCTGTTCTTCCATGTGACAGGCCTTCAAAACTCTGATAGTTCTCGTGGCTCCAATAAAACTTTTCTTTACAACAAGTTCACTTCCTTCAACTATTTCTCATCTGACAGAATTTGAAATTCTCACATTCATTCTATTCAGTCGTTCAACAATTTATTGAGGGCCTGCCATGTCAAGTACTGTTACAGGCCCCAGGAAGACAGCAGTGAGCAATCCCCCCAACTTCCCACCCCACCCTGCTCTTCTGAGGGAGGCTTCCATTCTGTTAAAGGGACAATAAACAAAATGGGCGAATAAATGAATGGATGGCTGGACAGATGGACAGACGGATGGATAACTGGATGGATAGATGGAAAGATGAATAGTTGGATAGATAGATGAGTGGATGGATGGATGGATGGATGGATGGATGATTTGTGTGTGTACTCCTCGTTCAGCCTGCCACTAAAATGTTGAATACTTCTCCAGATAAGCTGACAAATGCAGGGTAGAGGAAGAGCTTCTTCTCTGATGCCAATACTTCTGTTCATAAACCTTCACGTAACACTTTCTTGGAAGTGACATTGCTCTGTTGACTCATGTCTTCAACTAAAGCCACCAGATCTTACATATGCTACTCTTAAAATACATATCCCTTTATCCTGTTCTTGTGCAACTGTTGGACTCTGTGCAGAATTTTATATTGATCCTTATTACTTTGCAACAGACACACATTTAGAATGTAAAATCTGCAAACTGCGGGAACATATTAATATATGCACATCAGCATCACTGCTGTCTACAAACTTAAGAAGTAAAATGCTAATTTTAAAATTAAGTGCTTGAATAAAGCTACTCTAAAAGTTTAGATAGTCCTAATTACTACTATGAAAAAATGACTGCCCTGCCTGAAAGCCATAGTTAACCTGGGCTCTAGGATACCATTAAATAGCCAAGCATGTAACATTTGCCATAATTACAAGCTGGGCCTTTTCTTCTCTTTTTCAAGATGGTTGCTCAGGACAGTCATTTTTTTCTTTAAAGGATGCTGTAAGGACCTATCAAAGAGGCCCCCATGATATCTCAGGTCTGCTTTATGATTCAAAGGGAGCATCCTTCATACCTCTGGATACTCCTGGCATTAAGTAATAGGGTAACACTGTTTAGTGTCCCTCTCCTGCTAGGACACATAAACTTCACAATGGCAGGGGGTGCATCTGACTTTTTCATCAAGTCTCCCCTGGATCTTGCACAGTGCTGCACCCATGGCAGACACTCCATAAACTCAATAAATATTTGATGAATATAAACATAAATTTACAGTCTCATCTATGCCACTAACTGTGTAATACTGGGCAAGTCATCTAACCCCTCTGGGTCCTACTTTGTTCATTTTAAACTAAAGGGATTAGTCCAGATGATCCCAAAGTTTCCTTTTCCCTTCCCTCCCCTCCCCTCCCTTCCCCTCCCCTTCGCTTCCCTTCTCTCCCTCCTTTCTTTCTTTTTTTTTTTTTTTTCAGGGTCTCCCTCTGTTGCCTAGGCTGGAGTGCAGTGGGGCTGTCCTAGCTCACTGAAGTCTTGGATTCCTGAGCTCAAGCGATCCTCCCACCTCAGTCTCTCAAGTAGCTGGGACCACAGGTGCATGCCACCACGCCTAGATAATTATTTTACTTTATTTTTGTAGAGATGGAGGTCTTGCTATATTGCCCAGGCTGGTCTCAAACTCCTGGGCTCAAGCAATCCTCCCGCCTCAGCCTCCCAAAGTGCTGCACTGGCCCTTTTCTAATGTTCATATTCCATATTTCCATCTTGTTGACTCAATGGCTTCTTGCCTCTGTTTCCCCATCAAAGACTCTAAAGCTAGATTGTTTTGCAGAGTATGGGCAAGTTTTAATCACATGCATGCCCCGGACCATGGGAAAGACTAGGGCAAAACACTGTTTTAAAGGATTTCTATAACCTACGGGGATTCCTAATTCAAGTGACTACAAAATAAAAATAAATATTTAGTCTGCCAAATAACTATACAGTTATTTCAGCATTACATTTTTCCAGAAAAAAATCTATAACACAAAAACACAATCACAGTCAGAGATCTTTTCTGGCAACAAACTCAGGCTTTGAGCAAGGATATTCAGAAAATTTTAGAAAATAAAAGGAAAACCCTGGTTCAGAACAAGTTAACAGGTTGGTTCTGTTTGGAATACTAAATGCCAGATCCTGCAACAGAAATGTTTTCCCACATTTCACATGCTCTAAAAGCCGAGTCAACTGCTAGTGCTAATATTATTCTATCTGCTAGTTATGATGAACGTCCTTCCTATCTTATTGCAAGCTTTAACTGCAACTACAGCCTCAAACATTAGCTGTACATGTAAAAAGAAACTTATTTTAGTCTAATTTAAAAGTAGAGCATTTTCATTTCATCATCAGCCTCCCCCGCTATTTCCTGTGTTATCAGATGTTGGAGAGTAAACCAGCAGTCTGTGAAACTGGCAAGCTGGTAGACAAAATAGGCATATTCAACCAGCATTTTCTTAAATAAGAACCTAAGATGGTCTGACTTCTTAATGGTGATGGAGAAGATGCACATATTCAGAAGTTATAAACCCAGAAGAAAAAGTACCAAGGAATTCCCAAAATGACTAACCCAATTCTAGAGGTTTCCTCCAAAACTCTATAGATTGCCTCACTTTTATGCTCTCCTTTAAAAAAAAAAAAAGACACAGCCAATTTAATCTCTGCAGAGACAGACCTATACATATCCCAAGGAACTAACAATTCCAATTGTTAACTAGCTCCTAGACTGGCATACTTAATTCTTCTGTGGGACAGGTTGTTGTATCTGGCACATTTTTAAGTATGGACACAGAAAAATACATGTGCTGTGTAGGCTCCTGTTTGAACTTGAAGAGTAATTTTCTGTTTAGAAACACCCTATGTTACCGAAGACAAATTTGCTCCATGGAAATGGTTGACAATCCAAAGGGCATCAAGCCTCTACATAAGATGCTCATGGGAGGGACATCTTTTCTGCAACTGGGACATTCAAAATGGTCCCAAGAGTTAGGAAAATGGATAATAACTCATGAATATACTCACTCCTCCAGTCATCCATCCAACCACCATTTACTAGGCATCTACCACACATAAAACATTGTCAGTAAGAGACCAGTATTGTTTTTCTAAACGTAAACAGTGAAAATTTTAAAAGTCCCCAAGTTTTTCCCCACAGAACAGGCAATTTTGATCAATTACTGATTTTGTTAATTTTTCTGTGTCTTAGAAAACCAACTGTCCTATTTCAGTCTAAATTTTACCAAACTGGCTGAAACTGAAAATTTTCTGCCCAGAATGAAGACCATATGACAAGCCCTATTGTGGTTTCAATAATTTCTCCAATGGGCAGATCAAGAATCATTTAAGGCATTAAATCATCCTCTTTCCTGGGCCATCTCAGACCTACTCTGGGTCATGTGAATGGCTGGTGGAAACCAAATTGAAAAGCTGCGAAAACATCCTGTAATAACAGGGAAATTAACAAACCCATTCTGTAATGCATATTTACCCCCATTTCCTCTGCCCCCATTATCTTTCTATGAACCCACATGCATAAATCTTCATGCAGACCATAGTAAACAGTACATGTAAAATGTTAAATACATACATTCCTTCATATCCACACAGATAATGGTATAATGTGATATACTCCTAAGACTCAACTTGAGCTAATGTCCATAAACAGAAAGTTATTATTAATGCATTTAAAGTTTCATTTAAAATTCTATTGTGAAGGATAATTTGTTAGCTGAAGTGAATACACTACCATACCTTGATAGGATTTGGAAAAATATTAGATCGAGACCCAGTAATGAAATGCAAGGTATGTAAAATCACACATAGTTGGAATTAAGAAATTTCATGGTTGTAAATGTCTGAGATGTCAACATATTTTTCCCATAAGCATTTTAAAGAGAACAAAAATAGATACAGAGTGGCCAAGTGAATTGCCTCAGGTGGCTCAACCAGTTTCTGTAATCTGGAAATACACACCCTTATTCTCTTACTGATTGTCATAAAGATTGTAGTAACCTAAGAAGACATCAGCCTAAATTTGACAAGAGTCAAAATATGACTCCGTGATAAGTAGCTGTTCTCTCGTTATAGGTATTAGCCCACCCCGAGTGAGTGACGGTGCAGTCATTACAGCAATAACACAAACCAATACCATGTTGCTTCCACTTATCACATCACCCTAATGAAGCTAAGGAAAAAGGCCACCAGGTCTGTACACGCGAACTTAACTTGAAGTGTACCCTACTTGGATTATCTGAGTGCAAGCCCAACATCTTCCTCTAGAGTCTATCATTTTTCTCTTCAAAATTCCTAACTAAAAGTAAAACAGGCTGGGTGTGGTGGCTCATGCCTGTCATCACAACACTTTGGGAGGACAAGGGGAGGACTGCTTCAGTCCAGGAGTTCGAGACTAGCCTGGGCAACATAGTGAGATCCTATCTCTACAAAATAAATTTTTTTTTTAATTAGCCGGGCATGATGGTGCATGCCTGTGGTCCCAGCTATTCAAGAGGCTGAGATGAGAGGATCGCTTGAGCCTGGAAGGTTGAGGCTTCAGTGAGCTATGATGGTGCCACTGCACTCTAGCCTGGGCAACAGAGCAAGACCCTGTCTCAAACAAACAACAAAAAGTAACACATGAACACAGAAAAATTAAAACACTGGAGAAATGTCTAAAACAAAAAGTTCCAAATGTCCTCCATCCACCCAAAGGTAACCACTATCAACAGTTTTTTGTATATCCTTTCAGGAAAAAAAGTAATGCATATACCAACATAAATATATTTCTTTTTAAAACATACCTAAATCACATTATACTATACACATTCTTCTGTATCTTAGTTTTTTCTTTTTATAAATCCTGGCAGACTTTCCATATCAACACAAAGAGAACTGCTTGGTTCTCTCTGAGGTCTGGATGGTATTCCATTGCATAGATGCAACAATAATCTATTTAACTGGGCCCAAGGCCAAACATTATTTTTTGAAGGGCAGACGAGCACCCTGGTTTGATTCTGTCCTCACAAAGGCTGCCAGGAGCTCCGTTTCATTAGTTCTGATGGTAAGCTGTCATTTCGAGGACAGAAACTCTATTGTTAATCAAAGCCAATTTTGTCTCAACTAACACTGTATTTCTGGAGCTTGGGAACAAAGCTAAACAGGTGACAAAATATAGAAGGGAACAAAGAAGGGGGGAGTGGGAAGGAAAAACAAGAAAGAAGAGGTCAGTAGTGAGGGAAAGAAAGAAAAAAATAGGCCGGACGCTGTGGCTCACGCCTGTAATTCCAGCACTTTGAGAGGCTGAGGCAGATGGATCACCTGAGGTCAGGAGTTTGAGACGAGCCTGGCTAACATGGTGAAACCCCATCTCTACTAAAACTAAACTAAACTAAACTAAACTAAAACTAAACTAAACCAAACTAAACTAAACTAAAAACTAAACTAAAAACTAAACTAAACTAAACTAAACTAAGCTGGGTGCAGTGGTGCATGCCTGTGATTCCAGCTACTCGGGAGGCTGAGGCAAGAGAACTGCTTGAACCTGAGAGGGAGAGGTTGCGGTGAGCAGAGATCATGCCACTGCACTCCAGCTTGGGTGACAGAGAAAGACTCTGTCTCAAAATAAATAAATAAATAAATAAGTAAAATAAATAAAGCAGTGTTATACAACATTCCAGCACCTGGCAGATGCTCATTCAATACCTTTGAAATGACTGAATAAATGAATGAGTGAAGAAACTAGAAGAAGTGTACTTTTAACACTTAAAATATTAAAATATTAGGCCCGGCGTAGTGGCTCACGCCTGTAATCCCAGCACTTTGGGAGGCCAAGGTGGGTGGATCACCTGAGGTCGGGAGTTTGAGACCAGCCTGGCCAACATAGAGAAATCCCATCTCTACTAAAAAAAAACCCCACAAAATTAGCCAGGCGTGGTGGCGCACACCTGTAATCCCAGCTACTTGGGAGGCTGAGACAGGAGAATCGCTTGAACCCAGGAGGTGGAGGTTGCAGTCAGCCGAGATGGTGCCACTGCACTCCAGCCTGGGAAACAAGGGCAAAACTCTGTCTCAAAAAAAAAAATTAAAATTAAATTATTAACTGATAGATGGCTCCTATTCTCTGAAAAGTAAACATTCTTTTTGAGCTTCACTGTCCAATATGGCAGTCACTGGCTACATATGGCTACTGAACATTCGAAATCTGTGTTATCTATAAAACACATACTAAATTTCAAATATAAAAGAAAGATGTAAAATATCTCAGTAATTGTTACATTGCTTATATATCAATAAGAGAATATTTTAGATATATTATTACATAAACTATATCATTAAAATTAATTTTACTTGTTTCTTTTTACTTTTTTTAAATTACTGCAGCTGCTAAAAAATTTTGAATTTCACATATGGCCCACATTATACATTTTTTGGATAGCGCTGGTTTTGAATGTAGACACCATCACAGCAGTGACTGTCTTTCCTGCTCTAACTGAGCACCCAACACAGGGCCTTGAGAATATAATAGATGCTCCATAAATAACCATCAGATGAACAGTTGGCTCTGATTTCTACATAAGGCAATAACCAGGCCTTGGACTACAAGACAGGAGGCCCTCACCCTGATCCTAGCCCTAATGGAAAAGCAGGTGTGTGACTTTGGGCAAGTCACTGAACCTGCCTGGGCCTTGTTTCTGTCATCTTTAAAACGGAAATAACATTAACATCTGCCTTATAGGGAAGCTGCACAGGCCAAATGAAATAATGTCGATAAAAGGGTTTTGAAAGAGGGTAACACAGATGTCAGGTCCCTCCTGAATTCTACTATTCTCTTCTAGTAATAGTGCCAGGAGAAGTGAGATGCAAAAAATACTGAAACAACAGGGTAAGAAATTGACCGATAAAATTCCTACATCTGATGTTTCCATTCTGGCATACATTAGAAAATTCAGACAGAGACAGGTGCAAACTTGAAATTCTCACACGAGCGGAAATTTCAGCATTCGTGACTCCCTTTTCCCCGTGGCTCACCAAACACAGTTGACATAGGGACTTGCAGACACTTCTTTGAGGGACCATGAAAGTGTAACGCGAACAGGAGAAGGCCCTCTCTGGGTGGCCGCCGAAGCGGCAGGAGAGGCCGAGTTTACCACCCCACCGAGATCTCTCGGCTTTGCAGGAAAACTGTAATCCTGGGCGACTCTGAAGGCTCAGGGGAAAATTTCCATGGGCACAAAATCTATTGTAGGCATTAGTCCTCGTTAACTATTCCAGGAGCAGCAGGCAGTGACCCACAGTTAGGAGTGTGAACAACCCCTGATTCCGCAAGGCAGTTAGGGTATCAGGCAGGGGAAACCCCAAGTGACTCTTGGACAGGCTGTAGCTTTTTAGTGACATTGGAAGGATTTCACTATCCCAGCTGGGTATCTTCTTCCCCAAATCAAAAAGATCATTTCAAAAAGGAAGAGAAAAAGAAAGCGTCCTTCAGCAGGGGGTATTTAAGGAGGATCCTGGAGGAGGCAATTGCAGAGTGGCTTAACCCACAGCAGAGAAAGAGCAACCCAACAGCCCACAGGCACAAGGCACCAGGACAGCAGCACCACAATCGTTGCTTTCAAGAGATCCAAGCCTAGATTTTCCCCTCAGTCCTGCAAAGTGCCCCATAAGCCCCAGAAGTCGTCCATGACTTACCATCTGCGAGGCCACGACACCGAGCAGAGCGCAGCAACTTCCCCTTTGCTCAGAGGGTCTGACTCCCTTCTCTTCTCTCAGGGCTGCTGCCTGTGACGCGCCAAGGCCAGGCTCTGAGCCCCTTGGGACTACTGTGCCCATAACAGCCCATAATAGCCTATAACAGACCACAGGGCCTGAGCTACCGCGGGCTCCTGTGACCCAAAAACCGAAAGACAAGACACCAGGCATGGAGCAAAGCTCAAAGCTGGGCTGCATAGCAGAACCAACTTGAAGGCTTTTTCAAATTCATATTCCCAGGACAAACCTCTAGAGATTCCTATTCAGTAGGTCTGGGGTGGGGCCCAGGTATCCACATTTTAAACATAGTGCAGGGAAATTGCCAATGCTCAGCCTGACTTGGAAATTTATGGCCTGGAGCACTCAGGGAAGCGTCATTTTCTCTGATCCTTTCTCTTCCTTGAGCATTCTTCATTCTTTATCTCAGTGTGGAAGAGGAGGGTGGAGAGGAAAGACTTAGGGGAGAAGCAAGGCCAAGTGTAAGCTTTCTAGGCCCAAAGGCCCTGTGTTCCAAAGTGAGTTCCAGTGCTTACCCCAATCATTTAACCTCTCTGAACCTTAGTTTTCTCATCTGCAAAATGGCGCTGAAACCATCTGTGCACTTGGGGTTGTGGGAGGAATAAATACATGTAAAACACCTGATGCATTACACAGGGTAACTGTCATAAAAACCATTCATCTTCTTATGAATTATTTCCCTGAGGGGAGGAGGGTACACATTCTCCATACGACTATCCTTGCAAGAGAAACTGCAAATGTAAACGACAGACTGAACCAAGCATAAAGGGAATAAAATAAAATAAATAGCAGTAAGGAAGGCGGTAGATTCAGGTTGCATGGGGGAGGGTGGGGAGATGCTAAGAGCAGGCTTGCAACCCTGTCTCTGGGGACTCTATAGCAGTATGATCCAGAGGAAATTAACAGAGATTCACAAAGATTTAGGCATGAAGCTGTATGAACATTTATTGCAATATTATTTATAAAAGGGGAAAAATTAGAACTTACAGGGGTTTTTTTCTTCTTTAACATTATGACAAACACAAATTATTTCAGAAAAAAGTTTCTTTTTAAATTTAAGAAAAGTTACACAATGGAATATTTTTCAGCTATAAGAAAGAAGAAAATCTTGCCATTTGTGACAATGTGGATGAACCTGGAGGACATTATGCAAAGTGAAATAACCCAGATACAGGAAGGCAAATACAGAATGATCTCACTTATATGTGGAATCCAAAAAAGTTGAACTCATAGAAGCAGAGAATACAACGGTGTTTACCAGGGACAGGGGTAAAGAAGGGGACTTGGGAAGATGCTGGTCAAAGAGTTGAACTTTCAGTTTTAAGATGAATAAACTCAGGCCAGACGCGGTGGCTCATGCCTGTAATCCCAACAGTTCAGGAGGCCGAGGCGGGAGGATCATGAGGTCAAGACATCGAGACCATCCTGGCCAACATGGTGAAACCCCATCTCTACTAAAAATACAAAAATTAGCTGGGCGTGTTGGCACGTGCCTGTAGTCCCAGCTACTCAGGAGGCTGAGGCAGGAGAATCGCTTGAACCGTGGAGGCAGAGGTTGCAGTGAGCCGAGATCACGCCACTGCACTCCAGCCTGATGACAGAGCAAGACTTCGTCTCAAAAAAAAAAAAAAAAGAATAAACTCTGAGCATCTAACGTACAGCATGGTGATTATAGTTAATAATACCACATTTTTTACTTGAAATTTGCTAAGACTAGACTTTAAGTGTTCTCACCACACACACACACACACACACACACACACACACAATGGTAACTATGTGTGCTGATGTATGTGTTAATTAATTTGATTGTGATAATCATTTCACAAAGTATATGTATAAAAAAATCACTTTGTACACTTTGAATATATACAATTTTTATTTGTCAAGTATACCTCAATAAAACTAGAAAATATTAATTAATTAATTAGTTAATTAACTTAGGAAAACATTTTGGAATCTATTTGATTAGCTGAAAGCATTTTTAAATATTCCTTTATTTTTCTTTTTCTTTGAGACAGGGTCTCGCTCTGTCTCCCAGGCTGGAGTGCAGTGCTGCAATCACAACTCACTGCAGCCTCAACTTCCAGGGCTCGAGCAATCTTCCCACCTCAGCCTCTCCGGTAGCTGGGATCACAGGCACATGCCACCACGTCCAGCTAATTTTTGTATTTTTTGTAGAGACAGGGTTTCCACCACATTGCCCAGGCTGGTCTTGAAATCCTGGCCTCAAGCAATCTGTTCCCCGCAGTCTCCCAAACTGTTAGAATTACAGTTGTGAGCCACTGCACCCAGCCCTTATTTTTTCTTTTAAACTGTAGTTTAATATTCAGACTAGAACATTAATATCAACAAAGGCAGGCCAGATGTAGATATATAGACATATCCCTCTAAATTTTTCCCATGGAAATCAAAGGCAAAATATATGATACTTGTGGGTACCATGAGAGCTTCTGAAACACAATGGGAATGGAGAGGGAGGGGCGAGGCAAAGAGAAAATAATGCATAAAAAGAAGCAGACAAGATCTCCACTGTAATACTATTAATAAATAATATTGGGAGAATTCGGTTTAATGCTTCCCTCCACCCTCAACACACACAAATGCACATCACACGAATGAGAACTTTTGCAAAAACACTCAATATCACCCACAGAGTCCTTTCCCACACAGTCTAACAGAATCTATTTTTATATTCCATTGAGATTTGAAGCAAAGAATAGAGCCCCAGTAAAAAGAGGAAATAATTTCTGTGCTGTACCTGGGGTTTTCTCACTTCCTTAATTTAAAATAATCTTCCAACAAGTCCAAAAAGTCAGATCAATAGTCCAGTCTTCTATGCACAGGTATATATCACTGCAAACGTTTTGGAACTAAACTGAATCAGTTAAAAAGGTTCTCGGGAATTTGCCATCTTCTTAGAAAACTTATAATGGTATATTACAGTGCTGGAGGCTGAAAGAAACCTTCCAAATTATCTGGTCCAACCCCATCATTTTACAGATGAAGAACTTGGAAAATAAACTGGCTGATCCAACACACTGAAGACTCCAATTAAAACATCTGCTTAATTTTAAGGTGGCTGACAAATTTGGAGAGTGGGGTGGGAAATAAAACCTCCAAAACATATTTTAGTAGTAATTTTGATCAAGGGGCTTATTAAATGAAGAAAGAGTAAAGATTGTGATCTCAGTAGCACCCCATCCCAACATCTAGAAACCTGAAAGATTAAAAACTGCCAGAGTGAACGCACCGAATCTATGAGCAGGGGCAAAGGAAGAGAACGCAGGAGCTCTACCCTGAAGTCTGATGGCCTAAGCACCAAATACTGGCCTAATTTTATATCTAACTGATGGGTGTCCAGGAGCTGCCCTGATGTGATGGTGCCTCCATTTCCGGAGAAGTGGAGATTAGAGAAAATACTTCCCATGCGACAGAGGTACATGACCATTGACCTGACAACAGAAAGGTGGCTTAGACCCCTTGTTTGTACTCAGTGGTACCTGGACCAGCAGCATCAGCATCACCTGTGAGCTTGTTAGAAATGCAGAATCTGGCTGGGTGCGGTGGCTCACGCCTGTAATCCCAACACTTTGTGAGGCTGAGGCAGGCAGATCACTTGAGGTCAGGAGTTCAAGACCAGCCTGGCCAACATGGTGAAACCCCATCACTACTAAAAATACAAAAATCAGCCAGGCATGGTGGTGCATGCCTGTAATTCCATCTACTTGGGAGGCTGAGGCAGGAGAATTGCTCGAACCCAGGGAGGCAGAGGTAGCAGTGAGCCGAGATTGCGCCACTGTATTCCAGCCTGGGTGACAGAGCGAGACTCTATCTCAAAAAGAAAAAAAAAAGAAAAAAGAAAAAAAAAGAAATGCAGGATCTTGGCCCCACCCAAGGAGTCAGTATATGCATATTTACAAGATCCCCAGGTCCTTCTGTGCACATTAAAATTTGAGAAGCATTGTTTAGCTAGCATAGCAGCAAAAGAAAGTATAATTGACTACCTGTAATCTAAGTTTCAAGAATAAAATAACCTCCTCTACTCTATTACCCACTCCACTCTCTTTGATCTTTAAGCTTTACTTTAAACTTTACATGGTCTAAAATTTAGCCTAAATTTTAAATGGGCTTAGTGAATATCTCATTAAATAGTCCTTTTTATCAAAAGGTATCTCAAAGTTAAGAAAAATAGACATATAGCCATGTAAATATTCTGGGACTTTTACCATTTTAAAGGGTTACATAAATTATAAAGTGAGGTATTTTTCATGCTATTTACTGCTGGGGTCTGAGTAGGAACATGACCAGTATTTCTTCAGTTGGGAGTCAAAAACCTCAGGTATACCAGGTGAAGGAGGAAAATTGAATTCAGAAGAGAAATGTGTTCCTGGTGAAAAGGGGAACTTCTTGTAAGGGAATGTTATGATCAAAAGGCTGTAAAGGTCACATGGCCCAACCCTGGCCCCAAAGCTAAATCCCTTTACAGCACGTCTGCAGTATCTACTCTCTTACTCCTGGAGATGTGGCACTTACCACCTTCAAAGGCAACCCATTCCACCTTCACACAGCTCTAATAATTAGGAAGTTTTTCCTAAAATTTGTCTCCCTGTAGTTTCAATAGCCCTACAATCAATAACTCCACAATTATTGTCTCTACTATTAATTCATCCCCATTATCAATTTTCCATTGCATTTCTTTTTTTTTTTTTTTTTTGAGACAGGGTGTCACTCTGTTGATCCCCAGGCTGGAATGCAGTGGCTCAGTCACAGCTCACTGCAGCCTCAACCTCCAAGGCTCAGGTGATCCTCCCACCTCAGCCTCCCAAGTAGCTAGGACAACAGGTACACACCACCATGCCCAGCTAATTTTTGTATTTTTTGTAGAGACAGGGTTTTGCCATGTTGTCCAGACAGGTCTCAAACTTCAAAGCAGAAATCCTTCTGCTCCAGCCTCCCAAAGTGCTGGGATTACAGGCATAAGCCACTATGCCCAGCCAGTTGTTTTTTTTTTTTTTTTTTTTTTTTTTTGAGATGGAGTCTTGATCTGTCACTCAGGCTGGAGTGCAGTGGTGCCATCTCGGCTCACTGCAAGCTCCGCCTCCCAGGTTCACGCCATTCTCCTGCCTCAGCCTCCCGAGTAGCTGGGACTACAGGCGCCCGCCACCTCGCCCGACTAATTTTTTGTATTTTTAGTAGAGACAGGGTTTCACCGTGTTAGCCAGGATGGTCTCAAACTCCTGACCTCGTGATCCGCCCGCCTCGGCCTCCCAAAGGGCTGGGATTACAGGCGTGAGCCACCGCTCCCGGCCATGCCCAGCCAATTTCTTATTGGGATTCTTTTTTTTAACAGAGAAAGTCAAAGAAACAAGTTTCATGTACTTATTTCTCATGGGACTGGGCAGCTGGTGTAGTAACGTATATGAAAATATTAGCTTTTGCTTTTATTTTGAGGTACCTTAGGAAAACCTCATGTATGCAAGAGGAGTATTTTTTAAAAAGATGGGTTATCACAAGTTATAGGGAATGTACCTAAGGACACAATTATCCCAGAAATGTAGTGTAGGGAGAGTACTGTCTTTAGATACTGTTCTAGCCCTAAGCTTCCTGGGAGTCAAAGCAGGTATGAAATGTGGCAAGAAGGTCATACTTCAAAAATATTTAAGATTTTCTGGCCTAGGTGAATCACAGATTTTTAGCCTTGGGAAGTGTCTTAGATCAAGTCTAAATCTGCCACTTACAGAAAAGGAAACTGGAACTCAAAGAGGCAAAATGACTTGCTCAGTACTAGGCATCTGGTTAGCAGCAGAGCCGGGTAATGCAGTGTCCCTAACCCTGGTCAATGCTCTTTTTTCTACACTGCCAGACTCTGAGTATCAGGTTTGTTAAGAAAGCTTGTCCAGCAAAAAAAATCAGGAATATGGCCTCAGAGTCAAGGCCAACCAAGGGCCATGGCTATGGAATACCCAAAAAGCAAACCCAAGTCATCCTAGCACCGACAGAGATCTTGAATCCCCAAATTCACAAACCTAATACCAGATAAGAAAGTTATATTGAGGCTATAAGGCTTCCTTCCTCCTCTTCTCTTTCTTACAATTCCATTTGTCCCTATATCCATTGATTCTGAACTGCAAAGATATCCCACTAAGCAGCTTATTTTAATCTCCCATTAAAGTAATCTCTTTCTGATGAGAAGTTCCTGCTCTTAGAACAGGAGCACCCTGTAAATGAGTTCATTCTTTCCGAGACACTTGAAGCTAAAGGCTCATAGCATACTGAACTACAGTCTTTGGTAAAAAGTGAAATAGTAGAAGAGATCAATTTATCCAGGTATTGAATCACTGGACACATCCAAACAATATTAAAATAATCCTTTTTTCTATCTACTTCAAAAAATAACACTACTGTTTTTTGTTTGTTTGTTTGTTTTGAGACGGAGTCTTGCTCTGTCGCCCAGGCTGGAGTGCAGTGGCACAATTTCGGCTCACTGCAACCTCCGCCTCCCGGGCTCAAGTGATTCTTCTGCCTCAGCCTCCCGAGTAGCTGGGATTACAGGCACGCACCATCACGACTAGCTAATTTTTGTATTTTTTTAGTAGAGATGGAGTTTCACCATATTGGCCAGGCTGGTCTCTAACTCCTGACCTCATGATCCGCCCGCCTCGGCCTCCCAAAGTGCTGGGATTACAGGTGTGCACCACTGCGCCCAGCCACACTACTGTAATATTTTAAAGAACAATCTGTTACAGCGTACAGTATGAGATGCCCAGTCAGTGGCAATACATCCATGGTGGGTTCCAGGGGCTGGCCTGCGAGATCCTAATGGACCGATGCAATGACATAAGATCATCCACAGAAACAACCAGTTGTGTCTCAGTTTTTTGTAAGTTTGGGCAGATCACAATTCCTTCAAAGTAATGAAAGGCAATCATGCAAAAATGAATTATATGCTTTTTCTATCATTGTCTTTCTAACGTAAAGATAAGCAAACTCTAGAAAAAGTACTAATCCAGGTCCCGGCATTTCAGGTGAGACATGTTTTACATTCACACTAGTGATTTATGTTACAAAATGAGAAGGAATCTTACTTTGTTAAAAGACGTGGTCATGTTTATTGGTTTAGAGTAGCCAATTCCTGGGATAAAAGCACCTAGGAAGTTACATTACCTTTTTAAGGCCACTGAAAATTAGTAAATTCTTGATTTCATTTATCAGATGGCATAGGGGTGGGTGAGACAAATTAATGCCCAAGTCACACCAGGGATAACTGAGGCACAGTTAAATCAGGACCATAATTTTCCAGGCTTCTTTGCTGGCGTCAGGTATATAAGATCTCATGTGGCAAGAG
Organism: Homo sapiens; assembly: GCF_000001405.40. NCBI lineage: Eukaryota > Metazoa > Chordata > Mammalia > Primates > Hominidae > Homo > Homo sapiens. The sequence continues at coordinate 96,708,229 of NC_000010.11, forward strand.
AACAGAATATAAACACATAGCCCATTCATAGCCCACAGTGAGGCAAAAATAGAAAACAAAAAGAGGCTAGGCGTGGTGGCTCACGCCTGTAATCCCAGCACTTTGGGAGGCCGAGGCAGGTGGATCACCTGAGGTCAGGAGTTTGAGACCAGCCTGACCAACATGGTAAAATCCCGTCTCTACTAAAAATACAAAAATTAGCCAGGTGTGGTGGTGGGCACCTGCAATCCCAGCTACTCGGGAGGCTGAGGCAGGAGAATCACTTGAATCCAGGAGGTGGAGGTTGCAGTGAGCTGAGATCACACCACTGCACTCCAACCTGGACGTCAGAGCGAGGATCTGTCTCAAAAAAAAAAAAAAAAAAAAAAAAAAAGCAAAAAGAAAGCAAAAAGAGGAAGAAAAGCTGTGATATGTGTCCATCCCAGAGCATGTCTTCTGTTACTGTTAATCAGAGTGTGTGTCACACTTCCTGGGGCCACTGAAGTCACTAACCCCGGCAGAAAGGATCGGAATTTTCCTACTCTAAAAGGAGAAATGGCAAAATATAGAAGCTAGGCTGGTGGGAAATAGAGAAGAGGGCTATTTCTCTATAAACATGTTATCGAAAAAAACAATGCCTTGGCGGGGCACGGAGGCTCATGCCTGTAGGCCCAGCACTTTGGGAGGCTGAGGCGGGTGGATCATTTGATATCAGGAGTTCAAGATCAGCCTGACCAACATGATAAAACCCTGTTTCTACTATAAATAGAAAAAAATTAGCCAAGCATGGTGGCACACACCTGTAATCCCAGCTACTCGGGAGGCTAAGGCAGGAGAATCGTTTGAACCTGGAGGCAGAGGTTGCAGTCCACTGAGATCGCACCATTGCGATCCAGCCTGGGTGACAGAGGGAGACTCCGACTCAAAAAAAAAAAAAAAAAAACCCTTTTTTAACAAAAATGTGAAGTTCGCGTGATGATAAAATGGAAGTAACATGCAAGCAGGAGAGTGGGCAGTCTTGTTCCTCACACCAACAGCAAACTAAGTCTCTGCCTCCCAGCCCCAACTACTTTCTAGGCTGGAACTCTGTCCTGTGTCTTCCAAGGCACAGAAAATTCTAGAAAGAAGGCCTTTGCCCTAGTACAGAAGAAAAGGGACAGTGTCCTCTTCCTCTCCTGATAGTCCAGGAGAGCTGTCCTGCCCCTATCCCACCCCAGAAATAGGCTGCTCTAAACCCATAAATATGACCAGGTCTCTTAACATAGTGAGATCCCCGCTCATTTTGGAATATAAACTTACACCTAGGACCTGGATTAGCAACTTTTCTAGGGCTTGCTTATCTTTAGAAGAAATCCTTACCTTCGGAAATGGCTTTTTTCACAGCTGCCACGTAGGTCTCTGGCTCATCGTCACAGGTGAGCTCCTGCCAATGGGCCCAATCTGGAAAGAAGTCTAGGAACTCCTCGCTGTCCCGCACGCCGCAGAGCAGCCTGACCACGCGGTGCGGAGGATGGAAAGCTCTCTGCAGCAGGGGCAGCAAGGCGGGCTTGTGGAAGTGCTGCACCAGCTCCGCGGACAGCAGCACCACGACACAGCGGGTGCTGAGGAAAAGGCTTAGGTCCTCTGCCGAGAAGGAGGCCTCGGGGCCCAGCCTGTGAGTCAGTATCTTCTGGCTGCGGACCTGCCGACTGGACAGGAACAGGGTCTGCAGGTACTGGCACCATTCCTCGGCATCCGGGCTGTAGACGATGAGGATGTCGCATCCTCTGGGCACCCCTGGACAAGAATGAGGCACAGAAGCATGTTAGCACACCTCCCCTTCTAGGTGGCTCCCCACAGCCTGCAAAGGTAGAGCATCCAGACACTGGGTCTGGCACCCACAATCTTTCGTGGTGTGCCTCCAGCACACCAGCACACCTCACTCACGCATTTCTTTCCCCATTTACAGTCTGTGTTCCAATCATACCAGACTCCTTATCTTTGCCCAAACATACCACGCTGTTTTATTATTTATTTATTTATTTATTTATTTAGAGACTGAGTCTCGCTCTATCACCCAGGCTGGAGTCAGTGGCCCAATCTCAGCTCACTGCAACCTCTGCCTCCCGGGTTCAAGCGATTCTCCTGCCTCAGCCTCCCAAGTAACTGGGATTACAGATGCCTGCCATCACGCCAAGCTAATTTTTGTAGTTTTAGTAGAGATGGGGTTTCACTATGTTGGCCAGGCTAGTCTTGAACTTCTGACCTCAAGTGATCCACCCATCCCTGCCTCCCAAAGTGCTGGGATTACAGGCGTGAGCCACCAGGCCCAACCCCATACTGTTTTAGATCCTTGCACGAGCTATTGCTTCTGCCTGGCATGCACCTTCCCCCCACACCTGAAGCAGTATGAGATCATAACAATAATAACAATAATAATAAATAATAATAATCGCAACAGCAAACACTTATATAGAGGTTACTATGTTCCAGGCACTCTTCCAAGCACATTGCCTACTAAACTCATTACATCTTCACAGCAACTTTAGAAGGTAGGTACTATTATTAGCCCATTCTTTAAAAAAATGAGAAACCTGAGGTGTGACAGGTTAAGTAATTTGCACAAGATTCACAGTGGCCAAGTAAGGATTTGAGTTAAATTAGATATTTCATGTAAACTGCTAAGCACAGTGCTTGTCATATAGAAAACCCTCAGGAATTGGTAGCTGGTGTCATCATCCTCACATGAATATAAATAATGTATCATATTAAAGTGCATGGTAGTTGTGAATTAATGCTGTTACCTCCACAATACAATCTGCAAGGTGTCCCTCACCACACCTGGCCTATAACATAGGCTTTCTTCCTCTAACAAAGCACAAATGCCAAAAAGAGAGTCAAAAAGGGCTTTTAGGGATCACTTGGCCCAAACTCCTCATTTACAGATGAAAGAAACATTTCATCTAGGAAGGTTAAGGGACTTGCTCAACTTCATACTCTAGATTATTGGCAGAGCCAGAACTGACACTCAGGTTATTCCCTGGTTCCCAGTCCAGCCTCCTTCCCAACTCACCTGCACCACCCATCAGGAACTATGTCAAGAATCTTACGAGTAGTAAGTCATAGCTTCCAACTACCAAAGTTCAAAAAAGCTTGGCTCTTAATGTAACTGTTACCACTGTTTTGGGTCATCATCTCTCCATGAATTCAACAAACTGTTCTGTGTGTGGTTTGGAAGAGGTGAGTATAAAGTGTCCATACAACACAACAGGGAACTCAGAGAAGGAAGCTGGTCACATTTTATGAAGGTTGGGAACCACCTAAGTTGTAGACTAAAACAATTAAACGCTAGGCCTGGGCCGCATTTCATTGATGCTTCCTGTTGAAAAGGACAGAGGCAGGACTTAGGCAAGACCTAGAGGCTCTGAAAAGATCATAGGATGAATCCTCTTGCCTGCCCCCATCCAATCCACCACTATATTCAAACCAAAAAGCAACATGTACAATGCAAGCCCAACATAGTTCTGATTTCCCCCAGGATGAGATTACCAAATTTTTTTTTTTTTTTTTTTTTTTTTTTTTTAGACGGAGTCTCGCTCTGTCGCCCAGGCTGGAGCGCAGTGGCACGATCTCGGTTCACTGCAAGCTCCGCCTCCCGGGTTCACGCCATTCTCCTGTCTCAGCCTCCCAAGTAGCTGGGACTACAGGCGCCCGCCATCACGCCCGGCTAATTTTTTTTTTTTATTTTTAGTAGAGACGGGGTTTCACCGTGTTAGCCAGGATGGTCTCGATCTCCTGACCTCGTGATCCACCCACCTCAGCCTCCCAAAGTGCTGGAATTACAGGCGTGAGCCACCGCACCCGGCCATATTACCAAATTTTTAAAAATAGCAAATAAAACGAATGTTTGCAGTTTCATTCTGTTTTGAGTCCCCCTGGTTTTCTGGAGCCCTAATCCAGTGCTAATATAAAGCCCACAGTAGACTTCTTAGCAGGAGCAAGTTGATCCGCCTGAGAGTATTTTTGAAGGGAAGGTGTACAAATCTTTTAAAAAGGCAATCTTAGACAAACAGTATGGAACTGGCGAAAACCAGTCCGCAATTCTGACGATGCCCTGGACATTTGTGGTTCTACAGAGAACTCAATTCTGATCACGGTCTGTTCCCTCAATTGTGAACATAATGGTCCTTTTCAGGAATGCCTACCCTGATTCCAAAGCTTACACAGATTAAGGACAAAAAGTTAATGCACCAGTGCTGCAGCCTGCCATAAAAATAAATAAATAAATAAAAATCTTTGCTGCTTGGATTTTTTTTTTCTGTGTAGAATATTTCTTTATACCTCAATGGAAAAATCATTTCAAAACTATAGAAGGTATAACATTGGCAAAGCTACATAACTATGCAACTGACATTGAGAAGCAGAGTTAAATTATCAGAATATATTTACCTTCTTTCTGTCCTTCCTTCCTATGTGGCTGGTTTATCTTAAGAGGCAAACGTTCTTCTAAGTGTCAAGTGTTATTGCAGATGTGCGTGCATGGGCACGAGCCATCAGGTAGGACAGGTGCAAGACTTTACATTTCATTATAACATTAAGGATGCAATGTTAGTGATGCTGTGCAAGGAGCCTGGAGCATTTTGTAAAAATGCAAAAGTGAAAAAGGGTAGCCACCACCTTCCTCTGCATACATATGCGTATCATGTCAACAATTTGTGCAATAAGCAGAAGGAGAATAAAATCTCAGGAAGGGATGGTTGTGGTCCCATATACTAGTGATGAAGAAACCATAAGTAGTGTTTTCAATAGGGTTGGCAAGTGATGGCAAAAAAGTGAAGAAGAGGGAAGAAGAAAATTTCCTAAGCATAAGAAGAACCCTTAAGAGGGCAGCTTGGGGCCAGGCCCAGTGGCTCATTACTAATCCCATCACTTTGGGAGGCCAGGGCGGGCGGATTGCTTGAGCTCAGGAGTTTCAGACCAGCTTGGGCAACATGGTGAAACCCCGTCTCTACAAACAATGCAAAAATTAGGCCAGGCGCGGTGGGTCACACCTGTAATCCCAGCACTTTGGTAGGCCGAGGCAGGCAGATCACGAGGTCAGGAGATCAAAACCATCCTGGCTAACACGGTGAAACCCCGTCTCTATTAAAAATACAAAAAAAAAAAAATTAGCCGGGTGTTGTGGCAGGCACCTGTAGTCCCAGCTACTCAGGAGGCTGAGGCAGGAGAATGGCATGGACCTGGGAGGCGGAGCTTGCAGTGAGCCGAGATTGCGCCACTGCACTCCAGCCTGGGAGACAGACCGAGACTCCGTCTTAAAAAAAAAAAAAAAAAAAAAAAAGCAAAAATTAGCCAGGCGTGGTGGTGTGCTCCTATAGTCCCAGCTACTCAGGAGACTGAGGTAGGAGGATTGCTTGAGACTGAGAGGCAGCTTGGGTTTTGGGGCACTGATTGACTTAGTAGAAAAGCAACAGCTTTACACTGTTCTAAAGACCACATGGCCATGAGTGATTACTCCAATTTTATAAGAAGAATTTAGTGATCCAAAAGTAAGTGAACATTTTTAAAATTATAAACTCTAGGGCCACTGAGGGAATGGGTACTCATTTCCCCCTGGATCCTGCCTCACCAGCTAACAGCAGATCCTGCTCCTCTGTGAACAGCACATCATAATACTTGCTGTTCATTACAGACTCCAAGTCAAGGGCTGGCTGCGGTGGCTCAAGCCTGTAATCCCAGCACTTTGGGAGGCCGAGGCAGGCGGATCACCTAAGGTCAGGAGTTCGAGACCAGCCTGACCAATATGATGAAACCCTGTCTCTACTAAAAATACAAAAATTAGCCGGGCATGGTGGCATGCGTCTGTAATTCCAGCTATTCGGGAGGCTGAGACAGAAGAATCACTTGAACCCGGGAGGCGGAGGTTGCAGTGAGCTGAGATCGTGCCATTGCACTCCAGCCTGGGTAATAACAGCGAAACTCCGTCTCAAAAAAAAAAAAGACTCCAAGTCATCAAGGAAAGTTTAAATCGTGATTCAGCTCTGTTTCCTGAGCACTGATCATGTGTTAGTCACTCTGCTAAGCATCTCATGTACATTCTCTCATTTAATCCTCAGAACAATCCACAAAGTATATGTTATCAAAAAGCCCCATTTTACAGACACAGACATTAAAACTCGTTGAAGATTTACTGCTGCTGCTGCCCAAGTGCACATTGTTAGTCAGTGCCAGAGCAGGGATCTGACTCCAAAGTCCATGCTCTTAATCTCTAAGTTGCACCCAATTTAAAAAGTCAAGGAAATACAGAATATAGTTTAGAAAATACAGTTAATAAAATACATCTAGTGCCATGGGTTTCTCATACCATTCTCCAATAAAAGGATCCAGGATTCCTTAGTGAAATGATGGATTCTAGGAATGAGTCTAGGATTAAATACTTCCTGGGGCAGGAAATATTCAATATGAGCCTGGAGCATCTTGTAGTGCCAGAAAGTAATGCTCAAACAAAAATTCAATGACAGGCATATGTCAAAGGAACACGAGTCAACTCAAAGCGCCCAGTGGCAAAAGCTGGAACCATTTGAGCAACAAAATAAATAAAATAATATTGAATTATAACCCAAAGCATAAAAGAAATATACAGGAGTCCATACTGATACAAAATAAATAATTGAATAAATACACTGGGGAAAAAAGACAAATCTCCCATGCATAACAATTCTGAATAATTTATGTAGATAGATAACTCCACCCTCAAGGAGGTAGAGTGTAACTCCTTATACAGAGAACTTAGTGTTTGGCTGTGTCAAGTGAGTTCTTTCCAAAGAGCACAGTGTGGAAAGGGAGAAAAAAAAAAGAGTAAATTTACAATAGAGAAACCCAGTGATCAAGGTCAGCATTGACAGTCACAAATCATGTTGAGAGTGTGTGCCCTGAATACCATGGGCCGAGACTGGCACTTTACCTCTGTGGTCTTCCTCCCTGAAACCCAGCACCCTGGTCTAATTATGGGAAAAAATATCATACAAATCCCGACTGAGGGCTATTCTACAAAATAACTGACCAGTACTCCTCAAGACTGTCAAAGCCATCAAAAACAAGGAAAATCAGAGAAAATCACAGCCTTGAAGGGCCTAGGGAGACATGACTACCAAATATAACGTAGTACCTGAGATGGGCTCCTGGAACAGAAGAAGGACATTACATAAAAACTAAGGAAATCTGAGGAAAGCCTGAACTTTTAGTTATTAATAATTTATCAGTATCAGTTAACTAATTGTCACAAAAACCACACTAATGTAAGATGTCAATAATAGGTGAAACTGGATGTGGTCTATATGAGAACTCTCTGTACTATCTTTGTAGTATTTCTGGAAATCTAAAATTGTTCTAAAATAAAATTTTATTTAAAAGTATCATTGAGGCTGGGCGCGGTGGCTCATGCCTGTAATCCTAGCACTCTGGGAGGCCAAGGCGGGTGGATCACGAGGTCAGGAGATCGAGACCATCCTGGCTAACATGGTGAAAACCCGTCTCTACTAAAAATACAAAAAATTAGCCGGGAATTGTGGCGGGCACCTGTAGTCCCAGCTACTCAGGAGGCTGAGGCAGGAGAATGGCATGAACCCGGGAGGCGGAGCTTGCAGTGAGCTGAGATCATGCCACTGCACTCCAGCCTGGGCAACAGAGCGAGACTCCATTTCAAAGAAAAAAAAAAAAAAGTACAATTGAAATAAAGAGCACTTAAATCTCCTATATTTAAAAAACAAACAAATAAACAAACAGAACAGCTATTCAAAATGTCTCATTCCTGGCCAGGAACAGTGGCTCACATCTGTAATACCAGCACTTTGGGAGGCCAATGCAGGCGGATCACTTGACGCCAGGAGTTCGAGGCCAGCCTGGCCAACATAGTGAAACTCCAACTCTACAAAAAAATACAAAAATTAGCCAGGCGTGGTGGCATGCGCCTGTAGTCCCAGCTACTCAGGAGGCTGAGCCATGAGAATTGTTTGAACCTGGGAGGCAGAGGTTGCAGTGAGCCCAGGTCGTACCACTGCCCTCCAGCCTGGATGACAGAGTGAGACCCTGTCTCATTAAATAAATAAATAAATAAATAAATAAATGCACAATGTCTCACTCCTGGGGTTCTAGTGTTAAATTCAATTCCCTTTGAGTGAAAGTATTTGAGGAGAAATTAATTACTGCCTCAGACTAGTTAACATTACAACCTATTTGGTCACTAACCTGTGGTGTGACTTAGACCAATTACTAAGTCTAGGCAAATTTGCCTTGATGTAAATGAGGACAATGAAATCTATCACCTTCCCGAATATTGCTGTGCTGGGAAACTGAAAGAAGGGGAAGTTTTTAAAAAGTCCAAAGTGAAAGTTCCAGTCCCTTTCTGATGTGCTGGGTAACAATATAGGACTAAATGCTTTGTCAGCAACTCTGCCTTATATGGGGGAAACTCCTTTCTTCAGCAATAATCCTCTTCCTTTAACCATAAGTAGCTTTTCCACTTATCCTCAATCACATCTCTCTTTTTTTTTGCTTGTTCATTTATTAAGAGAAATGAAACACATGAGCTAACAAGGAGTCTACAAGCCCTAGAAAGAAATGAGGAAGGGTCTTTCTTTGTCCTCGTAAAACGTCAAGAACAGGTTTGGCTACAGAAGGAGAAAGAAATGGATCACAGCAGAGGAAGGGGAGGCTGTAGCAGCAGGGAGTCCATGGGGTGAAAAGCTGGGGCTGAAAGAGAGGTGCCTTTGCAGGATTCAGAGCCCAATGGAGGGCCGAGCGTGGTGGCTCACACCTGTAATCCCAGCACTTTGGGAGGCTAAGGAGGGCAGATCACTTGAGGCCAGGAGTTCAAGACCAGCCTGGCATGGTGAAACCCTGTCTCTACTAAAAATACAAAAATTAGCTGAGTATGGTGGTGGGCACCTGTAATCCCAGCTACTCGGGAGGCTGAGGCACGAGAATCACTTCAACCTGGGAGGCAGAGTTTGCAGTGAGCCAAGATCGTGTCACTGCACTCCAGCCTGGGTGACAGAGTGAGACTCCGTCTCAAAAAAAAAAAAAAAAAAACTCACTGGAGAGAAGTACAGACAGGAAGTGCCAGAAAGCTTCTCAAACCACCCAGCCCAGACCATTTCTTCAGCCTATAGGTGACTCTGGCACCCCATTCATCCATCCTGGAGCCCCATGTTTGAATCTGAACACCATATTTGAAGAGGGATGAGAGATAGGGAAGGTGACCAGGATAAGGAGAGATGTGGTCAATCATATCAGGAGCTTCCCACCCCAGAAGTTGTTCAAATTTAGGTACTGGCAAGAGTATTGAGAGGCCTCAAGGATCACATGGAAGTTAAGGTCACAAAAAGGTTAAAAGTCCCTTCAAGCTCCATGGTCCTGTAAGTCCAGGAATAGTAGAAGGATCTAAAGAGAAGAGCCTTGGAGAGAGGGGGCAAGAGACGGTATGAGAGCTGATACACAGAGGAGAGAGTACTAGTCTTTCTTCACCCAGCCACAGACTTGGCCACTTGGGAAAGTCACTCACGGATCCTCTCTTTCCTCTCTCTCACGTGTAAATACACAAGATGCCATCAGGGGCCTAGAGAATTTTGTGGAATAGGCCAAGTCCATTTCATTTTATCTTCCTACCCAAGGTCCTTTCAAAGACAGGGAGCCTAACTTCTCCTGGATTTCAACAAGCAGACATCTTTCAGAAAACAATATAGACTAATGCTTCCCCTTCAGTGGAAGGGAATTTAAGAATTAGGCCATAAAAAGGAACGAAGTACTGATATAAGCTACAGTGGGATGAACTTTGAAAATATTATGCTGTACAAAGGAAGCCAGTCACCAAAGACCACATACTATGTGATTCCATTCATATACAAGCCCAGAGTAGAGAAATCTATAGAGGCAAAGTAGATCTTAGGGCTGGGAGAGGAGAGGAGAATAAAAGGTTGATACCTAAAGCATACAAGGTTTCTTTCTGAGGTGATGAAAATGTCCCAAAATTGACTGTGGTGATGGCTACACATATCTGTAAAGATACTAAAAACCACTGAATTGTATGCTTTAAATGGATGAATTGTATGGCATGTGAATTATATCACAATAAAGCTGCTTTTAAAAGAAAAGAAGAACATACAGAAGGGTGGCTGGATGACTCCAAAGCCCACAGCACCTTGGCGAGCGGCATTGCTCTCACCACTGTGATCTTCCCCCATGGGTCCTTGTACTTCCAAACCTCAGGGAACCCGAGGGACTCCAGAGACCCAACTCTCAATTACAGCACCTGGAGTGGTGTCTCGCCACAGAAGACGCAGACAGCAAGACAGTTTGACAGCTCTAACCATTACAAACACCTGCAGAAGCTGCTACAGAGCCCATAAATAGCCCCAGGTTTGCCCACCGGACTAGGGTCCCCCTCTGAACTGGAGCTCGCCTTCCTAGCTCCTTCGGCTGTGTCCACTGGAGAGAGGTACACAGGACGCTGGAAAAGAGGAAAAGAGAGGCCATTTTCTCAGACTCTTCCACCCAAAGGCCCTCCCAGTTTGCGGTTTCCTGGACTCAGCAGCCCAGGGCCTGTTCCTGACCATGGAAGGAGGAGGCGGCTTCACTGGTTTATTATCTGGCCTCATCTCCCTCTCCCCCACAGCCCACCTACTCCAGCCACTCTGGCCTACTCCCTTTCCTTTAACGCACCACATACACTCATTGCTTGGAGCACTCTTCCCCAAAGAGCCTCCTCCCCCTGGAAATCTTGGCTCAAATGTGCCTTTCTCCACCCTGGCCACCTCATTTGAAAATCCTAACCCCAGTCTCCCTCACCCTTCTTTATCGTTTTCCCATAACACATGTCATACCAGAGATTTTCCTTATTAAGTGTATATTACCTGCTATTACTAGGCCTCCTTATTCACAACACAGCTTCTTTTAGCCTCCAGAGCCCAGCTGGAGAGCCAGGAGGCTGTGATTAACTACCTTCCCATCCCCTTTAATGAGCCTGTAGTACATGGAACAATCACTCCTGGCCTTTTCTACCTCTGCTTCCGAAGCACCCTTACCAGACCCTCAGAGGATCTGGGGAGAGCTGGCTCTTCATTCCAGTGTTTGCTCACCTCCTGTAAGAACAGTGCCTTCTCCTGGCCACCTAGATTTTCTTTTTCAAGGGGCACCTGCAACCTGTTTTCACAGGTTATCCCTACTAAAACATCATAAAGTGGGCTGGGAAAATACAAGTAAACCCATTTGTAAACACTGTAACTCTACCTCCTCTCATCTAGTAATTCCTTGTTTACTTATTGCTTTCCTCTACAGGACCATAAACTCCTGGAGAGCAGAGACTAGGTGTTTCCTGCCCACCATGGAGAACATATTAGGTGCACAGTATCCATTGGAGTGCAATAGTAAGGACTCATTAATTGTCTCCGTTATCATCATTATGTGGCTTGTCCTGGATCTCCGTCAGTGAGCGACTTGCCAAGTGTGTACACCCATGAACCAGAAGGCAACCCAAGACCAGCCAGAAAAGACGCTTGGCACCCTTTGATGAGTACATTTACCCAGTGACCGCCAACTCTCCCCATTCCCCAAAGTTCTGCAAAGGACGCAGGAAAAGTAAAGTTCAAGGAATAGTGTTCCTAGATCCCTAGCAAAGTTCTAGACCCAAAACACAAAGCCTGGGAGGGGTGGAGGAACGGGGCTTGGGGAACTGTCCCAAGGGCCTCCCCGGCTGATCTCTCCGCACCACCTAGGACTGCCTGAGCGCCCCCTGTGGGTCCACGGAGCCCAGGAGACGCGTTTGGCCCTGTAGACCATCCACATCGCCCGCCCTCCGCTTCTCTCAACTCGCCTCTCGCTTCAGAGTCGGAGGGACAGGGGAAGCGACGCTCAGACACTCCTAGGGCCAGAGGTGGAGGGAGCGAAGGAGACCCTGAAGAAGTGGGAGGGGGTCGGGCCAGGCAGGGGCTGAAGAGAATCGCGCCACAGGCTGGGACGGGAAACGTGGGAAAGTTGGAGTGGGAAGTTTGCGACAGGGAACATAGAAAAGAGCAGAAAGAGGGCAAGATCCCCGCACAGAGGACGCAAACAGAAGCAAGCGGGGGAGCGCGCCTCAAGGGATGCGGGGTACGAGAGAGGGGCCGGGAGCCCGGGGACCCGCGGCGCCTGCCTACCCACCTGAGGCTGCCATGCCGCGGGGCGCCGCTCACATCCCTGGCTCGCTGCGTGCCCGGGGCCGGGACCGGGGCCGGCGGCGTCCTGGCTCGGGCTGGAGGGGCGCCGGGCTCCGCGCGGGACCGGCCGCCGCTCTGGCGCTTCCTCCCTCAGGGCAGCCCGGCCTCGCCACGAGGGCGTGTCCACAGAGTCCGCCCCGCCTGCGGGACTCGGCCCGCGGCACCTGCACCCGCGGCCGTTGGGGAGGGGAAGTGAGAACCCCATGCCGGCCGCCGGCCAGCTCCCCCCACGGCCCCCTGCTCAGGGGCAGCGAGAAGGCGGGGGCTTCGCGCCACGTGCGCCCCACTCCTCGGGAAACCAGCCCTGATCTGCCACCAAAGGGCAGCCCGAGGTGGAGGGGGTGTGGGGAGGAGGCGGAGGGGGAGAGTGTGGGGCTGCCAGGCCTCTGGGAGACAGGGCGGGGGTGTGTGTGTGTGTGAGCACCAGCTGTCCAAGCCACCTCCTCATCGCCTGGGGCTTTGTCCCTAAGCCCCTGCTGCCCCAGCAGGAAAGGGGAGGGGACAGGAAGGGGAAGAGGAGGAGGGCTGGGCACCTGGCCCTGGGTGCTCGGCGTTGCCCTTGAGTGCCCTCCTGTGATCTTTCTGCCGTTCCTTGGATCTGGTCTCCTGATGGCACATGAACATTAATTATAATGTCACATGATAAATGTCTAATAGAGTTTCTCTGCCATTCATTTCCTGTGTTCCTGTCTGCTGGGCGCTGCGTTTAGCACCTTACACACATTATCGCATTGCATCCTCACAGCAACCTTCTGAGGTAGCACCTATCACTGTCTTTACATTGGAGCCAAAGAAACAAGCCAAATACCTTGCTCAGGCTTCCACAGAGAACAAAAGCTCCCGGAGGTTCAGTACCAAGCCAGTCTGCTTCCAGAGCTAGAACTCTTGCTTAACCCTTGCCTTCACCTGCCCTCTTCTTGGACTCCTCCCTTTGCCTGCTGCCGAAATTCAACTGAATAGCACATCCCCTTGGAGTTCTCAACAATCCAGGGGCCAGAAGATGGACCCAGAGAGCAGAGATGAGGCAAGGTTAGGGCTGAAGTCCAGGTGGAAATAAAATGAAATGGATTTAAGAACGGGAATATCAGGATGAGGCCGTGCATTCATTTTCTTCTGTTGCCATAATAAATTACTACAAATTTAGTGGCTTAAAACAACACCAACTTATCATTTTACAGTTCTGTAGCTCAGAAGTGTGACATGAGTCTCCATCGGCTAAAATCAAGGTGGTGGCTGGGCTGGGTTTCTTTCTGCCAAATAGAAGGGAATCAATTTCCTTGGCTCTTTCAGCTTCTAGAAGCCATCCACATTCCTTGGCTCATGGCCTCCTTGTTCTATCTTCAAAGCCAGATGGCCCTGCTTCTGTCATCATATCCCTTTCTCTGACTCTCTTCTGTCTCCCTCTTCCAGTTTTAAGGATCCTAGTGGCCGGGCGCGGTGGCTCACGCCTGTAATCCCAGCACTTTGGGAGGCCGAGGCGGGCGGATCACGAGGTCAGGAGATCGAGACCATCCCAGCTAAAACGGTGAAACCCCGTCGCTACTAAAAATACAAAAAATTAGCCGGGCGTAGTGGCGGGCGCCTGTAGTCCCAGCTACTTGGGAGGCTGAGGCAGGAGAATGGCGTGAACCCGGGAGGCGGAGCTTGCAGTGAGCCGAGATCCCGCCACTGCACTCCAGCCTGGGCGACAGAGCAAGACTCCGTCTCAAAAAAAAAAAAAAAAAAAAAAAAAAAAGGATCCTAGTGATTGCATTCGGCCCTCCTAGATAAGCCAGGAAAATCTCCCTATTTGGAGAACCTTGCCTGAACACTGGTCTTCCTGACTCCACCCTCTTCCTTCTCTCCCCAAAGCCTCTCTCGCTCTTCACAAGTCTCTGGGCCTGGCCAGTTTGTGTTCTTTGTCATAGACATTTCTACTGAGCATGCATCTGTCTATTCAAGGTCAACTCCCCTAACATTCCCACTGTTCAAACGCATGTTCCTCCCTTCCAGCTCCGGATGTTAGGGAGAGAAGGCTCTTTCCTTCCTCCTAACCAAGTGCATCTGGACAACTTTTAACCTAAAGGATATTTCTAACTTGTTAAACCATTAGAAGGCACCTGCCACTTGCAGGTAAGGTTTTGGGTGCTAGGTCAGCTATCCAAACTCTGCTCCCACTCCTGGCTAGCAGTGACCACTGGAATTAGAGCGAGAAAAGGACTCAGAGGCAACAGTCCCTTGGTGAGAGGACATGACTAGTCCCTGACTCTGGCAATTTCATTCAACAAATTTCTTTGTATAACAGGTGGAGCCAGACTGGGGAAAGTAGTGTCTGTTTGGTTTTGCACCTCCGTGTGGCGGGTTTTGCAGAATGGGAGTGGCGGGGATAGGGAGGAGAGCAGCTGCCCCTCTGGAAGACCCTGCTCCACTCCGTGCACTGGCTCTCTCCAGGTTCTGCAGTCGGTCCCTGCAACACTGGGTGGTAGGTGAATTGGCTCGAGGAAGAATGGAGAACCCGAACTTGGCTGCTGCCCTACAGTTCTGTTTGGCCTGGCAAAAGGGAGAGGCTGGAGAGGTAAACATGTGTCATCCTAAGGAATGGGGGCCTGAGGACAGGGCAGCAGAAATCCCTGCTTTTTACATCTTCAAAGTGTTATTTCATAGCCTGTCGGACCTGGGGATCAGAGCCTTTTCCCTGGTTAGCAAAACCTCCCTTACTAGGACAAAATGTGAAGGTGGAGCAGTGTGTCACCATGGATGCTCATGATCCATCCAAAGTGGAGTACCTTCATAGAGGTACTTTCATGGAGTACCTTCCTATGAGGAAGGTACTAAGAGTATACACATTTTACAGATAAGAAGTTAAATAGGCTGGGTGCGGTGGCTCACGCTTGTAATCCCAGCACTTTGGGAGGCCGAGACAAGTGGATCACAAGGTCAGGAGTTCAATACCAGCCTGGCCAATATGGTGAAACCCCCGTCTGTACCAAAAATACAAAAATTAGCTGGACATGGTGGCGCGCACCTGTAGTCCCAGCTCCTCAGGAGGCTGAGGCAGGAGAATAGCTTGAACCCAGGAGGCAGAGTTTGCAGTGAGCCGAGATTGTGCCACTGCACTGCACTGCAGCCTGGGCAACAGAGCAAGACTTTGTCTAAAAATATATATATATAAAAAAAATTAAATAGCTTTTGCCCAAGGGCACATAGCTAGTAATTTGCAGTGCTGAGTTTTGAACCCAGACAGTCTGGCTTCAGAGCCCATGCTTCTGCCCACTAGATTAGGTGGTAAATGCTTGAAGCAGGCCCTGCTATGACCTAAGGGCCCCACAAGTCACCACTAGCCTTTGTTGGCATCACCTCACATTGCAGGTAGACAGTAGCTCTTTGTCACCTGTGAGTTCCCCTGCTCTGCCAGAATTGCCTTAGTCTCACAAAGGACAAACATCCAGAGCCCCACTTTGGAGCGCCCCCAGCATCCCCTACCTCCCTGCCCACCTCCCTGTCAGTGTCCTATGAGACCATCAGTGTCTCATACTCATGGGACCTAACTGCTATATCTCTTTCACCACTGCATCTCTGATGCCCAGCACACAGTGGGTACGTAACTGCTTTGTTTTTAAATTATCAAGTCCAACCTGCTTGTTTTACCGATGAAGATACCGACATACAGGTTGAATGAGCTGTCTAAGCTCCCACAGCTTTCATTCAAAGCACTTGCTCTTCATTTTGTTCAGCAGAGCAAGAGGACTCAGGCGTGTTCATATGGATAGGGTGGAGTGTGCGAAGATTGGACTATATAGGACTGGCAGGTGGCAGGTAAGACATCACAGGTGGGGACAGGGATAAGGAGTTCGAGAGCACCAGTGCCTGTTTTTGCCTTGTGAACTCCCTGGCTTTTATAAAGACTGCTGCCCTTCCTATCTGCCTGAGGCAATTTCAACCCAGTTCCAACCCAGTAGGACATAATATCAAAACTTGATGCAGGCAATTTGGGGACATTTGTGGCTTTCAGGAACAAGTATCTTTGCAGATGAAACCTAGAAGCCTACCCCTCCTTCCCTACTCACCGAAATGGCCACTCCCCATGAAGGCCATGCCACCACCTGTGGGCCCCTGCTCGGGCCATTTTGAGTGGTGGCAGTGCCCATTTCCAGGCCCTGGACCTCAAATTCAGAGAAACAAAATGTTGGGTATCTGCTATGTGGCTCTGATAAGATAATTCACCTGACTCATGGTCACTGGGTTAGTAAGTATCAAAGCTAGATTTTGAATTCAAATCTATTTATTATGCCAGAATTGCCTCCCTTGTCATGTGTGGTGATTTAGAAGCCATGACAGCTGTCTCATGGCCGTTGTTCTTAAGGGCAGCTGAGGACGACATCTTAGAGCAGTTGTGCCACCTTGCTGATTCATATTGAGCACGTGGTCACCTCAGAACGCCAGCTCTTTTTCATGTAACTTGTAGAAGCCACACCTTTCCCTTTGCCACATCACAGTTGTACAGTTGTGTTTGCTTTGTTGGTGGGTGCTTGGGACCCAACTGCAATAATTTAATGCTTAATTAAACATATGGGCCGGGAGCAGTGGCTCACGCCTGTAATCCCAGCACTTTGGGAGGCCGAGGTGGATGGATCACCTGAGGTCAAGAGGTCAAGACCAGCCTGGCCAACATGGTGAAACCCTGTCTCTACTAAAAATACAAAAAGTAGCCGCGCGCAGTGTCGGTCACCTGTAATCCCAGCTACTCGGGAGTCTGAAGCACAAGAATCGCTTGAACCCGGGAGGCGGAGGTTGCAGTGAGCCAAGATCACGCCACTGCACTCCAGCCTGAGTGACAGAGCGGGACTCCATCTCAAAAAAAAAGAAAGAAAAAGAAAGGAAAAACAACAACAACAACAAACATTATATGTTGGATTCGGTCCAGTGTTCCAGCCTGTCAAGATTGTTTCAACTCAGGATTCCATCACTGATGGCAGAATTTAACAACTGGTCTACCAAAACTAACCTTAGCAACAAGGAAAAGGGATGTCACTGAGATTGCTCATCGCCCACCTAATATTCATTCTCCCCTGGTTTCTTAGGAACAGAATTCCAATTTTATTTGGGGACCACAATGTGCTCCACTAAAAGACTCCATTCCTCAGCCTCTCTTGCAACGTAAGAGGAGGCTGATAAGGTATAAATGGAAGGGGTGTCCCCGAAAATTCTTTATAAGAGGAGGCTGATAAGGTGTAAATGTAAGGGGTGGCCCTGAAAATTCTTTATAAGAGGAGACTGATAAGGTGTAAATGGCTGGGGTGTCCCCGAAAATTCTTTATAAGAGACTTAACTCTGCTGACAGACACCCTTTTTGCTTGTCTCTTTTTCTTTTACTTCCTGCCTGTAATGTGAATGGGATGGCTGGAGATCCAACAGCCCTCTTAGATCATGAGGTGACCATGTAGATGGAACCCATACACTAAAGATGGTAGAGCAGAAAGCTGGGGAGCCTGATTCCCTGATGACCGTGGAGCTCCCAAACAAGCTCCAGGTTTCACATCTCTGACAACATTTACAGGAGAGGAAAAATAAATACATCTCTGCCTTGATCAAGCCATGATATTTTGGGTATTCTGCTATGTGTAGCCAAACCTCATTCTTCACTGATAAGGGAATGGAAGCTAGCATTTATTGAGCACTGACTATGACCCACGAACTCTCTTATGCTATCTCAGTTAATTCTCACAATAATAACTTCAAAGATGAAGAAACTGAGAGTAAGTGAGATTAGATAATGTTTCCTGGGTCATTCAGCTGGCAGCAGACCTGGAGTTCAAACCCAGATCAGAGCCAGGAGTGGTGGTTCATGCCTGTAATCCCAGCACTTTGGGAGGCTGAGGTGGGCAGATCACCTGAGGTCAGGAGTTCAAGACCAGCCTGGCCAACATGGAGAAACCCCGTATCTACTAAAAATACAAAAATTAGCTGGGCGCAATGGCGCATGCCTGTAATCCCAGCCACTTGGGAGGCTGAGGCAGGAGAATTGCTTGAACCCGTGAGGAGGAGGTAGCAGTGAGCCAAAATCGCTCGGCCACCGCACTCCAACCTGGGTGACAGAACAAGACTCTGTCTCAAAAACAACACCACCACCAACAAACCCAGATCAGTCTGAGCCCAGAGTCCATGATCTTCCGACAGTACAATGACATACTGAATGGCTTCCAGACAGTTGATTTGAAAGTATTCCCTGAGGGCCGGGCACGGTGGTTCACACCTGTAATCCCAGCACTTTGGGAGGCCGAGGCGGGCGGATCACGAGGTCAGATGGAGACCATCCTGGCTAACACGGTGAAACCCTGTCTCTACTAAAAATACAAAAAATTAGCCGGGCATGGTGGCGGGTGCCTGTAGTCCCAGCTATTCGGGAGGCTGAGGCAGTAGAATGGCGTGAATCTGGGAGGCGGAGCTTGCAGTGGGCAAAGATCGCGCCACTGCACTCCAGCCTGGGTGACAGAGCGAGATTCCGTCTCAAAAAAAAAAAAAGAAAGAAAGAAAGAAAAGAAAGTACTCCCTGAGGACATGTGGTGCTCTCAAGTCAGGGCCACCGTGAATCCTAGGCACTTCAAGTCCCGTGCAGATGGTGACTTCATTCATGCATGAATGCATATCTTGCACATTTCCTACTTCTGCCTTTTGAGGTGATGAAGCAGAAAGTCTAGGCAGCTGTGACAAAAAATTTTAGGACTTGGCTTCATAGACTCTAGAGTGTTAGAGGTGGAAATCACTCTAATAGGTCATTATTGGACACATGTGGAAACTAAGGCCAAGAGAGGCAAAGTGACCTTTCTAACACCACACTTTGAGTTGGAGGTTGAACCAGGACTAGAACCCTGGTCCCTATTCCTAATCTGGTGCCTTTTTGCTATATCCAACCACCTACTTTCTCCCTACCAGTACATTCAAAAAGTAACTGTAGAAATTATTTTCTTGATCTGACGCTTTAACTTTGTAGTTCTCTGTAAATCTACCACTAGCTCCTAGAGGGCTAATCAAACCTTGAACCTCCTTACATAAGCCTCGCTTGGTCATAATATATCATTTTTTTTTATATATTGCCAATTTACTAATATTGTTAAAAATTTTTGCAACTATGTTCATGGAAGATATCGGTCTGTAATTTTCTTCTTTGTAATGCCTTTTGTCAGTTTTTGGTATCAGGGTTAATCTAGCCTCATAAAAGGAGTGTGGAAGTGTTCCTTCTCTATTTTCTGGTAGACAAAGATAAGTGTTTCCTTAATGTTTGATAGAATTAGCCAATAAAATTCTCTAGGTTTAAATTTTTCTTTGTGAGATTTTGCTAGAAATTTCAATTTCCTCAATAGATATGAGGCTATTCAGATTTTATATTTCATCTGGTGCTAGTATTAGTAAGTTGTCTTTTTCAAGAAATTTGTCCATTTTATCTGTATTTTTAGATTTATTGACATAAAGTTATTTATAATGTTTTCTTATTATCTTCTTAATGCCTGCAAGATTTGTAATGATAGCTCCTCTTTCATTTCTTTTTTTTTAATTTTTAATTCTTACGAGTACACAGTAGGCATATATATTTATGGGGTATATGAAATATTTCCTCTTTCATTTCTGATACTGGGAATTAGTGTTTTCTCTCTCCTGTGTGTGTGTGTGTGTGTGTGTGTGTGTGTGTGTGTGTGTATCTCTGTCTGTATCAACTTGGATAGATGTTTATCAATTTTCTCGATCTTTCCAAACAACTAGTTTTTGGTTTTATTAATTTTTCTATTGTTTGTTTTCTACTTCATTGATTTCTGTTCTCGTCTTTGTTATTTCCTTCCTTTTACTTACTTTAGTAAGTTTAAGGTTCACTTTGCTCTTATATAGCAAAGGTTGAAACTTTGGCTACCGATTTTATTCCTTCCATCTTTTCTAATGTAAGAATTTAAAGTTATAAATTTCCCCAATTTAGTAGTTTTGCTGTATCTCCCAAATTTTGATATATTGCATTTTCACTGTAGCTTAGTTCAACATATTTTCATGTCCCCTGTGATTTCTTCTTGGAGCCATAGGTTATTTAAAAGTGAGTTAAGCTGAGCACAGTGGCCTGTAATCCCAGGACTTTGTGAGACCTTGTTTCTACCAAAAAAAAAAAAAATTAGCTTGGTGTGGTGGTGTGTGCCTGTAGTCCCAGCTACCTGAGAGGCTGAGGTGGGAGGATTGCTTGAGCCTAGGAAGTCGAGGCTCCAGTGAGCTGAGATTGTGCCACCATACTCTAGCACGGGTGACAGAGTGAGACCCTGTCTCAAAAATAAAGTAAAAAGTGAGTTAATATTCATATATTTAGGCTTTTAAAAATATATATTATTGTTATTGAGTTCTAATTTAATTATGGTCAGAAAGCAGACTGTATGAACCTTTTAAATTTATCGATTTTTTTATTCAAATCTTTGTTAAAAATATAAAAGTAAAAATAAGATTTAAAAACATCTATTGATACTTGTTTGATGGCCCAGCTTATGATCGATCTTGGTGAATGAGCGTTTGAAAAGAACGTGTATTCTGCAGTTACTGGGTACAGTGTCAATCAAATCAAGATGGCCTGGTAATACTGGATTGTACTTGACATTGTACGTGACACTTGTAGAGAATCTGGATTCCATTATGCCTCTGAAAAGTTTTATTTTTAAGCAAGTAGTTATTTTGGCTTGATTCAGACTGCAAACTCTGTCTTCTTTACTGTGGTGGGCAGCAGCAGAACTCGCTGCCCAGTTTTTTCAGCCTGTAATGGGCTGCTCAGAGCCTTCCCTACAGAAGTCGGCCAGAGGTTTGGGCAGAGTTCATGCACAGGGCCTGGAGCTCTCCTCTACTGCTCACTCCTTTCTGAGATAACACCCTCCTTTTGCAGCTGCTGTGTCCTTTGGTTCTCCAACGCAGTTACACAGTATAGGATCTATCTGAATTTTAGCCGCGGCCCAGGACATGGAATGGGGCCTGCCCTCTGACGAAAAGCTGGAAACTGAGAACCCCAGTGCTGTTCCTTTCTTCTAAGCATTGGCTCTTCTCCAGTGTTTGGCTACTTTTTTCTTGTTCTCCATTGCCTTTAGGTTCTTGTTTGTGTTTCTTTTGCCCAGTTAATAGTGCTGCCTCTGGTATGACTGGTCCAAGAAACAACTCGTGTATTGTTGGGAGCATCTTGAGCCCAAAAAAGAGGTGGACTCACTGAGCAATGCCTGAGGTGCCACTCTGTAAGGAATGCTAAAACATCATAGGAATAAATCAGATATATGGTGCCAATTAACTCAAGTTTTTTTTTTTTTTTTGAGACAAAGTCTTTCTCTGTCGCCCAGGCTGGAGTGCAATGGCGCAATCTCAGCTCAATGCAACCTCTGCCTCCTGAGTTCAAGGGAGTCTCATGCCTCAGCCACTTGAGTAGCTGGGATTACAGTCAAGCACCACCATGCCTGGCTAATTTTTGTATTTTTAGTAGAGACGGGGTTTCATCATGTTGTTCAGGCTGGTCTCGAACTCCTGAACTCAAGTGATCTGCCCATCTCAGCCTCCCAAAGTGCTGGGATTACAGAGGTGAGCCACTACCCTGGCCTAACTCAAGTTTCTATGTGTGACTCCATATCTAATACATGAGATGCAAATTGTTTCCTGATTAAGTAAACACAGTCCTCAAGTGGACACTTAAGAACAAAGAAAGTTGAAAGTTCCCATTAACCTGGACACACTTCTAGGTAAATACACATATATCTAACTCATTCTTTTTTTTTTTTTTTTTTTTTGAGACGGAGTCTTCCTCTGTCGCCCAGGCTGAGTGCAATGGCATGATCTCGGCTCACTCCAAGCTCCACCTCCCGGGTTCACACCATTCTCCTGCCTCAGCCTCCTGAGTAGCTGGGACTACAGGCACCCGCCACCACGCTCAGCTAATTTTTTGTATTTTTTAGTAGAGACGGGGTTTCACCGTGTTAGCCAGGATGGTCTCAATCTCCTGACCTCGTGATCCACCCACCTTGGCCTCCCAAAGTGCAGGGATTACAGGCATGAGCCACCGTGCCCGGCCTAACTCATTCTTTTTAAAAGTTGTGTAATACTCCATAGTATAGGTATACCATAATATATCAATTCCCTACTCAGGGAAGTTCAGTTATTTTCCTTCAGGTTAAGTACATCTTTTTGCCCCTACAAAAGCCATGTTACAGTAAATCTCCTTGAACATATTTCTTCATGTGCTGGTACTATTCTTTTTGTAGGATAGATTACAAAACTATTGCCAGAGGTATATGAACCAGAGCAACCCCATCTTGAATAGGGGCGGGGTAAAATAAGGCTGAGACCTACTGGGCTGCATTCCCAGACGGCTAAGGCATTCTTACTTACAGTATTAGAAAGGAGGTCAGCACAAGATACAGGTCATAAAGACCTTGCTGATAAAACAGGTTGCAGTAAAGAAGCCGGCCAAAACCCACCAAAACCAAGATGGCAACGAGAGTGACCTCCGGTCGTCCTCACTGCTACACTCCCACCAGCACCATGACAACTTACAAATGCCTTGGCAACCTCAGGAAGTTACTTACCCTAGATGGTCTAAAAAGGGGAGGCATGAGTAATCCACCCTTGTTTAGCATATCATCAAGAAATAACCATAAAAATGGGCAACCAGCAGCCCTCGGGGCTGCTCTGTCTATGGAGTAGCTATTTTTATTCCTATGCTTTCCTAATAAACTTGCTTTCAGTTTACTCTATGGACTTGCCCTGAATTCTTGCTTCGCGAGATCCAAGAACCCTCTCTGGGGGTCTGGATCGGGACTCCTTTCCTGTAACAGTATTGCTGGATCAACGGATATGTGCACTTCAAAATATATGTTATTATAATACTTCCCAGAGAGTCTGAAGAAGCTACTTGGGAGGCTGAGGCAGGAGAATGGCGTGAACCCAGGAGGCGGAGCTTGCAGTGAGCTGAGATCACGCCACTGCACTCCAGCCTGGGCGACAGAGCGACACTCCGTCTCACAAAAAAAAAAAAGAAAGAAATTATCATTCCACACCCATATCAATACTCTCACTAATCTTTTCTTATTTTTTGCTAATCTGATGGATTAAAAAAAGTTATGCTCATTATTATGCTAATTGGCATTTCCTTGAATACCAGTGGGATTAAGAATCTTTTCTTTTCTTTTGAGACGGAGTCTTGCTCTGTCACCTAGGTTGGAGTGCGGTGGCCCAATCTCGGCTCACTGCAAGCTCCACCTCCCGGGTTCAAGCCATTCTCCTGCCTCAGCCTCCCAAGTAGCTAGGACTACAGGCGCCCACCACCAAGCCTGGCTAATTTTTTTGTCTTTTTGTAGTATAGACGGGGTTTCACCGTGTTAGCCAGGATGGTCTTGATCTCCTGACCTCATGATCCTCCCGCCTCGGCCTCCCAAAGTGCTGGGATTATAGGCGTGAACCACCGCACCCAGCCAAGAATCATTTCATATTGCCTATGATTTGCATTTTTTTTCTGGAAGCGCCTGGGGACATGCTTGCCAAATTCTAATTGGATTGATTGTCTGTTTTTTTTTTTTTATTGGTTTGTAAGAGCTAAGGTATGTTAGCAACTTTTCTCCTTTGTCATATATATTCTAAGTATTTACCCTAGCCTATCATTTGTCTCCTGACTTATTATTTCTTTCACTATATAAATATGTTAATTTTTCAAAGGTGATGCGTGACTTATTGTTAGATGTGACTCTTAGGGTTTCTGAGTTTCATCTTCTACTTCAGAAGGTCTTTTTTACTTTACAATTTTATAAACAACTTCTTACATTTGTATCTAATATTTTTATTTTTTACATTTAGGCTTTTAATCCATCTGGAGTTTATTTTTGCATATGAAGTGGGGTAGAAGTGTAACTGTTTTCTTCCAGATGGATAGTCAGTTCTGCTAGCACCATATATTAAGTAAACCATCCTTCCCCCTCTGAATGAAATGTCATCTTTATTTATATCAAGCTCCCATTTGAATTTGTTTCTGGATTCCTTATTAGATTCTACTTGTATTGTTTATTTCTGTGCTATATATATACATATAGTTTTTATTATAATAGCATTGTAGTAAGTTTTATGATGTAGTATACAAGGTTGAATTATGTTTGACTGCTAGCAACAGATATAAATAACAGAGGTTTACACAAGAAGCAATTTTATTTCTTTCATGTAAAAGAAGTCTGATACAGGGTCGGGTGTGGTGGCTCACACTTGTAATCCCAGCACTTTGGGAGGCCCAGGCCGGTGGATCCCCTGAGATCAGGAGTTCTAGACCAGCCAGGTCAACACGTGAAACTCTGTCTCTACTAAAAATACAAAAAAATTAGCCAGGTGTGGTGGTGCACACCTATAGTCAGTCCCAGCTACTCAGGAGGCTGAGGCAGGAGAATCACTTGAACCCAGGAGGTGGAGGTTTCAGGGAGCTGAGATCTTGCCACTGCACTCCAGCCTGGGCAACAGCGTAAGACTCGGTCTCAAAACAAACAAACAAAAATAAGTCTGATATAGGATGCCCAGGATTGGCATGGAAGAACCATGCTTATCAGGAGCCCAGACTGTCAGGCCTCTGAGCCCAAGCCAAGCCATCGCATCCCCTGTGACTTGCACGTATATGCCCAGATGGCCTGAAGTAACTGAAGAATCACAAAAGAAGTGAAAAGGCCCTGCCCCGCCTTAACTGATGACATTCCACCATTGTGATTTGTTCCTGCCCCACCTTAACTGAGTGATTAACCCTGTGAATTTCCTTCTCCTGGCTAAGAAACTCCCCCACTGAGCACCTTGTGACCCCCGCCCCTGCCCCCCAGAGAACAACCCCCTTTGACTGTCATTTTCCATTACCTTCCCAAATCCTATAAAACTCAGCCTATAAGACTCAGCCCGCCTGCACCCAGGTGAAATAAACAGCCATGTTGCTCACACAAAGCCTGTTTGGTGGTCTCTTCACACGGATGCGCATGAAATTTGGTGCAAGAACCCCCCACCCCTTCTCCGTGTCTCTACTCTTTTCTCTGGGCTTGCCTCCTTCACTATCGGTAAGCTTCCACCTTCCATTCCTCCTTCTTCTCCCTTAGCCTGTGTTCTCAAAAACTTAAAACCTCTTCAACTCACACCTGACCTAAAACCTAAATGCCTTATTTTCTTCTGCAATGCCGCTTGACCCCAATACAAACTCGACAGTAGTTCCAAATAGCCAGAAAATGGCACTTTGAATTTTTCCATCCTGCAAAATCTAAATAATTCTTGTCGTAAAACAGGCAAACGGTCTGAGGTGCCTGACGTCCAGGCATTCTTTTACACATCAGTCCCTTCCTAGTCTCCTTGCCCAGTGCAACTCGTCCCAAATCTTCCTTTCCCTCTGGCCTGTCCCCTCAGTACCAACCCCAAGCGTCGCTGAGTCTTTCTAATCTTCCTTTTCTACAGACCCATCTGACCTCTCCCTTCCTCCCCAGGCTGCTCCTCGCCAGGCCGAGCTAGGTCCCAATTCTTCCTCAGCCTCCGTTCCTCCACCCTATAATCTTTTTATCACCTCCCCTCCTCACACCTGGTCCGGCTTACAGTTTCGTTCCATGACTAGCCCTCCCCCACCTGCCCAGCAATTTACTCTTAAAAAGCCAAAGGCATAGTCAAGGTTAATGCTCCTTTTTCTTTATCCCAAATCAGATAGCATTTAGGCTTTTTCATCAAATATAAAAATCCAGCCCAGTTCATGGCTCGTTTAGCAGCAATCCTGAGACACTTTACAGACCTAGACCCTAAAAGGTCAAAAGGCCGTCTTATTCTCAATATACATTTTATTACCCAATCTGCTCCCGACATTAAATAAAACTCCAAAAATTGGAATCTGGCCCTCAAACCCCACAACAGGACTTAATTAACCTCACCTTCAAGGTGTACAATAACAGAAAAAAGTTGCAATTCCTTGCCTCCATTGTGAGACAAACCCCAGCCACATCTCCAGCACACAAGAACTTCCAAACGCCTGAACCGCAGCAGCCAGGCGTTCCTCCAGAACCTCCTCCCCCAGGAGCTTGCTACACGTGCCGGAAATCTGGCCACCAAGCCAAGGAATGCCCGCAGCCCAGGATTCCTCCTAAGCCGTGTCCCATCTGTGCGGGACCCCACTGAAAATCGGACTGTTCAACTCACCTGGCAGCCACTCCCAGAGCCCCTGGAACTCTGGCCCAAGGCTCTCTGACTGACTCCTTCCCAGATCTTCTCGGCTTAGTGGCTGAAGACTGACACTGCCCGATCACCTCGGAAGCCCCCTAGACCATCACGGACGCCGAGCTTCGGGTAACTCTCACAGTGGGAAGTAAGCCCATCCCCTTCTTAATCAATACGGAGGCTACCCATTCCATATTACCTTCTTTTCAAGGGCCTGTTTCCCTTGCCTCCATAACTGTTGTGGGTATTGACGGCCAGGCTTCTAAACCTCTTAAAACTCCCCAACTCTGGTGCCAACTTAGACAATACTCTTTTAAGCACTCCTTTTTAGTTATCCCCACCTGCCCAGTTCCCTTATTAGGCTGAGACAATTTAACTAAATTATCTGCTTCCCTGACTATTCCTGGACTACAGCTATATCTCATTGCCGCCCTTCTTCCCAATCCAAAGCCTCCTTTGCGTCCTCCTCTTGTATCCCCCCACCTTAACCCACAAGTATAAGATACCTCTACTCCCTCCTTGGCGACCGATCATGCACCCCTTACCATCTCATTAAAACCTAATCACCCTTACCCCACTCAACGCCGATATCCCATCCCGCAGCACGCTTTAAAAGGATTAAAGCCTGTTATCACTCGCCTGCTACAGCATGGGCTTTTAAAGCCTATAAACTCTCCTTACAATTCCCCCATTTTACCTGTCCTAAAACCAGACAAGCCTTACAAGTTAGTTCAGGATCTGCGCCTTATCAACCAAATTGTTTTGACTATCCACCCCGTGGTGCCAAACCCATATACTCTCCTATCCTCAATACCTGCCTCTATAACCCATTATTCTGTTCCAGATCTCAAATATGCTTTCTTTACTATTCCTTTGCACCCTTAATCCCAGCCTCTCTTCACTTTCACTTGGACTGACCCTGACGCCCATCAAGCTCAGCAAATTACCTAGTCTGTACTGCTGCAAAGCTTCACAGACAGCCCCCATTACTTCAGTCAAGCCCAAATTTCATCCTCATCTGTTAGTCATACTCCTATTCACCGTTCTCAACTACTCATACATGCCCTGCTCTTGTTTACACTGCCGGTTTACACTGTTTCTCCAAGCCATCACAGCTGATATCTCCCAGTGCTATCCCCAAACTGCCACTCTAAACTCTTGAAGTAAATAAATAATCTTTGCTGGCAGGACTATGCTGAATCTCCTTAGGCACTCTCTAATTAGATGCCCTAGGTCCTCCCAATTCTTAGTCCTTTTATACCTGTTTTTCTCCTACTCTTATTCCATTTAGTTTTTCAATTCATACAAAACCATATCCAGGCCATCACCAATCATTCTATACAACAAATGTTTCTTCTTACATCCCCACAATATCACCCCTTACCACAAGATCTCCCTTCAGCTTAATCTCTCCCACTCTAGGTTCCCACACCGCCCCTAATCCCGCTTGAAACAGCCCTGAGAAACATCGCCCATTCTCTCTCCATACCACCCCCCAAAATTTTTCGCCGCCCCAACACTTCAACACTATTTTGTTTTATTTTTCTTATTAATATAAGAAGGCAGGAATGTCAGGCCTCTGAGCCCAAGCCAAGCCATCGCATCCCCTGTGACTTGCACGTATACGCCCAGATGGCCTGAAGTAACTGAAGAATCACAAAAGAAATGAAAAGGCCCTGCCCCGCCTTAACTGATGACACTCCACCATTGTGATTTGTTCCTGCCCCACCTTAACTGAGTGATTAACCCTGTGAATTTCCTTCTCCTGGCTCAGAAGCTCCCCTACTGAGCATCTTGTGACCCCCGCCCCTGCCCCCCAGAGAACAACCCCCTTTGACTGTAATTTTCCATTACCTTCCCAAATCCTATAAAACGGCCCCATCCCTATCTCCCTTCGCTGACTCTCTTTTCGGACTCAGCCCGCCTGCACCCAGGTGAAATAAACAGCCATGTTGCTCACACAGAGCCTATTTGGTGGTCTCTTCACACGGACGTGCATGAAACAGACTTCTTCCATTATATTCTTAACTGTGGTTTTCACTCTTATGATCTCCTCATGCTCCAAGATGGCTGCTGAATCTCCAGCCATAAATCCCTTATTCCAGGTAGGAAGCAAACAGAGTAGGGAAGGGCCAAAAGGGCACAGGCCAACTCTCTGCCTCCTTTTTAAAAGCTTTTTTGAAACTCTCACCTAACAGATTTATTTATACTCCCATCTGAAAGGGAAGCAAGGAAACAAAGTCCTTTAGATGTTAAAAGGCACCTAGTTAGTCTCAGCCACATCTAGTTAGGTAAACCCTCCCCATCCCCATTCTTTTTTTGTTAATTGGTTATTCTCAGACATTTATGTTTTTTAATTAATAGATGTTTTAGAATTAAGGAAAAATAGAACAGATAGTACAGAGTTTCCATATATCCTGCCCGCTTCTCATATAACCCCTCCCACCACAGTTTTCCCTATTTTTAACATCTTGCATTAGTGTAGTACGTTTATTACAATTAATGAATCAATATTGGTACATTACTATTAACTAAGGTCCATAGTTTACATTAAGATTTACCCTGTATTGTATACTTCCATGGGTTTTGATATATGTATAATGTCATGTGCCCACCATTACAGTATCAAACAATCATTTTGCCACACTAAAAGTTCACTGTGCTTCATTTATTCATCCCTTCCTGAACACTCCTGAACTCCTGGCAACCATTAATCATTTTATTGTCTCTACAGTTTGTGATATGGTTTGGCTCTCTATCCCCATTCAAATCTCATCTCAAATTGTAATCCCCATGTGTAGAGGGAGGAACCTGGTGGGAGGTGATTGGATCATGGGGGTGGTTTCCCCCATACTGTTCTCATGATAATGAGGAAGTTCTCACAAGGTCTGATGGTTTTAGAAGTGGCAGTTTCTCCTGCGCACTCTCTCTCTCCTGCAGTCTTATGAAGAAGGT
The DNA here is from genome assembly GCF_000001405.40 of Homo sapiens. Taxonomy (NCBI): domain Eukaryota; kingdom Metazoa; phylum Chordata; class Mammalia; order Primates; family Hominidae; genus Homo; species Homo sapiens. Next base: position 96,737,571 of record NC_000010.11, read on the forward strand.
GCTTGGTTTCCTTAGGCCTCCTCAGACATGTGGAACTGTGAGTCAATTAAACCTATTTTCTTTATAAATTACCCAGTCTTAGGTAGTTCTTTATAGCAGTGTGAGAACAGACTAATAAAGTTTGCCTTTTCCCAAATGTCATACAGTATGCAGCCTTTTCAGACTGGCTTCTTTCACTTAGCAATATGCATTTAAGTTTCCTCCATGTCTTTTCATGGCTTAAGAGCTCACTTCATTTATCATTTAGTAATATTCCATTGTATGGATATACTATAGTTGGTTTATCCACCTATTGAAGGACAGCTTGATTGTTTCCAGCCTTTGGCAATTGTGATTAAAGGTACTTACGAACATTTGCGTGGAGGGTTGTTGTTAGTTTTTGTTTTTCAGGGTTTTTTTTGAGGCAGGATCTCACTCTGTTGCCCAGGCTGGAGTGCAGTGGTAGGATCATAGCTCACTGCAACCTCAAAACCTTGAACTCCTGGGCTCAAGCAATCCTCCTACCTCTTGAGTAGCTAGGACTATTAATTTTTAAACTTTTTGTAGAGATAGAGGCTTGCTACGTTGGGCTCAAACAATCCTCCTGCTTGGCCCTCCCAAAGTGCTGGGATCACAGGCCTAAACCACAGCACCTGGCCTGTGGGCAGACTTTTATGTGGACATAATTTCAATTGGGTAAATACCTAGAAGCACAATTGCTGAATTATACAGCAATTTGCAGTCCCCTAATGACATATGGTGTTGAGTATCTTTTCATATACTTATTTGCCATCTGTATATCTTCTTTTGTGAAGTGCCTATTTAGGTATTTTGTCCATTTTATAATCGGACTGTTTGGGGTTTTTTTACTGTTGAATTTTAAGAGTTCCTTGTATATTTTGGATGCAAGTTCTTTATTTCTCAGGTGCATGTCTTGCAGAAATTTTCTCCCAATCTATGGCTTCTCTTTACAGTCTGAACAGTGTCAAACTTTCACAGAGCAGTAGTTTTTTGTTTTAATGAAGCCCAACTTGTCAATTTTCTTGTTTCATGCGTTGTGCTTTGGTGTTATATCTAAAAAGTAACAGCCAAACCCAAGTAACCAAGCTTTTCTCTGATGTGAGCTTCTCAAATTTTGATAGGTGTGTGCTTTACATTTAGATCTATAATCCATTTTGAGTTACAGGCATACCCTGTGTTATTGCACTTCACTTTATTGTACTTCTCAGATTTTGTGTTTTTTTACAAATGGAAGGTTTGTGACAACCATGCACTGAGCAAATCTATTGGTACGTTTTTCCAACAGCATGTGATCACTAGTGTCTCTGTGTCACAGTTTCATAATTATTGCAATCTTTCAAACTTTATTTTATGGTTATATCTGTTATGGTGATCTATGATCAGTGATATTAGATGTTACTATTGCAATTGTTTTAGGGCACCCAGAACTGTGCCCATATAAGATAGTAAAATAGTTTGTATCTTTCATGGAATTGGTTAATTTCATCTAAGTTTTCAAATTTGTAGGCATAGAGTTTGTTCATAATATTTTTTTTTTTTGAGACGAAGTCTCACTTCGTTGCTCAGGCTGGAGTGATCTCAGCTCACTGCAACCTCTGCCTCCTGGGTTCAAACAATTTTCGTGCCTCAGCCTCCCAAGTAGCTGGGATTACAGGCACGCATCGCCACGCCTAGCTACATTTTTGTATTTGTAGTAGAGAGGGGGTTTCACTATGTTGACCAGACTGGTCTCGAACTACTGGCCTCAAGTGATCCACCTGCCTCAGCCTCCCAAAGTGCTGGGATCAGGTGTGAGCCACCAGGCCCAGCTGCTTTATTATCCTTTTAATGTCCATGAAATCAGTAGTGATGACTCCTCTTCTATTTTCCTCCTTCCTTCCTTCCTTCTCTTTCTCTCTCTCTTTCTTTTCAGGGTATCACTTTGTCACCCAGGCTGTAGTACAATAGTGCCATCTCAACTCACCACAGTCTCAAACTCCCTGGTTCAAGCAATCTTCCTGTCTCAGCCTCCCAAGTCGCAGGAACTACTTACTCTACACCAAGATGGGGACTACTACAGTGAGCCGAGATTGCACCACTGCACTCCAGCCTGGGCAACAGAGAGAGACTCCATCTAGAAAGAAAGAGAGAGAGGGAGGGAGGGAGGGAAAGAAAGAGAGAGAGAGAGGGGAGGGGAGGGAAGGGAAAGGAAGGGAAGGGAAGGAGGGAGGGAGGAAGGAAGGAAGAAAGAAAGAGAGAAAGAAAGAAAGAAATTATGTTTTTGAGACGGAGTCTCACTCTTGTTGCCCAGGCTGGAGTGCAATGGCGCGATCTTGGCTCACTGCAGCCTCCGCCTCCCGGGTTCAAGCGATTCTCCTGCCTCAGCCTCCCCAGTAGCTGGTATTACAGGCATGTGCCACCACACCCGGCTAATTTTTGTACTTTTAGTAGAGATGGGGTTTCGCCATGTTGGCCAGGCTGGTCTTGAACTCCTGACCTCAGGTGATCTGCCTGCCTCGGCCTCCCAAAGTGTTGGGATTACAGGCGTGAGCCACCACACCCAGCCAAAATAATATTTTTAAAATTAAGATAATTCTATCTACAAATGCAGAAAAGACTCCTGTTTTAGCTGTAGACTGCCTTGGTCCAGGGTACCGCAAAGCCTAGTTTAAGAGTCACTGCCAGGTCACACGTCATAGGTCCGTCACACACACTCAGCAGCCCTTCCACCGAGGCAGCCCTGACCTTCTGTTGAGCCTTGCCCCTTGGGCCGTCCTAGGCCTCCAAGAGCTGGCCATATGGGTAGGCCCAGATTCTCATGGGGGTCCTCCTACGCATGGTAAGTGGGAAAGAAATCAGCTTTCTCTCCTGGGCAGCTCATGGACTTTGCTGGGGGATGAGGGCTCCTCTGTGAACTGTGAGGGAGCTGTTGCCTCCTGAACCCTTCCCTGGAGGGTCTCCTTCCTCTGGGACTCTCTCGCCTCTGTGTCCCTTCACTAGCAATTGGTCTTGGGTCCTGACAACAGGGATCAGGGCTTGGGGCTATAGATTTTGTGTGTACATGATGTCTTCCTCATCTGGCATTTTCTACCTTCCAATGTCCTTAAAGTCCACATATGACTTGCCTAATCCAAAGCTCCTTTTCTATTTAGAATTTCTGCAAGCCTTTCCCACCCCTTCTTCTGTAACCTCCATTAGCTTAGGCACACTTCCCTTTCCCAGGTTGGCCAGCCCTCTGGCAGAAGTCCCTCAACCATCAGCCAATCCGAGTCTGGCAAGGCTCATGATTTAAAATAAATATATACATAGACATAGATGATGTAGATATAGCCACAGGTCCTTCTATTAGTGCTTGTTTTTCATCATTCTAAGGAATCCTCAACCACATAGACAGTTGACTAGAAGACCTCACACATGTGCATTGAAATTTCCTCCTGGATATGTCACCTCCCTCAAATTGTTCAAGCTCCCAAGAAGCTGTACAGGAAAGGGTCCCGGGTTTCAGGGTTGGAGAACTCAGCAGGGCGTCCCACGGATGTTTCGACACTTCCCGTTCCCCTTCTGGGCCCTGCGCCTGCCCTGAGCTGCAAAGTCGCCCAGAACAGCCACCTCTCCCTGCCTCACTGACTGCAGCTCTGCCCAGCAACATCTCCTTCCTGACTCATGAGGCAGCTCACTCCCTAAAAACCTCCCCTAAACCCCCTCCGTGTCCCTGCAGGGTCCTTCTTCCCCCATTTCCCCTGTCCACACACACTTCTCTCACTTGTCCCCACATTCTATTTATTTTTCAGTTTATTGTGGTTACTGATTTACCTTTTTTTTAATTTTAATTTTATTTATTTATTTTTGAGACAGAGTCTCGCTCTGTCACCCAGGCTGGAGCGCAGTGGTGCGATCTCAGCTCACTGCAACCTCTGCCACCTGGGTTCAAGCAATTCTCCTGCCTCAGCCTCTTGAGTAGCTGAGACTACAGGCGCCCACGACGACACCCAGCTAATTTTTGTATTTTTAGTAGAGACAGAATTTCATCATGTTGGCCAGGCTGGTCTCAAACTCCTGACCTCAGGTGATCCACCCACCTCAGCCTCTCAAAGTGTTGGGATTACAGGCGTGAGCTACAACGCCTGATTCCCTTATTTTTTTTCTTTAGAGAAATAAGGTATTGCTCTCTCGCCCAGGCTGTAGTACAGTGATGCAATCACAGCTCACTGCCACCTCAAAATCTTGGGCTCAAGCCATCTTCCTGCCTCAGCCTCCCGAGTAGCCGGGACTACAGACACATACCAACATGCCAAGCTAACTCAGTTCATTTTTGGTAGAGACCGGGTCTGGCTATATTGCCCAGGCTGGTCTTGAACTCCTGGCCTCAAGCAATCCTCCCACCTCAGCCTCTCAAAATGCTGGGATTACAGGCAGAATGCACCATGTCTGGCCTTGTTTTACTTTTTAATGTAAAACTAATATATATTTATCATGAAAGAGGAGGGACTGGGCACGGTGGCTCATGCCTGTAATACCAGCACTTTGGGAGGCTGAGGCGGGCAGATCACAAGGTCAGGAGTTCAAGGCCAGCCTGGACAATATGATGAAACCCTGTCTCTACTAAAAATACAAAAAGTATCTGGGCATGGTGGCGCGCACCTGTAGTCCCAGCTACTCCAGAGGCTGAGGTGGGCGAATTGCTTGAACCCAGAAGGCAGAGGTTGCAGTGAGCCGAGATCACGCCACTGCACTCTAGCCTGGGCGACAGAGCAAGACTCCATCTCAAAAAAGAAAGGGGAGGGGAGGGGGAGAGAGAGAGAGAGAGGAAAGGGAGGGGAGGGGAGGGGAGGTAAAGCAAGCCCTAGATGAGGAATTAACTAGTTCTGGATATGGACTGTGTTGGTGGGACCAACTTAAAGACAGAAGAAAAAGAATAGAAAAACCCGCTCCATCTCCTTTAGTGTTCCCTGCCTCCCCAGAAAAATATACTTTCTTAAAGGTGCAAATGAAAATTGTGAACCCAATGCTGGCTATGATCTTTTTGAGGTCCACTGAGCAACGCAATATTCTCCTTGGGTTAAATTTGTGTTACATTTATCTGAATCGATTGAAATTCAAGAAACTATAGGCAAAAAAGTATTTAATACTCAGTGCAGAAAAATTAAAACAGCAAAGTCAAAAGGCAAAAATAAAAATAAAAATAAGCCGCAGTCTCCTCAGTGAGCAGCAGCACCGTAACAAGACAATGCATTCAGGCTTTCCTGATGCTTCTATATAAACAGGTCGACAGTCTCTCATCTGTAATTCCCCCAGGCAAAAATCCCTGGAACCACAAGGTTGTTTTGTTTTTGTGTTTGTTTTCCAAGTTTGTAGTGAATTTATTTGGCTGCACCACCTGATCCAAACTGATGTGGTGCTATTTATATTCTTCAGTTATCTCACTTAATGTGAATACTCGTATGTTTCACTGCAGAAATATTAATGAATTTGGCTGTCGTGAGTTGCTACTTCAAGCACACTAAGGATGTTCCATAATTATACACCTTTGTAAAATCTGAAAAAGTTTGAATCACAAAATACATTGACCCCCAAGGGTCAGAACAGTGGACCTGAATACTTAAAAGAAGCGATGATAGTGCTCACTGCGGCAGCCCATATACTAAAATTGGGACAATACAGAGAAGATTGGCATGGCCCCTGTGCAAGGATGACATGCAAATTCACGAAGCATTCCATATTAAAAAAAAAATTGTTTTAGGCCGGGCACGGTGGCTCATGCCTGTAATCCCAGCACTTTGGGAGGCCGAGGCGGGCCGATCACTTGAGGTCAGGAGTTTGAGACCCACCTGATCAACATGGTGAAACCCTGTCTCTACTAAAAATACAAAAATTAGCTGGGCGTGGTGGCGGGCCCCTGTAATCCCAGCTACTCGAGAGGCTGAGGCAGGAGAATCTCTTGAACCCGGGAGGTGGAGGTTGCAGTGAGCCAAGATCACACCATCGCACTCCAGCCTGGGCAACAAGAGTGAAACTTCATCTCAAAAATAAAATAAGATACAAAAATTAGCTGGGCATGGGGTCATGCACCTATAGTCCCAGCTACTTGGGAGGCTGAGGCTCGAGAATCACTTGAACCTGGGAGGTGGAGGTTGCAGTGAACCGAGATTGCACCACTGCATTCCAGCCTGGGTGACAGAGCAAGACTCTGTCTAAACATAAATAAATAAAATAAAAATGTTAAGAATTAAAAAAAAATAAGTGATGATAAAACAGTGATGCTGTACAGCATCTACATGTTCTAGGTACTGCCAAGCACTTTGCATATATTAATCAAATGCTTGTAACAATTCTATAGGGTAACTACTATTACCTTCATCTGCATTTTACATATGAGGAACAGGATTACATTGTACCTACTGTTTCACGCTTGCTTTCTGCACTTAATATGTCTTGAACATATTTCAATTGAGTGAACATTCATCCACAGCACTGTGGCTGCATCATGCCCTGTTGTGCGGCTGTGCTATCATTTCACCTGTCCTCTGGTACTGGACACTTAGGTTGCTTCCATACCCTTTCTTTTTGGTGCATTTCTCTGTGAGACCCTTCAGTAGAGGCTTGTGAGTCATCCCTCTCAAACCTTTGATCATGAGAAAACAGCACACCCCAGTGGCTATTGGCTCCTTGAGAGGAAGCTATATCTTCCTACCTCTTGACCATTTCCCTTTTATTTTTTATTTTTTCCTATTCTAACAGAAATGTGCTCGTTCTTTGTATATCTCTGTCTAATCTCCCAGCATCTGAGAGATCCATTTTGCCATTGCTGGGGCAGGATCTGAGATGGCCGGCATCCCTCACTTCAGGCAACACGGCCTCTTTGGTTTCCTACCCTGATGTCCTGTCGGTTCTACTGACCTACTTCCCTCTCTGTGTGACTTGGTTTCAGAAGGTTAGTATGTCGTCGGTGTGAGGTCTGCATCCCTATTGTCTGATGCTACATATTTAGTTGAATGGGTCCTCTCTTGATGTCTTTTAATCTTGGTTCTTTTCCCAGAGTTGCCACTAAAATTGTCCCATGCCACTTGTATTAGTTCCCCGTGGCTGCTGTGACACATTACCACAAATTTCATGGCTTAAAACTACACAATTTTTTTTTTAAATTTTCAGATAAGGCTTCACTCTGTCACCCAAGCTGGAATGCAGTGGTGCAGTCTTGGCTTACTGTAACCTCTGCCCCCCAGACTCAAAGTGATCCTCCCACCTGAGCCTCCCAAGTAGCTGGGACTACAAGCGCATGTCACCATATCCGGCTAATTTTGGGGGGATTTTTTTTGTAGAAATAGGGTTTCGCCATGTTGCCCAGGCTGGTCTGAAACTCCTAGGCTCAAGCAATCTGCCCACCTCAGCCTCCCAAAGTGCTGGGATTATAGACATGAGCCACCAGGCCTGAACCAGATGTTTATTCTTTCACAATTCAGGAGGCCAAAAGTCTGGAATCAAGGTGTCAGCAGGACGGCACTCCCTCTGAAGACATGGAGGACAATCCTTCATTGCTCCTTCCAGCTTCTGGTGGCTCCAGGAGTTCCTTGGCTTGTGGCTGCATAACTCAGATCTCTGCCTCCCTCCTCATATCACCTCTTTTCCCCAGGTCTCTCTTCTATGTCTCTTATAAGAACACTTGTCATTGGATTTAGGGTCCATCCAGATAATCCAGGATGGCCTGGGCGTGGTGGTTCATGCCTGTAATCCCAGCACTTTGGGAGGCCAAGGCAGGCAGATCACCTGAGATCAGGAGTTCGAGACCAGCCTGGTCAACATGGTGAAACCCTGTCTCTACTAAAATTAAAAAAAAAAAAAAATACAAAAATTAGCCAAGTGTGGTGGCACACACCTGTAATCCCAGCTACTCCGGAGGCTGAGGCAAGAGAATCACTTGAACCTGGAGGCGGAGGCTGCAGTAAGCTGAGGTCGTGCCACTGCACTCCAGCCTGGGTGACAAGAGCAAGACTCAATCTCAAAACAAAACAAAAAAAAAACCCAACAGATAATCCAGGATGATCTCACCTTGGGATTATATCTGCAAAGACCCTTTTTCCAAATAACGTCACATTCACGGGTTCCAGGGGTTAAGATGTGGGCCACGTTTTTGGGAGCCACCATTCAACCCACAATAATATCACTCTTCCCAAGTCTAGGGATTCGTTTTTTCCCCTTCACACTCTCCAGGTGGGACCTCTCGCTCTCTCACTTCCCATCCAGGACAGCCTATCCCCCTAGGAGATCTGTCAGTGGATCTGTGTGGAGTTAGACTATGGGTATGAGAAAAATGGTTTCTTTCTTCTGCTGAACCATAAAAGAATCCCAAACCAGTCCTTTCACATACATTAAACATATTTTCTTCATCAAATTGGGTGTTGTTACTTATACTAAAACTATGGGCAGTTTTTCTTTACCCCCAAAATCAAAGTTTATATTTCAAGGAGGAGAGAGTTCTTTTTTTGAGTGCTTAGAATACAATAAATGCTGTTACACTATCTTATTTAACCCTCATAACAACCCTGAGTCTTACAACCCATTTTCTCTTCTTCAGAGAATGGAAAACTGAGGCTCAGAGAGGTTAAGTAACTTACTAAAAATCACACAGTAAATAGAGGGATACAGCTATGTCAACCCCAGAGCTTTTTGGTTCTGTCTCTACACCAAACTGCCTTTGGGAATTTTCCAGATGAGGTGAGTGCAGCACAGAGACAATAAATGGTACAGAGAAGCCAGGCATGGTGGCTCAGGCCTGTAATCCCAGCACTTCAGGAGGCCAAGGCAGGAGGATCTCTTGAGCTCAGGAGTTTGAGATTAACCTGGGCAACATAGTGGGACCCAGTCTCTAATAAATAAATAAATAAATGGCACAGAGGTCACTTAGCTAATGATGGCAACAGGAACAGAAGCTTGCTCAACTCCCAGTAATTTGCTCTTTCCCCCATACCATATTCTTGGCTTAGAACATAAGGTATCATTTGGGCTGACAGAAAGACACACATCCTGATTAAGCTCAGAAAGAACCTGAACTTTGGAGTGACAGCCCAAGTCTATTCCAGTTCCTCTGCCTGGTAACCAATGCTCCTGGACCAGTCACTTGGCATCTCTGACACTCAGTGTCCTTATCTGCAAAATGGTGTAATCAGGCATCCACCTCTTTGCATCACTGTGAGGACTAGGGAATGCGTGCTGAAATAGATGGTATGTAGAACGTGTTTCACAAACAGCAGCTATGACAACTATTCATATTTCGACTGCATGCCTCTTCAGAAGTAAAAGGCTTTTTTAATGATAAAAGAAAAAGTAATTCATGTTTATGGTAAAGAGTATAAAGCCACACCTTCCCCATCCCAAAAGATCCCAGACCTCATCCTTGAAGGTGGCTATTGTTAACAGCACCTTTTGTGTGGTTCCACAAATTTTCTACGCATTTGGAAGTATATATATATTCGTCACACAAATAGGATCATAGAAGTTCACTGCTTACTTTTTTCCCTAAGTAATTGTCCCAGTTGTGCTCCCCAGGAAGCAAACTCTGAGAAGGAATTAAGTGTGCACGGCTGGACATGGTGGCTCACACCTGTAATCCCAGCACTTTGGGAGGCCAAGGCGGGCAGATCACTTAAGCCCAGAAGTTCGAGACCAGCCTGGGCAACATGGCAAAACCCCATCTCCACAAAAAATACAAAAATTGGCCTGGTGCAGTGGCTCACACCTGTAATCCCTGCACTTTGGGAGGCCAAGGCAGGTGGATCACCTGAGGTCAGAAGTTCGAGACCAGCCTGGCCAACATGATGAAACCCCATCTCTACTTAAAAAAATACAAAAATACAAAAATTAGCTGGATGTGGTGGTGGATGCCTGTAATCCCAGCTACTCAGGAGGCTGAGGCAGAATTGGTTGAACCTGGGAGGCAGAGGTTGCAGTGAGCGGAGATTGGACCACTGCACTCCAGCCTGGGCAACAAGAGCGAAATTCCATCTTTAAAAAAAAAAAATAGAAAAATTAGCTGGGTATGGTGGTACATACCTGTAGTCCTAGCTATTCGGGAGGCTGAGGTGGAAGGATTGCTTGAGCCCAGGAGGTCGAGGCTGCAGTGAGCCGTGATCACACCACTGCACTCCAGCGCAGGCAACCAAGTGAGACCCTCTCTCAAACAAAAAAAAGCAATTATGTGTGTGCGATGCATGCTTACCAGGGAGTGCTCCTGGAAGCGCTGCCTGTGGAAGGAAGGACAGAGGGAAAAGTCCAGATGCTCAGACAGCCTGGGAGGTAAATGAACCCTCAGAAAGCCATGGGCCTTTCCATCCCCACTGCTGTCAGTGGACCAGCCTGGGCTGGGCATGTCCTTGGGCATCTTTGAAGGGGATGGCAGTAAAGGGCTGTCTGCTCTCCCTGCTCCCAACTGCCCTGGTGTGCTCCTGGCCAACTTGTCTAACTGCTGAAGACCCAGGCTCTGTCGGTGAGTCTGGCTTCACTAGGCTGTGTTACTTTTAAACCAGTTTTATGTGAGTTTTTATTGTCTGGGGAGAGTCACCATTACCTTTTCTTCTTCCCCTTTTGACAGCAGAACTTCTGCTTCCTCTTTGGCTGCAACCTGAGGTAAAAGGTTATGGGAAGGGAAAGGATGAAGCCCTAGACACATTTCTCTGACAAATATCGAAAACAGAAAGCAGATAAGGATTCCCATCTGGTAAAAGACAAGCACAAAGAGTCATTCACACACGTGACAATGGGCCCATTCTAGCCACTTCCCCTTTCAATAATCTTTTAGTATTTTCCTTTGTTCAGTACTTGATGAATCAACCACCAAGGTGAGAATTTGGAGCTGTTGCCCCATGGTCTGAAAGGGTCAGATGCCACTGCCCTGCCCAGGAAATGCCCACAGACGGGGCTGCCGTAAAACTCAGCATACTCTATGGACAACCCCACCCCTCACCCCCACTTCCTTCTCTCAAACTTAGGCACCCACTCATTCATAGAAAAGCAAAGATTCGCCTGGAAAACATAGCAAGACTCTGTCTTTACAGAAAATAAAAATAAATTAGCTGGAGCCAGGCGCAGTGGCTCCCACCTGTAATTCCCGCACTTTGGGAGGCCAATGCGGGCAGATCATTTGAGGTCAGGAGTTCAAGACCAGACTGACCAATATGATGAAAACCCGTCTCTACTAAAAATACAAAAATTAGCTGGGCGTGGTGGCGCACACTTGTAATCTCAGCTACTTAGAAGGCAGAGGCATGACAATCACTTGAACCCGGGAGGCAGAGGTTGCAGTGAGCTGAGATCATACCACTGCACTCCAGCCTAGGTGACAGAGAGAGACTCTGTCTCAAATAAATAAATAAATATAAGCTGGGCATGGTGGCATTCACCTGTGGTCCCAGCTACTTGAGAGGTGGAGGCAGGAAGATGACTTGCACCTGGGAGGTTCAGGCTGCAGTGAACTCTGATCATACCACTGCACTGCAGCCTGGGTGACAGAGCAAGATGCTATCTCAGAAAAAAAAAAAAAAAAAGAAAAGAAAGAAAAAAAGAAAGGCAAAGAGAAGAAAACAAAGAAAGAAAAGATTGGGAGAGGTGGACCGGGCTCTATTCTGGGGATGATGACCTTTGTGAAAGCAGAAGTTAGGCCTTAATCCACACTACAGGTAGAGATGCAAAATGGTACAACCATTTTGAAAATTAGTTTGGTAAGTTTCTTATAAAGTTAAATAAACAACACACGAGCCAGCCAGTCCACTCCTAGATAAATGAAAACCTGTATTCACACAATGACTTATACATGAATGTTCACAGCAGCCTTATTCATAATAGCTCAGGCTGGAAACAACCCAAATGTTCATCAGATTAAAAAACTGATATATTCTTACAACAGGCTGGGTGCAGTGGCTCACGCCTGTAATCCCAACACTTTGGGAGGCCAAGGCGGGCGGATCACTTGAGATCAGGAGTTCAAGACCAGCCTGGCCAACATGGCAAAACCCCGTCTCTACTGAAAATTAGCAGGCTTGGTGGTGTGCACCTGTAATCCCAGCTACTCGGGAGGCTGAGGCATGAGAATTGCTTGAACCTGGGAGGCAGAAGCTGCAGTAAGCCAAGATTGTGTCACTGCACTCCACCTATGTAATAGAGTGAGCCTCTGTCTCAATAAATAAATAAATAAAATAAAAATTAAAAATAAAAACATTCTTACAATGGAATACTAACTAATCAGTAATAAAAAGGATGCACTATTGATGTACACAAAACATGGATGAGGCCAGGTGCAGCAGCTCATCCCTATAATCCCAGCACTTTGGGAGGCCGAGGCGGGCGAATAGCTTGAGGTCAGGAGTTCGAGACCTGCCTGGCCAACATGGACCTGGTCTCTACTAAAAATACAAAAAGTAGCCGGACGTGGTTGCAGGCACCTATAATCCCAGCTATTTGGGAGGCCGAGGCAGGAGAATCTCTTGAACCAGGGAGGCGGAGGTTGCAGTGAGCCAAGATTGCACCATTGCACTACGGCCTGGGTGACAGGATGACACTCCATCTCAAAAAAAAAAAAAAAGTATGAGGTAGACCTGGCACGGTGGCTCACACCTGTAATCCCAGCACTTTGAGGGGCTGAGGCGGGAGGATTGTTTGAGCTCAGGGTTCAAGACCAGCCTGGGCAACATGGTGAAACACTCTCTCTATTAAAAAAAAAAAAAGAGCTTTCCCAAGCGGCTGCCGAAGATGGCGGAGGTGCAGGTCCTGGTGCTTGATGGTCGAGGCCATCTCCTGGGCCGCCTGGCGGCCATCGTGGCTAAACAGGTACTGCTGGGCCGGAAGGTGGTGGTTGTACGCTGTGAAGGCATCAACATTTCTGGCAATTTCTACAGAAACAAGTTGAAGTACCTGGCTTTCCTCCGCAAGCGGATGAACACCAACCCTTCCCGAGTCCCCTACCACTTCCGGGCCCCCAGCCGCATCTTCTGGCGGACCGTGCGAGGTATGCTGCCCCACAAGACCAAGCGAGGCCAGGCCGCTCTGGACCGTCTCAAGGTGTTTGACGGCATCCCACCGCCCTACGACAAGAAAAAGCGGATGGTGGTTCCTGCTGCCCTCAAGGTCGTGCGTCTGAAGCCTACAAGAAAGTTTGCCTATCTGGGGCGCCTGGCTCACGAGGTTGGCTGGAAGTACCAGGCAGTGACAGCCACCCTGGAGGAGAAGAGGAAAGAGAAAGCCAAGATCCACTACCGGAAGAAGAAACAGCTCATGAGGCTACGGAAACAGGCCGAGAAGAACGTGGAGAAGAAAATTGACAAATACACAGAGGTCCTCAAGACCCACGGACTCCTGGTCTGAGCCCAATAAAGACTGTTAATTCCTAAAAAAAAAAAAAAAAAAAAAAAAAAGAAAAAGGAAAAAAAAGAGCACGAGGGAACTAGAGACTAATGGAAACATTCTATGTCTTGGCTATAGTGGTTATTACATGTAATACAAATTTGTGACAATTAGTCAAAGTGTATACTTTAAGTGAATGAATTGCATTTTATGCAAAATATTCCTCAAAAATGATTAAAAATAGAATACATAAGCAAGAATATTAAGAAAAATGTGGAAAGTAAACAAAATCAGGTGGTTTTGATTTTCTAGCTATTTTAATTTGCTATAATTTACATTAAAACTGTGCAATAGGCCAGGGGCGGTGGCTCACACCTAGTAACCCCAGCACTTTGGGAGTCCGAGGCAGGCGGATCACGAGTTCAGGAGATCGAGACCATCCTGGCCAACATGGTGAAACCCCGTCTCTACTAAAAATACAAAAAATTAGCCAGGCGTGGTGGTGGACGCCTGTAGTCCCACCTATTCGGGAGGCTGAGGCAGGAGAATGGTGTGAACCTGGGAGGCGGAGTTTGCAGTGAGCTGAGATCCTACCACTGCACTCCAGCCTGAGCAACAGGGCGAGACTCCATCTCAAATAACAAAAAAAAACTTTGCAATAAATATTAGAAACACTATTAATATAAATCATTCTGTTTTTTGTTTTTTTTTGTTTTTTTTTTTGAGACGGAGTCTCGTTCTGTCGCCCAGGCGGGAGTGCTGTGGCGCGATCTCCGCTCACTGCAAGCTCCGCCTTCTGGGTTCACGCCATTCTCCTGCCTCAGCCTCCCGAGTAGCTGGGACTACAGGCGCCCGCCACTGCGCCCGGCTAATTTTTTGTATTTTTAGTAGAGACGGGGTTTCACCGTGGTCTCGATCTCCTGACCTCGTGATCCGCCCGCCTCGGCCTCCCAAAGTGCTGGGATTACAGGCGTGAGCCACCGCGCCCGGCCATAAATCATTCTGTTAATAAAGGAGTATGACCCTAAGATCACCTCAATAGGTGCTAATAAGGTGTTTAATAAAAGTTAAAACTCATGTTCTAGAAACAAAAACAATGAAGAGAAACTAATAATAGCTTCTGGCCAGGCACAGTGGCTCATGCCTGTAATCCCAGCACTTTGGGAGGCCGAGGTAGGTGGATAACCTGAGGTCAGGAGTTCAAGACCAGCTTGGCCAACGTGGCAAAACCCTATCTCTACTAAAAATACAAAAAAATTAGCCGAGCATGGTGGCGCACGCCTGTAGTCCCAGCTACTCGGGAGGCTGAGGCATGAGAATTGCTTGAACCCAGGCAACAGAAGGTTGTAGTGAGCTGAGATTGTGCCACTGCACTCCAGCCTGGGTGATTGAGTGAGACTCTGTCAAAAAAGAAAAAAGAAAGAAAGGAAGAGAGAAAGAGAGAAGGAAAGGAAGGAAGGAAGGAAGGGAGGGAGGGAGGGAGGAAGGAGAAAGAAAGAAAGAGAAAGAAAGAAAGAGAAAGAAAGAAAGGGAAAACTTCTTTAACGCGATAAAGATTATCCATCAGAAACCAAGAGTGTTGGTATCCAAGAAAATGTTAAAATTTTTTTTTAATTAAAGAAAAAGAAACCAAGACCAAATATCATAGGGAATGGTGAAACACGCGTTTTAATGACAAGTGCCTGCTAACATCTATGACTCAGCATTGTACTGCAGTATCATTCTGGAATCACCACTGGGTCTCTACAGGGGAGGTACATACACCCTTAGAGATGTATACATATATACCTTCTAGGAAATGTATTGGAAGAATGTGGGAGCATATTTAGTTATCATAATGATCAGGGAGTTGATATTTTACATATGAATTCAAGGATTAAGTCCTTTGCAAGGATTTAATAATACACTGAAAAAATTCCAAGAATGAAACTAGCACATAGTGTGAGGGAATATCGTACTTTGCTTTTTCCAAACTGTATCAAAAGTTGTTGAGCATTTGGAAAAATCTTGTACCTGTAGCACCATGGTAGATATTTGAGTAGCCTAGTATCAGTCTAAATGTGTGTTGTCACATTCCCAGTGGTAATGGACATAGATAGAAGTATCTCTGACAGCTTCATTATGGCTGTTAGTATATTTCCGTCCCTAACATTTACATATTGAAGTAATACTATCTTATTATAGAATTCTTTTCCTTAGGTTCTCCTTAAGTCCTTATTACCTTATAGCATAATACTTATGGTTTAGAAATTATGAGATTAAGTGGCTTATATTGCCTACAAATTTCATTTTAGATTATTAAAAGTATTGTTACATATTCTTTGTTATAAATGTGATAGAATTAAGAACCACTGTTCTAGGCTGGGTGCGGTAGCTCACACCTGCAATCCCAGCACTTTGGGAGGCTGAGGCAGGCAAATCACTTGAGGTCAGGAGTTTGAGACCAGCCTGGTCAGCATAGTGAAACCCTGTCTCTACTAAAAATACAAAAAATTAGCCAGGTGTGGTGGCGTGCGCCTGTAATCCCAGCTACTTGGAAGACTGAGGCAGGAGAATTACTGGAACCTAGGAAGTTTAGGTTGCAGTGAGCTGAGATCGCCCCACTGCACTCCAGCCTGGGCGACAAGAGTGAGACTCTGTGAAAGGAGAGGAGAGGAGAAGGGAGGGGAGGGGGAAAGAAACAACGTTCTAGTGCTATAAGCAAAGTAACTGAGGTAAAATACAGGAAGGAAAAAATAGAAGCTGTTTGTCAGAGATATAATTGTATTAGAAAAGTCAAGAGAGGCAACTAAAAACCATTAGAATTGGTAAGAGAGGTCACTATGGTAGCAATATTGGATAAATGTAAAAGGTATGATTGACAATGATACAAACAGGCACTTGTTTTATTTTTCTTTATAAATATCAACTTTCCTTTGCAAACTGAACTCCTAACTCTAACCCTATGCTAGCAAGGGTGGGTGGAGGATGGTGAGGAAGACTAAGCGTTGCCCAGGAATGTCTCTTCTGCTACATGTAATGATTTTGTTCAGCATGGTGGTGATTACCTATAGAGGTGCAGAGGGGATGGTGAAGGGGAGAGCAAGGGCCACAGTCTCCCTGTTACACTCTCTCCTCTGTTCGGTGGGTCAAAGCTCTCAGCAGGAGACTAGACCAAAATAATGTATGGTCTGCAGGCTAGGCTGTGCCCCTGGGCTATGATCTTTCCTCCACTGGGTTCCTTTCCATTTTCATTAAAGAAGAGAGAAAGACAGAGAAGGGAAGGAGGAAAAGAGAAAGTAATTTTTTAAGAAAGTAAAGAAGGAATAGTGAAAACAAGCAGAAAAAGAGGGGTACATATGTGCATCCTGGGAACAAAGAAGGATATGCTCCCAAATATTAAAGTACTTGACTGACTTAGGGAAGGAGATGTTGAGGGGCAGTATAGATGACTCTTACTTTATGCAATCCTGTGTTTAAAAATTTTTACAACATGGTCTAGCAATTCCACTCTTAGGAGTATAGCTAAGGGAAATGGAAACCTATGTTCACACAAAAATGTATACATTAATATTCACAGAAGCATTATTCTTAATAGCCAAAAAGTGAAAATAACCCAAATAGCCATCAACTGATGAATGAATAAATAAAATGTAGTACTTCCATATGACAGAATATTATTTGGCAATAAAAAGAAATGATGCCCAGACACTGTGGCTCACACCTGTAATCCCAGCACTTTGGGAGGCCAAAGTGGGAGGATCGCTTGAAGCCGGGAGTTCAAGACCAGCCTGGACAACATAGCAAGATTTCATTTCTATCTTTTCTTTAAAAAATGAAATACTAACACATGCTGAACTGAACATGGATGAACCTTGCAAACATTATGCTAGGTGAAAGAAGCTAGTCACAAAGGACCACAATTTATGAATCCGTTTTTATGAAATGTCCAAAATAGGCAAATCTATGGACAGAAAGTAGAAAGCAGATTCGTGGTTGCCCAAGACCAAGGAAATGAGGGCATTAGGGGATGATGGCTAAAGGGTGCAAAGGTTCTTTTTGGGGTAATGAGAATATTCTGGAACTTATTGTGGTGACGATTACACATCTCTGTGAATATACTAAAAGCTATTGAATTATACACTTTAAATGGGTCAGTTGTATGCTATGTGAATCATATCTCAATAATAAAGTCATTAACAAAAACTTTGTGAAGAGCATATATAACTTTTATACTAATAAACAAGTAGTACTTTTATCTGTTAAATGTACATGTTATCATATGGATTTGTTATATATTAACAGATGTCCAAAAAAAAAAAAAAAAACCAGAACTATCACAATATCACAATAGGATTCTGCCGTGAGTGCCCTGGATAATTTCTCTTCTAAATATGCGGTTATCTAACAAAAGTGGGAGGGAATACAATGTAGCAATGGCAAAAAAAAAAAAAAAAAAAAAAAGGAAAAGAAAAGCAACACACAGTGGTGGACAAAATGGAGAATCCAGAAATAGACACCACTAAATATAAATTCATTATATGATACTGTAAGCTTTTAAAAACCCTGAGGTGAGGGCATTTTCTTTGAATGGTGCTGGAATAATTGGATAGTAATTTGGGGAAGAAATTAAATCAGATTTCTATCTTAACAACATACTGCAAAAAGAAACTCCAGATGGTTTGAAGTATTCAATATAAAAGTCACATTAAATAAAATCGAAAAGAAATGAGAATGGATTATTTATCAAATCTGTGAAGGATTGGTAAATTTCTCAACTCAGAAAGTATCACTAAAGCCAGACATTCAAATATGCAAAATTTTTCATTTCTACACCTTAAAAATTAAGCAAAATTAAGATAAGAAGACATCAGATTTAAAAAATAGGGGAAGCACAGGGGCTAATGTCTGTAATCCCACCACTTTGGGAGGCTGAGGAGGGCTGATCTTTTGAGTTCAGGAGTTCAAGACCAGCCTGGGCAACATAGCAAAATCCAGACTCTACAAAAAAATTTCAAAATTAGCCAGGCATGGTGTCACAGACCTGTGGTCCCAACTATCTGGGGGCTTGAGGTGGGAGAATCACTTGAAACCAGGAGGTCGAGGCTCCAGAGAGCCATGATTGTGCCACTGCACTCCAGCCTGGGTGACGAAGTGAGACCCTGTCTTAAAAAAAAGTACATTCATCACAGATATGACAAAGGATTAGTAGGGAAAAAAAGAGTTCATAGAAAGATCTTATTCTAGCTATTAAAAAGAAGAAGAAGAAGAAAAGAACCCAGTGGATAAATGCACAAAAGAACAGACAATTTGCATTAGGAGAATTAATAGTAAACAGAAAAATATTAAAAGGCCCATAATTGATAGTAATCAAGAAATGCAAATTACAGCAGCTGCATTCTGAATCCTGGCACTACTGTATTAACCTACATGAAGCTTTAGATTCTGGGCCCTTACTTGCTTCAGCAAATAGACCTGGTTTCCCTTTCTCTTTCACAGAGCTCAGTTAGTGCCCAAATATAATAACCTCATTATCTATAGGAGGTCAAAATTATCTCCCATTTATTCTTCCTTTCCCCGCACCTTTATGACCCATATTTTTTCTGGAAAAAAAAATAGTTATTGAATGGCTGGGCTCAGTGGCTCATGCCTGTAATCCTAGCACTCTAGGAGGCTGAGGCGGACGGATCACTTGAGCCCAGGAGTTCAAGACCAGGCTGGGCAACATGGTGAAACCCTGTCTTCACATACACACACAAAAAATACAAAAATTAGTCAGGCGTGGTGGCATGTGCCTGTACTCCCAGCTACTCAGGAGGCTGGGGTGGAAGAATCACCTGGGCCCAGGAGGTGGAGGCTGCAGTGAGCTGTGATTGCATCACTGCACTCCAGCCTAGGCGACAGAGCCAAACACTGTCAAAAAAAAAAAAAAATTGTTGAAAATATGTAAAAATACACTTCTTCCAATTCTTTTTTTTTTCACAAGCAAGTTCTAAGTCCATAATGCATACATATGTGAACTTTTTAACCCATGAGCTACCAGATGTCTCATGATTCTTGAGACACCTTTTATCAGACCTATTAAGTGGCTCTGATGAGAGGATAAGAGTGACATCTTCCAGTACCTTTTCAGCTTTCCCTGACTCCCAGCCCATGCCTTGCCCTCTTCCCAAGTCCCTTACCATGACCCCTGCCCACAACACTCCATAAGCCCTTCCTCCTTCCTCTCTGCATCCCCATGACTTGCCTATTACAACACGGGCAGTGTCTCTCTGACACTGACCCTTTAAGCCTCTGTTTTGACTCTTGCCGCATATTCTCAACCCTCCACTTTTTCTTTTTTTGAGATGGAGTTTTGCTCTTATTGCCCAGGCTGGAGTGCAGTGGCACGATCTCGACTCACTGCAATCTCCGCCTCCCAGGTTCAAGCGATTCTCTTGCCTCAGTCTCCCGAGTAGCTGGGATTACAGGCATGTGCCACCACGCCCGGCTAATTTTGTATTTTTAGTAGAGACAGGGTTTCTTCATGTTGGTCAGGCTGGTCTCGAACTCCCGACCTCAGGTGATCCGTCCGCCTCAGCCTCCCAAAGTTCTGGGATTACAGGCATGAGCCACCACGCCTGGTGCGCCATTTTTTTTTTTTTTTTTAAATAAAGGTATGACTTGTTTTTGTTTGGAAAGTGGTGTTGTTAAATTAGCCAAAAAGCAAGAATAATTTAATTATAATATTTGATGATACTGTGCTGATACAGTCTCACGCTGCTGATGGAAGTAAAAATGACATAAAGGCCATAAAATTGTGCATTCTTTTTTAGCATTTAAAAGTTGTAAAAATCGCTGAGCGTGGTGGCTCACGCCTGTAATCCCAGCGGGAGGCTGAGGCGGGCAGATCACTTGATGTCAGGAGTTCGAGACCAGCCTGACCAACATGGTGAAACTCCATCTGTACTAAAAAAAATACAAAAAGAAATTTAGATGAGCATGGTGGCATGTGCTTCTGTAATCCCAGCTACTATGGAGGCCGAGGCATGAGAATTGCTTGAACCCAGGAGGCGGAGGTTGCAGTGAGCCAAGATTGCACCACTGCACTCCATCCAGCCTGGGCGACCAAAAAAAAAAAAAATGTAAAAATGAAAATAAAAATAAAATAATTGTATACATTATATATTTACGGGGTACAATGTGATGTTTTGATCTGCACTCTTTTTGATTTTATGAACGTGTGTGTGTGTGTTGTGTGTACAATGGCAAAAAAAATGATATTCTGCAAATGTATAGCCACAAGGAAAGAGTTAAATAAATTGTGATCTGGTCTCCTTGCAAAGATTGATTGGAATAGGGATGGACACCTGATCCAATAAATCCATCAGCCAACAAGTGACCTATAATTTCTGTAGCCTGGTGAAAATAAGGTAAATTGAGCCTATTAAAGACTCTGTCTCTCTCTCTCTCTTAAATTAAAAAATCTTATTGCCAATTAAGTATAGGTATTAGAGCTGGAATATCATCTACACCAGTTGTTCTCTAACTTTAATGCTCATGAGAATCACCAGAGGAGCTGGTTAAAATATAGATTGCTGGGACCCACAGAGTTTCTGATTCAGTGGATTCAGGGTAGGGCCCAAGAATATGCTTTTCTAGTGTGCTCTCAGATGATTCTGATGCTGCTGGCCAGAGTGCCACACTTAGAAAACCACTGATCTAGACATTATCAAGAAGCAACTATTTCTGGCCATGGGCAAGTAGCAGCTGTGCCACAAGCAGGAAGCCACCGTGAGAAGCAGAGATGAGCCATAGTTCCTGACTACTTTCCTGTTCCCCTGAACCCAGCTGTTCTTGGGTTCCTGATTTTAGAGCTTCTGTGACCTCTTTGAATCTGTACACTAAACTCCATTAATGAGTCCCTTCCTTGCAACATAAAATGCCAGCCTAGAACACAGTTGAGAGAATATCATACCCTCCCATGGAGATAAAGTTCATTATCCCCAACTCCATTCCAACCCACCGGCTGGGAAACCAAAGTTAACAAGTTGGCATGTGTATTTCCACACCTTTTCTAAGTTCCATATACACATATATCCAAGGGTTTTACTATTTCTTTTCTTTTTCTTTTTTTTTTCTGAGATAGAGTCTCGCTCTGTCGCCCAGGCTGGAGTGCAGTGGCGCGATCCTGGCTCACTGCAAGCTCTGCCTCCTGCGTTCACACCATTCTCCTGCCTCAGCCTCCCAAGTAGCTGGGACTACAAGCACCTGCCACCACGCCTGGCTAATTTTTTTGTATTTTTAGTAGAGATGGGGTTTCACTGTGTTAGCCAGGATGGTCTCAATCTCCTGATCTCATGATCCGCCCGTCCCGGCCTCCCAAAGTACTGGGATTACAGGCATGAGCCACCGCGCCTGGCCTTACTATTTCTTTTATATGCCAAAAATAGATTGCTTTGTGTTAGGATTGAGATTCTGCTGCTGAAATAGATCAACATATTTATGACTTAAACAAGATGGAAGTTGACCTCTCTCACCCAAAACATCCTGAGAAAGGTGACCCAAAACTAGTGAGATGGTTCTAAGCTCTCTGAGGTCATCTTGGATCCAAGATTCTTCCATACTACAGCCTCATCATTCTTCAGGGGTTGCCTTAGCCACATTCTCCAGGATGGTTTACACCATGTCTGTATTCCAGTCAACAGGAAGGGAAAAGGAAGGGGGCAGGGGAAACATTACTTTTCTTTAAAAATGGAATCTCAGCCAACAAACATATGAAGAAAAGCTCATCATCACTGGTCATTAGAGAAATGCAAATCAAAACCACAATGAGATACTGTCTCATCCAGTTAGAATGGTGATTATAAAAAAGTCAGGAAACAATAGATGCTGACGAGGCTGTGGAGAAATACAAGCGCTTTTACACTGTTGGTGTAAGTGTAAATTAGTTCAACCATTGTGGAAAACAGTGTGGCTATTCCTCAAGGATATAGAACCAGAAATACCATTTGACCCAGCAATCCCATTATTGGTTATATACCCAAAGGATTATAAATCATTCTACTATAAAGACACATGCACACGTATGTTTATCGCAGCGTTATTCACAATAGCAAAGACTTGGAATCAACCCAAATGCCCATCAATGATAGACTGGCTAAAGAAAATATGGCACATATACACCATGGAATACTACACAGCCATAAAAAAGAATTAGTTCATGTCCTTTGCAGGGACATGGATGAAGCTGGAAGCCATCATTCTCAGCAAATTAACACAGGAACAGAAAATCAAACACCACATGTTCTCACTCATAAGTGGGAGTTGAACAATGAGAACACATGGACACAGGGAGGGAAACATCACACACTGGGGCCTGTCAGAGGGTTGGGGGCAAGCGGAGGGAGAGCATTAGGACAAATACCTAATGCATGCGGGGCTTAAAACCTAGATGACAGGTTGATAGGTCTAGCAAACCACCATGGCACACGTATACCTATGCAACAAACCTGCACGTCCTGCAAATTGTATTCCAGAACTTAAAAAAAAAAGAAAAAAAAAACTCCACCACCACCACCACCACCACAACAACAAAAACGAAATCTCAATGGTACACAGATAATTTTTAGTCATTTCCCCTTGGCCATAATTTAGAACCATATACACAACTAATTGCCAGGGAGGCTTGGAAACAGAGTCTTTAGCTGATTAGTCATGTGCCTGGTTAAAATTTGGAGGTTCTATTACC
Organism: Homo sapiens; assembly: GCF_000001405.40. Classification (NCBI taxonomy): domain Eukaryota; kingdom Metazoa; phylum Chordata; class Mammalia; order Primates; family Hominidae; genus Homo; species Homo sapiens. The sequence goes on from NC_000010.11 coordinate 96,760,588, forward strand.
AAAGAAAAACAGAATGACTCTTGGGGGGATATTTGGCAATCTCTGCCACACGGACTATACACAATATTCTTCACTTTGCTTATTTCATGTGTCCCTCTAAGTAAATAGAGAACAAATCTGGCTTAATAGCTGCCTAATATTTCATTGTATAGTTATATCATAATGTATTCAGGCCAGGCATGGTGGCTAACACCTGTAATCCCAGCACTATGGGAGGCCAAGGTGGGTAGATCACTTGAGGCCAGGAGTTAAAGACCAGCCTGGCCGACATGGCAAAACCCCGTCTCTACTAAAAATACAAAAATTAACTGGGCATGGTGGCGCATGCCTGTAATTCCAGCTACTCGAGAGGCTGAGGCAGGAGAATTGTTTGAACCCAGGAGGCAGAGGTTGCAGTAAGCCGAGATGGCACCACTGCAGTCCAGCCTGAGTGACAGAGTGAGACTCCATCTCAAGTAAAAAAAAAAAAAAAAAGGAGTATGGTATTTTCCCAGGAATAAATTAAAAAATAAATGTACATTAAATTTTCAACTTTCAATTATATTCCACTACTCTAATATAGTAGCTATTTTTAGTTTTTGAAATCTTATCTTCCAGTCTTTATCTCTATAACCCAAAGGTCGGCCTCCTGGTGATCCTAAATTCTCCAGCTCTCTAGGGATATTTGTTTTGTTTGATTTTGTTTCCCCCCCTCTCTCTCCCAAGGCTCTCTCTTGCACTTCTGACTCATGGTGTTCTTAGAACATTCTCTTGGGCCATCTCTTCTCTTGAAGTCTCTAGCCTCCTGTCCTTTTGCCCACCTTTCTTTCTCTGATCTCACCCTTCATCTCCACCATCTTCTCCCCATTTCTGCCCACCTCTGCTTGCTCCAGGAAATTAAAAACGTGTCTGTCTTTATTTTGAAGAGCAATGCTGTGTTACTTATCTCACTCTAACCCAGGCCAGATTGCTACAATACTCTAGACTGCTACAAACATGAGGGTCTTTGAAGTATTCAGCACAATTAAGAGAGCTCACTTTCTGAGGATTTCTGCCTCTAGCTTTTCAAAGGAACAACACGTTTTTCTCCCTGCTCCATATGTATAAATCTCACATAATTGTAATCACAGTTTATGTACATACATATTTGTGCTCTACTCTTTTTCATTTGGTGTTGTTTCATAAGTAGTTTCCTCGTTGTGAATCTTATCTTGTAAAATTGTATAATTCTGGCTGGGCATGGTGCCACACACCTGTAATCCCAGCTACTTGGGAGGCTGAGGCAGGAGAATCGCTTGAACCTGGGAGGTGGAGGTTGCAGCAAGCCAAGATCATGCCACTGCACTTCAGCCTGGGCAAAAAAGTGAGACTCTGTCTCAAAAAAAAAAAATTGTATAATTCAGTCCTGTAAAGGTGACTTAATTCACTTAATCATTTCTCTAGTGTTGCGCATTTAAGATATTTCTACTTTTGTTGGGGAAAATTTGTTGTAAAATATTTTTAAACAACTAAAATCTCTTTCTATCAATTATGTTCTGCTGGGCGCGGTGGCTTACGCCTATAACCCCAGCACTTTGGGAGGCCGAGGCGGGCAGATCACTTGAGGTCAGGAATTGGAGACCAGCCTGGCCAACATGGTAAAGCCCCGTCTCTACTAAAAGCACAAAAATTAGCCAGGTGTGGTGGTGGGCACCTGTAATCCCAGCTACTCGGGAGGCTGAGGCAGGAGAATCCCTTGAACCTGGGAGACAGAGATTGCAGTGAACTGAGATCATGTCACTGCACTCCAGCCTGGGCGACAGAGCAAGACTCTGTCTCAAAAAATTTAAAAATATATATATTTTCTGAAAATAAACCCCCAAGAATATGCAGAATGGAGGGAGAGGGGCTACATTTTTATTGCCTTTAATATGTATTGTTAAATTTTACACAGTACAATTCTACCAATTTACAATGCCATTAGCAACTAATATTTCTCCATAGCCTCACTTGTGTTTAGTTTTCAAAAGTGTTTCAAATTTGTAGATGCAAAATTGCATCTTGTTAGTATTTCCATTTTCATGTATTTGATTACCAGTACTATTGAAAAGCTTACCACTTACTTAAATTTGTATTTTCTTTTCTGTATATTGTCTGTGTCCTTGTCTGTTTGTAATTGGCTTCTTGACACTTTTTTTTTTTTTTTTTGAGATGGAGTTTCACTCTGTCGCTCAGGTTGGAGTGCAGTAGTGCGATCTCGGCTCACTGCAAGCTCCGCCTCCCGGGTCTCCTGCCTCAGCCTCCTGAGTAGCTGGGACTACAGGCACCCGCCACCATGCCCTGCTAATTTTGTTTTTTGTATTTTTAGTAGAGATGGGGTTTCACCGTGTTAGCCAGGATGGTCTCAATCTCCTGACCTCGTGATCTGCCCTCCTCAGCCTCCCAAAGTGCTGGGATTACAGGTGTGAGCCACCGCGCCTGCCCAGCTTCTTGATACTCTTAATCATAAATTTAATAAGAGCATTTGCTGATTCTTTATCATATCTGCTGCAGCTATTTCCTCTAATCTCTTCCTTTCCGTATTTATAGATTTTGTATATACTCTTATTTTTTACCATGTCCTAGCAGCTCAATTTTTCCTGTATTATTTATTGGTTTATGCTAGAAGGTAGTAGAAAATAGTTAGAAATGTATGAATTCAAATTCTAACACTCTTATTCCTGCTCTGCCACTCTGGGTGACTGAGCAAATTACATAACCTCTCTAAGCCTTCTTCCCATCTGTAAAAACCTGATATCACTAATAATGGCACTGAGCACACAATGTCTTATAAGGATTAAATGAGATAATGCAGGCCGGGCGCGGTGGCTCACGCCTGTAATCCCAGCACTTTGGGAGGCTGAGGCGGGTGGATCACGAGGTCAGGAGATTGAGACCATCCTGGCTAACATGGTGAAACCTCGTCTCTACTAAAAATACAAAAAATTAGCTGGGCGTGGTGGTGGGCGCCTGTAATACCAGCTACTCAGGAGGCTGAGGCAGGAGAATGGCGTGAACCCGGGAGGAGGAGGTTGCAGTGAGCTGAGACTGCGCCACTGCACTCCAGCCTGGGCAACAGAGCGAGACTCTGTCTCAAAAAAAAAAAAAAAAAAAAGAGATAATGCATAAAGTGCACCTGGCACATAGCAACTCATAAAAGTAGTTACATCATTGTATTATTACTGTTATTCTTTTATTTGTTCAATAATTAGAAAAATGATTGTTTACCATAGCTGTGATAAATGACTGACTTGCTTTTTTACTGGTAGCTTTGTTTTTCATCTCCTTCATCCCTATGCAGCTCTGTTTTTTTTTTTTTTTTTTTTTTTTTTTTAGGAGTCTGGCTCTGTCTCTCTGTCTCCCAGGCTGGAGTGCAGTGGTATGATCTCGGCTCACTGCAACCTCCGCCTCCCAGGTTCAAGTGATTCTCATGCGCCACCACACCCAGCTAATCTTTGTATTTTCTGTAGAGACGGGGTTTCGCCATGATGGCCAAGCTGGTCTCAAACTCCTGACCTCAGGTGATCCACCCGCCTCAGCCTCCCAAAGTGCTGGGATTACAGGTGTGAGCCACTGGGATTACAGGAGGCAGCTGGCCTCCTATGCAGCTCATTTTGATGTATAATGGGTACATCTGAAGCAAGAGAGGGAGATGGAGTCCAAGCACCAGAGCTCACTCATCAGGGATTCTCATGGGGGCAGTTATGAGGGAAATGGGGAACATTCTCATGGGAGGAGAAAGGCTTATAAATTAAGCCGGAGAAGTTCATTAATAAATAGGCTGTCCACATTAACACCTGTCAATAAACAGGATTCGAAATGGCAGGTGAGGAGCTACAGAGGGTACTGCATCTGGAAACCTGGTGGGCAATGGCTCAGAGTCTGAGGGCTGAAATGAGGAAGTGCGGTATCAGCATGGAGCAAGCCAAGCCCACGGGAGCAGTGAAATGGGCCAATACTTAATCAGTATGCACCACAGTCTCACCATACAGTGAGACCCAGAAAGACATTTGTTCTGCTAGAATGCACATTTCTGTTATGGGAATCAGCTCACTGCAGAAGTAAAATTATAGCCATCATCAGGGAAGGAAGAAGCGCTCAGCTCAGCTGCTACACTAATTGCATGAGCCCTTTCAGCTGTATTTTAGGAAAATGGCAATGAGCACACACACCCAGGGCCCTTTTCCCCAGCTCTCAGCCAGGTTGCACTGCTTCCTGGATCCACCTGACTAGCACTCAGAGCCCACCACCATCTGCACTCTTTCAACACTTGCCAGACCAGCTCTAATTAAAGTGTTGCCAGCATGTTCCCACTCTATCACATTGAACATTTTAAATATCTACTGTGACAGTCTCCAGCCACACTGAGGCAGTCTGGGCAGTCCAAGTTATCTCCTTATGTGCAAACCACTATTTTTATTAGCATTCTGGTTACAGATTTCCACAGATTACGAGTGATCTGCCTCTAACCCTATTTTCCCCATAAGCCCTATTACTCTTACTGCTTGATTTTGCCGAACACAAGGTTCTTGAGGAATGCCTAAGTGTTGGGTGCTCCACGCACTGCCTTGGATCCTCTTGGCCACACCTCGATTCCTGCTATTATTTGAGGACACAATTCTATGCAGGCTTCAACTCACCTCCTGTGGCCCTGCCTCACCTCAAGCATGCGCTGTACATCTTCCCCTGACCCCGCAAGGTTCTCCGATGCTGTGGTGCGACGTGCCTGCGGGAGCACCCCGGCACTCGCTGATGTGAAACCTACAAGCGCAAGGGCGTTACAACCTTCAAGATGACCCTCTGTCAATGCTAGATGGGAGTTCATGGGGGAACACTTACAACTTCTGCCTTTCATCCATTGGGTGGTCAGTTTGAGGCACTATCTGTATACAACTCCTCAGAAGTTGCTGTTGGGATGGAAGCCCCCGTGCCCACTGCAGTCACCAATGTGACTGGCTTGGTTTTCCTTCTTCCCTGGTCAGTTTCCTTAGTCTCCACCCCTGCTCCCTGGTATCACCACTGTCCACAGTAAACTACACACACAGTTCCTTGTACCAGGCTTGTCTTCCCAGGGGAATAAGACAGCATGTGCTGCATTAAAATGGAAACACCTTTACTTACTTTTACGTACTGTTAATCAACAGTCACTGCCCAGTTCTTCCAAGTGGCCTTTATCATCCCTTCCCTGTAACTTCCTGGGTCCCCGTTTGAGACTCCCCCAAAGGAGTAATGTCACGCACAGCAGGAGGCTGCCAGCAGGGGGCTCCAACCCTACACCAACATCTGTTCTGAAGGTGCCTCAGCCGGACTAGTGATAAATGCTTTAGATTTCACCCTGGCAGTGAGATACAGGTAAAGATAAGTGCCTATTCAAGCCCTATGTTCCTTTTACTGGCGATTCATGTAAACCACACTCCTAATGAATTGAGGACTAATTTTTTTTTTGAAACAGGATCTCTCTGTTGCCCAGGCTGGAGTGCAGTGGCACAGTCATAGCTCACTGCAGCCTCAACCTTCCAGGCCCAGGTGATCCTCCTGCCTCAGCCTCCCAAAGGACTAAGATTACAGGCAGGCATCACCACGCCTGGCTAATTTTTTTTATTTTTCGAAGAAACAGGGTCTCACTATGTTGCCCAGGCTGGTCTCGAACTCCTGTACTCAAGCAATCCTCCTGCTTTGGCCTCCCAAAGTGCTGAGATTACAGGCCTGAGCCACTGAGCCCAGACACAACTGTTTTAAAAGGCAAGGTCAGTGGACTAGGTATTTGAACTATACATTCATGGCCAGACGCAGTGGCTCACTCCTGCAATCCTAGCACTTTGGGAGTCCGAGGCGGGCAGATCCCCTGAAGTCAGGAGTTTGAGACCAGCCTGGTCAACATGGTGAAACTCCGTCTCTACTAGAAATACAAAAATTAGCCAAGTGTGGTGGCACGTGCTTGTACTCCCAGCTACCTGGGAGGCTAAGGCAGGAGAATCACTAGAACCCAGGAGGTGGAGGCTGCAGTGGGACAAGATCACACCACTGAACTCCAGTCTGGGTGACAGAGCGAGACTCCATCTCAAAAAAATAAATCAAATCAAATCAAATGAACTATACATTCATTATGGATGACTCAAAAAGGTTGGGTAAATATTAAAAGTAATAAGAGACCTAGGAAGGAAATAAAGAATTATGAGGCCAAAGGCCGGGCGCCGTGGCTCACGCCTATAATCGCAGCACTTTCAGAGGCCGAGAAAGGCGGATCACGAGGTCAGAAGATTGAGACCATCCTGGCTAACACAGTGAAACCCTGTCTCTGCTAAAAATACAAAAAATTAGCCGGGCGTGGTGGCCGGCGCCTGTAGTCCCAGCTACTCGGGAGGCTGAGGCAGGAGAATGGCGTGAACCTGGAAGGCGGAGCTTGCAGTGAGCCGAGATGGCGCCACTGCACTCCAGCCTGGCGGACAGAGCGAGACTCCCGTCTCAAAAAAAAAAAAAAAAAAAAAAAAAGGCCGGGCGTGGTGGCTCACACCTGTAATCCCAGCACTTTGGGAGGCCGAGGCGGGCGGATCACGAGGTCAGGAGATTGACGCCATCCTGGCAAACATGGTGAAACCCCGTCTGTACTAAAAAATACAAAAAATTAGCAGGCTTGGTGGTGGGTGCCTGTAGTCCCAGCTACTTGGGAGGCTGAGGCAGGAGAATGGTGTGAACCCGCGAGGCAGAGCTTGCAGTAAGCAGAGATCAGGCCACTGCACTCCAGTCTGGGCGACAGAGCAAGACTCTATCTCAAAAAACAAAACAAAACAAAACAAAACAAAACAAAAAAACACTATAGTGGTTCCTCAAAAATTTAAACAAAATTACCACATGATCCAGCAATTCTACTTCTGGATATACATACTAAAGAATTAAGAGCAAAGATTTGAACAGATATTTATACACCCATGTTCATAGCAGTATTATTCACAATAGCCGAAAGGTGAAAACAACTGAAATGTTCATCAACTGATGGATGAACAAACAAAATGTGTGATATACATACAGATATATATACAGTGTGATATACATACTCAAATGTTCATCAACTGATGAATGGATAAACAAAATGCGTGATATACATACAATGTAATATGAGTCAGCCTTTAAAAGGAAGGACATTCTGACACATGCTACAACATGGATGAACCATGGATGAGATACGCTAGGTGAAGTAAGCCAGATGCAAAAGGACAAACATTGCATGATTCCACTTATATGAGGTAACTAGAGTAATAAAATTCACAGAGACAGGAAGTGCAACAATGGTTACTAAGGACTGGGGTTGGGGGAAGAGAATCAGGAGTTATTGTTTAATGCAGCAGTCCTCAATCTTTTTGGCACCAGGGACTGGTTTTGTGGAAGACAATTTTTCCATGGACAGGTATGGGAGGGGAAGATATTTTTGGGATGATTCAAGGGCCTTACATTTACTGTGCACTTTATTTCTGTTATGATTACATTCTAATACATAATGAAATCATTATACAACTCACCATAATGTAGAATCCTTCGGAGCCCTGAGCTTGTTTCCCTGCAACTAGGCAGTCCCATCCGGAGGTGATGGGAGACAGTGACAGATCATCAGGCATTAGATTCTCATCAACAGTGGGCAACCTAGATCCCTCATATGTGCAGTTCACAGTAGAATTCATGCTTCTATGAGAATGTAATACCGCTGCTGATCTGACAGGAGGCGGAGCTCACGTGGTAACGCAAATGACTGGGAGCGGCTGTAAATACAGATGAAGGTTTGCTCCCTCACTCGTCACTCACCTCCTGCTGTGTGACGCGGTTCCTAACAGACCACGGACTGATACAGGTCTCTGTACCCTGGTTTAATGGGTACCGGGTTTCAGCTTGGGAAAATGAAATGTTCTGCAGATAGATGGATGTGATGGTTGCACAACAATGTGAATATATTTATGCTACAGAACTATACACTTTTAAAGGTTTTAAAATAAGTTTTATATGAAACTGACATGTTTTCAGAAAAAAATACATTTCATATTATGTGTAATTTACTACATTACATGAGTATAATAATAAAAACCTAAAACTCAACAGATGGTTGGGAGGCCTAGGCGGGTGAATCACTTGAGGCCAGGAGTTACAGACCAGCCTGGCCAACATGGTGAAACCCCATCTCTACTAAAACTATAAAAATTAGCCAGGTGTGGTAGTGCGTACCTGTAATCTCAGCTACTTGGGAGGCTGAGGCAGTAGAACTGCTTGAACCCAGGGGACGGAGGTTGCAGTCTGCAGAGATCACACCACTGCCCTCTAGCCTGGGAAGCAGAGTGAGACTCAGTCTCAGAAAACAAAAAAACAAAACAAAAACCCTCAACAGATGGGTTTATACTTTATTAGCTACAGTCAAATCAATCAGTGAATGGAGCAGGGGTCAGAAGAAAATTCCCAGAATGCAGCACAGAGGAACAGAAGTCACCCCAAAGAATAATATAGAATTTATGCTCTAGTCTCTGGCATTGGTTTTATGAGTCCTATTTTGGGGTTTCCCCTTTTATAGTAGAAGTTAGGCTTAATATGAGCTACCTTACATGCTCACCCATAGGAAAAAGAATGCCAGCTTTGACATAAGTATGCATATGCATTGTTCCATTTAATTTAATTAATTTAATTTCATTTCATTTATTTAATGATTCTAAGAGAGAGGAACCATGAATCCATTTTTGGGATGGATACTGAAGTCAAGTAGCTTACCCAAGGCCACACACCAAAAAGCCAAGATTCAACACAGGCTAATACAACTCCAAGCCTGCGTTCTTTCTAATACATCAGACTGTGCCTCAAGTGTTTGTTTATTCATTCATTCATTTAATAATTACTGTAAAAAATTAATTTAAAAATAATTATTGTGTATCTATTACAAGTTAAGACTAGGGGCCAGGCAAGGTAGCTCACGCCTGTAATCCCAGCACTTTGGGAGGCTAAAGCAGGCAGATTGCTTGAGCTCAGGAGTTCAAGACCACCCTGGCCAACATGGTGAAACCTTGTCTCTACTAAAAATACAAATAATAATAATAATAATAAGCTGGGCATGGTAGCATGCGCCTGTAATCCCAGCTACTCGGGAAGCTGAGGAAGGAGAATCACTTGAACCCGGGAGGCAAAGGTCACAGTGAGCCAAGATCACACCACTGCACTCCAACCCAGGTAACAGAGAGAGACTCTGTCTCAAAAAAAAATAATAAATAAAACAATAAAAAAAATCTTTTTCAATGGCTCCTCTTCTTCCCCAACTTATTGACACTGGTTTGGGATTAATATGTTTCCATTTCTTTTTTTTTTTTCATGCCCTCCAGACTGGAGTGCAGTGGCACGTTCATGGCTTACTGCCACCTTGACCTCCTGGGGCTCAGGTGATCCTCCCACCTCAGTCTCCTAAGTAGCTGAGACTACAGGTTCATACTACCATGCCCAGCTAATTTTTATATTTATTGTAGAGACAAGGTTTCACCATGTTGGTCTCAAACTCCTGGGCTCATTGATCTATCTACCTTGGCCTCCCCAGTATGCTGGGATTATAGGTGTGAGCCACTGCACCCAGCCAATAAGTTTCCGTTTTGTTGTTGTTTGAGATAGAGTTTCACTCTGTTGCCCCGACTGGAGTGCAGTGGCCCAATCTTAGCTCCCTGCAACCTCCGCCTCCGGGGTTCAAGTGATCCGCCCACCTCAGCCTCCCAAGTAGCACTTTGGGAGGTCAAGGCAGGCGTATAACCTGAAGTCAGAAGTTAGAGATCAGTCTGGCCAACATGGTGAAACCCCATCTCTACCAAAAATACAAAAAAATTAGCTGGATGTGGTGGCGGGTGCCTGTAATCCCAGCTACTCGGGAGGCTGAGGCAAGAGAATCATTTGAACCCAGGAGGCAACCCAGTTGCAGTGAGCCAAGATTGTGCCACTGTACTCCAGGCTGGGCAACAGAGCAAGAGTCCCTCTCAAAAAAAAAAAAAAGAAAAAAGAAAAAAGAAAGAAAGAAAGAGTGTGCTTATTGTGGGGCTAGCCAAGCTGGAGGATGAGAGATAATTCTCAAATCCACCTCATCAAGAATTTGGAGGGTAGGGTTTTTCATGGATAGCTCAGTGGGCAGGGGGCTAGAGAATGAGGAGTGCTGATTGATTGGGTCAGCGATGAAATCATAGGGGATGAAGCTGTCTTCTTGTGTTGAGTCAGTTCCTGGGTGGGGGTCACAAGACCAACTGAGCTAGTTTCTTGGTATGGGTTACTGGTCTAAGTGGAGCCAGCTGGTCCATCAGAACGTAAGGTCTGAAAAATACCTCAAACACCAATCTGATATTTTGCAATAGTGCTGTTGTCTATAGGAGCAACTGGGGAGGCTACAAACCTTGTGACCTCCAGCTACATGACTCCTGAACCATAATTCTAACCTTGTTAGTTTTACAAAGGAGGTTTCAATCCCTGAGCAAGGAGTGCATTAATTTTGGGAAGCACTTGTTGTCATCTTTGTTTTAAAGTTAAAGTATAAGCTAAATCCCTACCATAGTCAGTTTGGCCTACCCCCAAGAATGAACAATGACAGTTTGTGACGTTAGAAGCAAGATGGAGTCAGTGTTGCATTTCTCTCACTATCTTAATTTTTGCAAAGGCAGTTTCAATCTCACTGTATGCAAATTAAAAAAAAAAACTTTTTGTGTAATAAAGAAAGAGATGAAGAGAAGTGGTTCCCATGAAAACTGTTATTTTTGCCACACAAGTGTAAACTGAAAAGGTTTCTGCAGTTTGTAAGCCAGCACTGCTTAAAAAGACTGTTTCCTGGTTGGGTACAGTGGCTCATGCCTATAATCCAGCACTTTGGGAGGCCAAAGCAAGTGGATCACTTGAGGTCAGGAGTTTGAGACCAGCCTGGCCAATATGGTGAAACCCCATCTCTACTAAAAAAAAAAAAAAATACAAAAAGTAGCCAGGTGTGGTGGCACATGCCTATAGTCCCAGCTACTTGGGAGGCTGAGGCAGGAATTGCTTGAACCCAGGAGGTAGAGGTTGCAACGAGCCAAGATCACACCACTCCACTCCAACCTGGGCAACAGAGTGAGACTCCATCTCAAAAAAATAAAATAAAATACTGTTTCCCAAGTTTTGCAGCAATAAAAAAGGAAATTAAGAAGCATGCTTAATATAAACATTGTGTATACAAACAGATTTACGTAAGTTTGTTTGGACTTGCTTCATAACAATTGGATACAAGAAATATCACATTTCTTTATTTTTCTAAATCAAATTAAACTTAATTCACTCCCTACAAGGATTGATAGAAGTTCACCCTCCATCATTTTGGGAGGCTTCTATACTCCCCAAGAACTCAAGAACCCAATTTATAGGCACCACTACAGATATTTTCTAATGTACCCTAGCTCATGAAACTGCCTTTGCAAAAATTATGACAGTAAGAGAAATCTGCCATAGTTGACTCCATCTTGCTTCTGACCTCCAAGCTGCCCTTGGTCATTCCTGTATATAGGTCAAGCTAACTTTGGGAAGAATTTAGTTTATAGTTTTACCTTAAAACAAAGATGATAATAGCCCTTCCCAAAACTAAACCTCCTTTATAAAACTAATAAAAGACCACAAGGTTGGGATTATGGGAGGGACCTGAATTCTAATAAGATAGGCATAGTTTCTATAATCCCTTTCCACTCAGGGGTCATGTGGCCAGAGGTCACAAGATTTGCAACTTCCCCATTTGCTCCTATAGATACCATCACTATTGTAGAACCTAAGATTGGATTTTTGAGATATCTTTCAGACAACCCCACCCAGACTTGTAACTAATGACTCAACTGATCCTGTGACTCAATGGATGTGGAGCATTTTCCACATCCTTGTGATTTCACCCCCCAACCAATCAGCAGCACCCATTCTCTAGTCCCCTGCCCACCAAATTTGCCATAAAAACCCTAACCTCTGAGACTTCAGGGATACTGGTTTGAGTGATAACTCAACTCTCCCATGTGGGCAGGCCTCACTTCAATCAAACTCGTTCTCTACTGCAATGCTATGGTGTTGGTGAATTGATTTGGTCTGTGCAACAGGCAGGAAGAATCCACTGGGTGATTACATTCCTAGTACAACTACCATGGTCTATTCAAGAATAGGTCACCTCCCTTGCTGATTTCCATTCCCTCCCAGCTAAGCTCCAAAGCTGGAGTGCCCCAGGCAGCCACGTGGTCACAATATCAGTTATCTATTGTTGCATAACAACCCACCCCAGCCAGAAGTTTGGTGCTACCATCTGGCTTACTCTGTTGGGTAAATGAACAAATGATGCCCCAGGTAATAGCAAACAGGTGAAAAGGGCACTATTGAACTTGAAAATTGGTGCTTACCTTTAATTCACATGTAGATTATCTTATTTGTCTGAACACAATGGCCACTTCTACTACAAGCTCATTGTGCGGATTTGCAAAACATAAACCACAGTCTCCCATGAAAAATTCCTTCCTCAGTATAAGGAAGGTGACTCTGGAGGCTTTTTTTTAATTCTTCAAGTTCCTAAGAATTGGATATTATTAGGTAAATTACCAATTTGATTGTCTAAATGGCACTCCATTATACTAAAATTCAGAGTAACTCCCCAAATGCCTTCATAATCTAATGGCAAAATTCAATGCCAAGTGTGTCCAAAAACTCATAACCCACTCAATAGATAGAATTCAAATGTGGCTGGGTGTGGTGGAGTCACGCCTGTAATTCCAGAACTTTGGGAGGCCAAGGCGAGCGGATCACTTGAGGTCAGGAGTTTGAGACCAGCCTGACCAACATGGTGAAACTCCATCTCTACTAAAAAGATATAGAAAATTAGCCAGGCATGGTGGTGCATGCCTGTAATCCCAGTTACTTGCAAGGCTGAGGCAGAAGAATTGCTTGAACCCGGGAGGCAGAGATTGCAGTGAGCCGAGATTGTGCCATTGCACTACACCCCAGGCAACAAGAGCAAAACTCCGTCTCAAAAAAAATAAAATAAAATAGGCCAGGTGCAGTGGCTCACGCCTGTAATCCCAGCACTTTGGGAGGCCGAGGTGGGCAGATCATAAGGTCAGGAGATTGAGACCATCCTGGCTAACACGGTGAAACCCCGTCTCTACTAAAAATACAAAAAATTAGCCAGACGTGGTGGCAGGTGCCTGTAGTGCCAGCTACTCGGGAGGCTGAGGCAGGAGAATGGAGTGAACCTGGGAGGCGGAGCTTGCAGTGAGCCAAGATTTCACCACTGCACTCCAGCCTGGGCAACAGAGCGAGACTCCATCTCAAAAAATAAATAAATAAATAAATATAAAGAGAATTCAAATGCAATTTGATCTTCTTACAAACTAGAAAATGTTTCTAGAAATGTTTCTAGAAAGGGCCATTCATTAAATGTTAAAAGCTATTTAATTTACCACTAGCTAGTTCATTGGCAGTAAAAATATGAGTTAACAGTATATATTACAGCAGTGGTTCTCAAATTTTAGCCTGCATCAGAAGCACCTGGAGGGATCATTAAAACACAGACTGTTGCCTCCCCGCTCCCCACCTGCTAGGGGTTTTACCTTAGGTCTGGGTTGGGGTCTGAGAATTTGTGGTTTTTGTTTATTTGTTTGTTTGTTTTGCTTTAATTATTTAAAAATTTTACTTTTTTAAAATTTTTACAAGTCCACAACATGATGATAATTTGCATTGTTAACAAGTGCCAGGTGATGCTTAAACTGCTAGGGAATCACACACTGAGAAACACTGTATCACAGGGAAGGGAAAAGCTCTTAGGCTAACTATGAAATGGACATAAATTCTGTTTTATCCAGGGACAAAAGAGGCTCAAAATTTAGCTTTGGCCTGGAACACAGGCTAGTGGGGCTAGTGGTTGTCAAGGGTGCTGGGGACGTGTGTGGAGGGAGTGGAGGCTACATTCTAAAAGAAGAGGATGCTGATGCCATATTTAAATATGAGAAACTAGGTTGCTGGAACCACCAGTTTATCAATGTGGTACATGCCACAGGCATTGAAATCTAACTCCAATCTAGTGCCTACGCCCTGTTTTCTCTACCACTACCATCCTTAAAAAATGAAAAAGAAATTACGTTCACTTTAGCCTAACCTCTCAAAGCCCCAGGTGTGAATTAGTTTATCTGATGATGAAGCTTATAAAATTTTACATGTGATTTGCCATTATCAGGATGTAAAGCACGTTCAGATTTATTACCTTCTTTGATCAAAACAATCCTATGTGGTAGACCCTGTTATTCTTATTATACAGATAAGAAAATTTAATCAACAAAGGATAAATGACTGGCTCAACATTAGAGCTAATAATTATCAGTGCCAGTGCTCAAGTCCAGGCTTTTGAAGATCAAGTACTAAAAGGTTAAGCTGTCCAAAGATGTAGATTCCCATAAATGTAGAAGCCAAAAAGAAAATTTGTTACCCTTGTTATTGCTGTTTCTCAAACATGTTAGGAGTAATAACATTTAAATACATGTAACACTTATTTTCATGAGGAGATAGCATAAAAAATAGATACCATCACAACAAAGATGAGAAAAAAAATAGAAAGCAGCCAGGTGCAGTGGCTCATGCCTGTAATCCCAGCACTTTGGGAAGCCAAGGCGATGGATCACCTGAGTTCAGGAGTTCAAGACCAGCCTGGCCAACATGGCAAAACCCCTAAAAATACAAAAATACAAAAATTAGCTGGGCGTGGTGGCATGCACCTGTAGTCCCAGCTACTCGGGAGGCTTAGGCAGGAAAATCGCTTGAATCCGGGAGGCAGAGGTTGCAGTGAGCCGAGACTGTGCCCCCGCGCTCCAGCCTGGGTGACAGAGCAAGACTCCATCTCAGAAAAACATAATAATAAGAAATAGAAAGCACGTTCTCCCATTTTCAAAACAGCATTATTTAAAGGATATAACTTGTGGCTGGGTGCAGTGATTCATGTCTGTAATCCCAGCACCTTGGGAGGCTGAGGCAGGTGGATTACTTGAGGCCAGGAGTTCGAGACCAGCCTGGCCAACATGGCAAAACCCTGTCTCTATTAAGAATACACAAATTAGCCAGTTGTGGTGGTGTGTGCCTGTAGTCCCAGGTACTTGGGAGGCTGAGGCAGGAGAATGCTTGGACCCAGGAGGCGGAGGTTGCAGTGAGCCAGGATTGTGCCACTGCACTCCAGCTTGGGCGACAGAGTGAGACCCCGTCTCAAAAAATAAATAATAAATAATAAAGGGTACAACTTGATAAATGTTATACAAACACGCCAGTGATCATCACCAATGTCAAGATAATGAACGTATTCATCAGCCCTCAAGGTTGCTTTGTGTTCCTCTGGACCCCCACACAAACCTACCCCGTCTCCAGACAACCACTGAGCTGTTTTCTGTCACTATGCATTAGTTTGCATTTCATTTTTTTTTTTTAAGACAGGGTCTCACTTTGTTGCCCAGGCTGAGGTGCAGTGGCATGGTCACGGCTCACTGCAGTTTCAGCCTCTCGGGTTCAAGCAATCCTCCCACCTCAGCCTCCTGAGAAGCTGGAACTACAGACATGTATCGCCGTGCCTGGCTAGTTTTTTAATTTTTAGTAGAGATGGAGTCTCTCTATGTTGTCCAGGCTGATCTCAAACTCTTTGGTCAAGAGGTCCTCCTGCCTCAGCCTCCCAAAGTGCTGGGATTATGGGCCGAGCCACCATGTCCAGCTCTTACAGTTTTATGTAAATGAAATCACACAGTAGGTACACTTGCTTGTCTGGCTTATTTCTCTTAGCATAATTATTTTGAAATTCATCTATGTTATAGTATGAATTTTTTAATTTTAATTTTTATTTATTTACTTATTTTACATGGAGTCTCACCCTGTCACCCAGGCTAGAGTGCAGTGGCGTGATCTCAGCTCACTGCCACCTCCACCCCCCAGGTTCAAGTGATTCTCCTGTCTCAGCCTCCTGAGTAGCTGGGACTTCAGGTGCATGCCATCATGCCTAGCTAATTTTTGTATTTTTAGTAGAGACGAGGTTTCACCATATTGGTCAGGCTGGTCTCAGACTCCCAACCTCAGGTGATCCACCCACTTCAGCCTCCCAAAGTTCAGGGATTACAGGCATGAGCCACCGTGCCTGGCCTATACCATGGATTCATAGTTCATTCCTTTTTGTTGCTGAGTAGTATTCTGTTGCATGGACCTGCCACAGTTTCTTCTTCTTTTTTTTTTTTTCTTCAACCCCAGAGAGTTAGCTACAGTTTCTTTATCTGTTCACCTATTGATAGACATTTGACTTGTTTCTAAATCTTGGCTATTTTAAATAAAGCTGTATCAATAATCATGTACAAGTCTTTGTATAGACATATGCTGTATGCTTTCATTCTCTTGGGGGAAATTCTTAGGAGTGAATTATATGGATCATATGAGAGGTTTATTTTAACTTTTAAAGAAACTACAAATCTGATTTTCGAAGTACTTGTACATTTTTACATTCCTACCAACAACAGAACAGAGTTCTAGCTGTTCTACATCCTGATCAACACTTGGTCTCATCGAGCTTTTGAATTTTGGCCATTCTAATGGGATTGTAGTGGTATGGCATTGGATTTAAATTTGTATTTCCTGATGGAATACTACTTAGCCATAAAAAGGAATGAATTAATGGCATTCACAACAACCTGGATGGGACTAGAGACTATTATTCTAAGTGAAGTAACTCAGGAATGGAAAACCAAACATTGTATGTTCTCATTCATAAGTGGGAGCTAAGCTACGAGGATGCAAAGACATAAAAATAACACAATGGGCCGGGCGCGGTGGCTCACGCCTGTAATCCCAGCACTTTGGGAGGCCGAGGCGGGCGGATCACGAGGTCAGGAGATCGAGACCATCCCGGCTAAAACGGTGAAACCCCGTCTCTACTAAAAATGCAAAAAAATTAGCCGGGCGTAGTGGCGGGCGCCTGTAGTCCCAGCTACTTGGGAGGCTGAGGCAGGAGAATGGCATGGACCCGGGAGGCGGAGCTTGCAGTGAGCCGAGATCCCGCCACTGCACTCCAGCCTGGGCGACAGAGCGAGACTCCGTCTCAAAAAAAAAAAAAAAAAAACACAATGGACTTAGGGGACTCAGGAGAGAAGGGTGAGAAGGGGTGAGGGATAAAAGACTACAAATTGGGTGCAGTGTATACTGCTCAGGTGATGGGTGCACCAAAATCTCACAAATCACCGCTAAAGAACTAACTCATGTAACCAAACACCACCTATCCCCCAAAAACCTATGGAAATAAAAAATTTCTTTAGCTGGGCATGGTGGCTCACGCCTGTAATCCCAGCACTTTGGGAGGCCAAGGCAGGCAGATCACCTGAGGTCAGGAGTTCAAAACCGGCCTGGCCAACATGGCAAAACCCTGGCTCTACTAAAAATACAAAAAAAAAAATTAGTCGGTCGTGGTGGTGTGTGCCTGTAATCCCAGCTACTAGGGAGGCTGAGACACAAGAATCACTTGAACGTGGGAGGCGGAGGTTGCAGTGAGCCGAGATCGAGCCACGGCACTCCAGCCTGGGTGACAGAGAGAGACTCTGTCTCAAAAAAACAAAAAAAACAAACAAGTGGCTGGGCGTGGTGGCTCATGCCTGTAATCCCAGCACTTTGAGAGGCTGAGGCGGCCAGATCACCTGAGGTCGGGAGTTTGAGACCAGCCTGACCAACATGGACAAACCCCGTCCCTACTAAAAAAAAATACAAAATTAGCCAGGCGTGGTGGTGCATGCCTGTAATCCCAGCTACTTGGGAGGCTGAGGCAGGAGAATTGCTTGAACCCGGGAGGTGGAGGTTGGGGTGAGCCGAGATTGCGCCATTGCACTCCAGCCTGGGCAACAAGAGTGAAACTTCATCTCAAAAAAAAAAAAAAAAACAAAGCAAAAATAACCCCAAACAAGCAAACAAACAAAAAAAGAAAACAAATGACTCAAATTTTTTAAAAGATAAAAGACACTTTAACAGAAAAGATATACAGATGGCAAAATAAACACACAAAAGGCTAGGCAACATCATTAGTCATTAGGGAAATAAAAATTTATTTATTTATATCATATATTAATAAAATGTATTAAAACAACAAGATACATAGCAATTATTGACATTTATACATCTAATAACAAACCTTCAAAATATCCTCTGTGCTCTATCCATGCCTCTCCACTCTAATGGTGGCTCAAAATAAGAAAACTATCAATGTAATTCATCAGATTAATATAATAAAAGGGAAACACCACATGATCAACTCAATTGATGTAGAAAAGGCATTTGACAAAATCCAATACTCTTTCATAAAAAAAAAACTTCCCAGAAAACTAGGAATGTAGGGAAAATTCCTCAACATGATAAAATACCTAAACATGATAAAAACACATCCAATATTATACTCAAGTGTGAAAGACTGAAAGCTTTCCCTCTAAAATCAAGAACAAGACAAGGGTGCTACTTTTCACCAGTTTTAAATTATTATTATTATTATTTTTTGAGATGGAGTCTCAGCTCTGTCATCCAGGCTGGAGTGCAGTGGCATGATATCAGCTCACTGCAGCCTCCACCTCCTGGGTTCAGCTGATTCTCCTGCTTCAGCCTCCTGAGTAGCTGGGACTACAGGTGCCCGTCACCATGCCCGGCTAATTTTTGTATTTTTAGTAGAGTCTGGGTTTCACCATATTGGCCAGGCTGGTCTCAAACTCCTGACCTCAGGTGATCCACTCGCCTCAGCCTCCCAAAGTGCTGTGATTACAGGCGTGAGCAACCACGCCTGGCACCCTAGGGGTTTATTTTCAGAAAAATAATTTGAAGGAAAAGAAATTTTATTTATTTTAGAATATTTTATAATAGTTTTTCCCCATACTAAATAAAAAATTAAAGGAATGTCTCAAATGTTTAACAGTAGAGAAATGATTAAGCCAATTATGCCATCTCTACATGATGGAATTATATAGTTTTTAAAGATAAGACTCATGATGAGAAAACTCATGCAACAACATCAAATAAAAAAGAGAGTATAACAAATTTATATGTATATATATTTGGTAAAATAACATCAAATCAAAGTAGAACACAAATTTGTGTGTACATAAACTGTGATTACAGGCCAGGCGTGGTGGCTCACGCCTGTAATCCCAGCACTTTGGGAGGCCGAGGTGGGCCGATCACGAAGTCAGGAGTTTGAGACCAGTCTGGCCAACATACTGAAACCCTGTCTCTACTAAAAATACAAAAAAATTAGCCAGGCGTGGTGGTGGGTGCCTGTAATTCCAGCTGCTCGGGAGGCAGAGCAGGAGAATTGCTTGAACCTGGGAGGCAGAGGTTGCAGTGAGGCAAGGTCACGCCATTGCACTCCAGTCTGGGCAACAAGAGTGAAACTCCGTCTCAAAAAAAAAGCAAACCTGTGATTACAACTATGTGAGAGTTACGCATATGGAATAGGGAGAAAGAGGTGTTCCTTTGAAAAGCTGGAGGCAGAAATCCTCAGAAAGTGCACTCTCTTTGCTGGGCCAAATACTTCATAGGCTCTCATGGTTGTAGCAATCTAGAGCTTAGAGCAGGCCCGGGTTAGAGTAAGATAAGTAATACAGCATTTCTCTTCAAAATAAAGAAAGATGGCCAAGCGCAGTGGCTCATGCCTGTAATCCCAGCACTTTGGGAGGCTGAGGTGAGCAGATCACAAGGTCAGGAGATCGAGACTATCTTGGGCAACATGGTGAAACCCCATCTCTACTAAAAATACAAAAATTAGCTGGGTGCGGTGGTGCATGCCTGTAATCTCAGCTACTTGGGAGGCTGAGGCAGGAGAATCGCTTGAACCCAGGAGGCGGAGGTTGCAGTGAGCTGAGATCGTGCCACAGCACTCCAGCCTGTCAACAGAGTGAGCTCCGTCTCAAAAAGAAAAAAAGAAAAGAAAGAAAGATGAATTTTAGTAACTGAGCACAGTCACTCATGCCTGTAATCCCAATACTTTAGAAGTCTGAGGCAGGAGGATTGTTTGAGCCCAGGAGTTCAAGACCAACCTGGGCAACACAGTGAGACCTGGTCTCTACAAAAAAGAAAGACAAATTTTTAATTTCCTGGAGCAAGCTAAAGTGGGCAGGAGTGGGAAGAAGCTGGTGGAGATGAACAGTCAGATCAGAGAGAGAAAGTGAGAAAGAGTGGGCACTGGAGACTTCATATTGTAAAGATGGCAGTGCTCCTCAAATTGATCTGCAGATCCAATGCAATCCTTATCCATTTCCCAGGTGACTTCTTTGCAGTATAAGCTGATGCTAAAATTATGCGAGATATCACAGAACCTCTTTTTTTTTTCAGTCTTGAAACAATAATAACAAGTTGGGAGGACTCATACTCGAGAGGCTGAGGTGGGGGAATCGCCTGAGCCCAGAAAGTCGAGGCTACAGTGAGCCATGATCATACTACTGCACTCCAGCCTGGGCAACAGAGTGAGACCCTGTCTCAAAAAAAAAGTCTCCCTCGTGACACACAGTTTACCTATATAACAAACTTGCACATGTACCCCTGAAACTAAAATATAAGTTAAAAAAAACTTTGAAGAAAATACGTGTACATTTTTATGACTTTGGATTAGATGATGATTTCTTAGATACTATACCAAAAGCACAAGCAATCAAAGAAAAAAATAGGTAAATTGGGCATCATCAAAATTAAAAACATTTGTGCTTCAAAGGAAACCATCATGAAAGCAAAAAAAAACCCACAAAAAATATTTGTAAATTATATAGCTGATAGGAGTCTAGTGTCCAGCATATATAAAGAACTTTTACAACCCAATAACAATAAGACAAATAATTCAAAATTGTTTTTTTTTTTTTTGAGACGGAGTCTCGCTCTGTTGCCCAGGCTGGAGTACAGTGGCGCGATCTCAGCTCACCCAAGCTCTGCCTCCCGGGTTCACGCCATTCTCCTGCCTCAGCCTCCCAAGTAGCTGGGACTGCAGGCAGCCGCTACCGTGCCCGGCTAATTTTTTTGTATTTTTAGTAGAGACGGGGTTTCACCATGTTAGCCAGGATGGTCTTGATCTCCTGACCTCGTGATCCGCCCACCTCGGCCTCCCAAAGTGATGGGATTACAGGCGTGAGCCACTGCACCCGGCCCAATAATCCAATTTTTAAATGGGCAAAGGATCTGAGTATACATTTCTCCAAAGAAAATATACAAATGGCCGATAAAAAAATGAAAATCTCAACTCCTTTGGCCATCAGAAAAATGCAAATCAAACCCATATTGAGATACCAGTTCACACTTCCTAGGATGGCTATAATAAAAATAGATAATAAGTGTTGGTGAGAGTGTGGAGAAATTGGAAACTTCATGCACAAGTGGTAGGTAAGTAAAACGGAGCAGCCACTTTAGAAAATAGTCTGTCCAGGCGTGGTGGTTCACGCCTGTAACCCTAGCACTTTGCAAGGCCGAGGCAGGTGGATCGCTTGAGGCCAGGAGTTCAAGACCAGCTTGGGCAACATGGTGAAACCCTATCCCTACCAAAAAAAAAAAAAAAATTGGCCAGGCATGGTGGCATGCACCTGTAGTTCCAGTAGTTCCAGGTACTCGGGAGGCTGAGGTGGGAGGATTGCTTGAGCAAGAGAGGTGGGGATTGCTGTGAATCGAAATCACACCACTGCACTCCTGCCTAGGTGACAGATCAAGACCCTATCTTAGAAAAAAAGAAAAGAAAAGAAAAGAAAATAGTCTGGCCATTCCTCAAAAGGTTAAACATAGAGGTGCCACATGATTCAGGAGTTCTGTTCCTTATGCATATATCCGAAAGAATTGAGAACATATTATATGTTCACAAAAAAACTTGAACATGAGTGTTAACAGCTTCATTATTTATAATGGCCATAAAGTGGAAACTACCCAAATGTCCATCCAATGCTATACTTTCTGCCTTATAATTGGGATATTTATACCACACAGGTGGGCAAACTCAAAGGCTCACCCTTTGAGTAAATATCTTACTCAAAATATTGAGTAAATATCTTACTCAAAATATTGAGTAAATATCTTACTCAAAATATTGAGTAAATATCTTACTCAAAATATTGAGTAAATATCTTACTCAAAATATTGAGTAAATATCTTACTCAAAATATTGAGTAAATATTTTAGGCTTTGTGGGACAAGAGGCAAAATTGAAGCAATTATATAGTCAGTTATAGAAAAAAATTTACCATTAAAAAATGTAAAAACTGCTTTTAGTTCATGAGCACCGCAAAAACAGGCAACAGATGGCGGGGTATGGTGGCTCATGACTGTAATCCCAGTAATTTGGTGAGGCCAAAGCAGGAGAATCACTTGAACCCAGGAGTTTGAGATCAGACTCTACAAAAAAATACAAAAAAAAATTGTACCTGGGAAGCTGAAGTGGGAGGATCACTTGGGCCTGGGAGATCGAGGCTACAGTGAGCCATATTCATGCTACTGCATTCCAACCTGGGCAACAGAGTGAGACTCTGTCTCAAAAAACAAGCAAACAAGCAAACAAACCAGGAAACAGCCATGATTTGGTTTCGAGCTACAGTTCACTGACCCCTAGTTGAAACTATTTATATTGAAGGTGATTAGTGATACGGTTAAGTTTAAATCTGTTATCTTGCTATTTGCATTTCTTTTTTCCTCATCTGTCTCTTATTTTCACTTTTTTCCCTTGCCCTTTTTTTTGCATTAAATAAATATTTGTTATGATTCCAAGGTATTTTATTTGCTTATTTGCTATTTTTTTATTTTAAAAGTTGCTTTAGGTTTTATAGTATATATCTTTTACCTATCACAGTTTTTCTTAAAATGAGATACGTTTTCATGTATAGTATAAGAGCCTTATAAAGTATACTTCTGGCCTGGCGCAGTGGCTCACACCTGTAATATCAGCACTTTAGGAGGGTGAGGCGGGAGGATCCCTTGAGGTCAGGAGTTTGAGACCAGTCTGGCCTACATGGTGAAACCTCATCTCTACCAAAAATTACAAAAATTAGCTGTGCATGGTGGCACACATTTGTAATCCCAGCTACACGGGAGGCTGAGGCGGGAGAATCACTTGAGCCTGGGAGGCGGAGCTTGCAGTGAGCCGAGATTGTGCCACTGCACTCTAGCCTGGGCAACAGAGTAAGACCCTGTCTCAAAAAAAAAAAAACATATACATATTTATTATTATTATTATTATTTGAGGCAGAGATCTCGGCTCACTGTAACCTCTGCCTCCCAGGTTCAAGCAATTCTCCTGCTTCAGCCTCCCAAGTAGCTGGGATTACAAGCATGTGCCACCACACCCAGCTAATTTTGTATTTTTAGTAGAGATGGGGTTTCTCCACATTGGTCAGGCTGCTCTTGAACTCCCGACCTCAGGTGATCCACCTGCCTTGGCCTCCCAAAGTGCTGGGATTACAGGCGTGAGCCACCGCACCTGGCCTATATATATTATTTTTAATAATACAGCACCTCATACGTAGTAGAGGTCTAATAAATAGAAGCTATTATTCCTATCACATTTTTTTCACAGATACCCTCACAAAAGTATAAAGCTATATGATAAATCCTTAGAATTAAAATGTTGGACAAAACGGTATATGCATTGAAAAGTTACAATAATATCAAATTACTCTCCAAAATATTGTGCTAATTTACACTTCTACTTACAAGGTATGAGATTGCCTATTTCTCTATATCTTCGTGGCAATACTTTGCATTATCAAACTTTTTAATACTTGTCAATCTTATTGATGGAAAAGTGGAATTCACTATGAATGAGACTAACCATCTTTTCAGGTATGTAAAGGTCAATATTTCTCAATATGATTTACCTGTTCATGGGCTTTGCCCATTTTGTTGTTAGGGTATTTATCTTTAAATTATTTAATTTTTAATTTTAATTTTTTTTGAGACAGGGTATCACTCTGTCACCCCAGCTGGAGTGCAGTGATGCAATTATGGCTTACTGCAGCCTTGATCTCTCGGGCTCAAGCGATCCTCTCACCTCAGTCCCCCTGAGTAGCTGGGACTGCGGGCATGCTCCACCATGCCCAGCTACTTTTTGTATTGTGTGTAGAGATGGGGTTTCACCATATTGCCCAGGCAGTTATCGAACTCCTGGGCTCAAGCAGTCAGCCCACCTTGGCTTCCCAAAGTGCTAGGAGTACAGGCATAAGCCACCACACCCATCCTAAATTATTGATTTTTAAGAACTCTTTCCATATTAAGGAAAGTAGTTCTTACAAATATTCAGGCAGGATGCAGTGGTTCACTTGATATAATACCAGCACTTTGAGAGGTCAAGACAGGAGGAATGCTTGAGGCCAGGAGTTTGAGACCAGCCTGGGCAACATAGTGAGACCCCATCTCTTTAAATATATATATATATATAATTTTGCTGTGCATCTTTTGACTTCAATAGTATTCTTTTCAATAGAAACATTTTTTGTGAGTCAAATTTTCCAGTTATTTAAATGGTGGCCTCTGGATTTAATATATTCCTTCAAAATGGCTTCCAACTCCTGGATAATAAAAACAGTGCAGCCATTATTTTTGGACTCAATTTTTAATAGTTCAATCTTTTTAACAAGTAAAACTTTGATTCATAAAAAACATGTTGGTAAAGAATGAGGAAGAAAACTAATTTTATATTCTCCATAATTCAATTTGTCTTATCATTATTTACTGAATTATCAATCTTTTCCTTGCTTCTTCAAAATGTCACATCTATCATATAATAATTCCCTTTACATATTTGATGACTTTGTATATTGTATATGTCCTTTCTGATTCTTCAGGCCCTTCATTTACACTGCTATTTTTTTTTTTCTCTCTTTAGACGGAGTCTCGCTCTGTAGCCCAGGCTGGAGTACAGCAGCACAATCTCAGCTCACCGCAACCTCTGCCTCCGAGGGCATGCACCACCATGCCCAGTTAATTTTTTTTTTTTTCTTGAGATGGAGTCTTGCTCTGTTGCCCATGCTGGAACGCAGTAGCATGATCTCGGCTCACTGCAATCTCTACCTCCTGGGTTCAAGCTATTCTCCTGCCTCAGCCTCCTGAGTAGCTGGGACTCCAGGCACAAGCCACCAGACCCGGCTAATTTTTGTATTTTTAGTAGAGATGGGATTTCACCGTGTTGGCCAGGCTGGTCTCAAACTCCTGACCTCAGGTGATCCACCCCCCTTGGCTTCCCAAAGTGCTGAGATTATAGGCATGAGCCACTCTGCCCAGCCATTACACTACTATTTTTTAATGAAGTTTTTCCAGGTATTAAAATCATAGAATTCTAGCATTGGGAGGTTGTTCAAAATCATCTAGTGCAGTCTCCAGTCAAATTTAGACATTTATTTCACTGCATACATGACAGATGGTCACCTAGCCCCAGCTTGAATATTTCTAGCAATGGAAAACTCGAACTCCATATAACAGATGCTTCAGTTTTTGATAACTTCTGGTGATTAGAAACTTACATCATATTGTGCTAAAATTAGCCCTCCTGAAATTCCTGTCCACTGCTTCTACTTCTACCCTGACAGCATACAAGACTATCAAATCTACCAACCTGTTGATGTATGAGGTCATTATCCTCCCTTTGGCCTTCTTGATGGAAAAACGTTTTTTGTTTGTTTGTTTGTTTGTTTTTTAGACAGGATCTTGCTCTGTCACCCAGGCTGGAGTGCAGTGGCGTGATCTCGGCTCACTGCAACCTCTGCCTCCCGAGTTCAAGAGATTCTCCTGCCTTAGCCTCCCGGGTAGCTGAGATTACAGGCGCCTGCCACCACTCCTGAATAATTTTTTTATTATTATTTTTCAGTAGAGACTAGGTTTCACCATGTCAGCCAGGCTGGTCTCAAACTCCTGGCCTCAAGTGATCCACCTCCCTTGGCCTTCCAAAGTGGAAAAACATGGGTATTGATCCTTCTACCTCCCCTCCCATAGGCTAAACAATTTGTCTACTTTTTGGATAATTAACCAGTTAGTAATGTGATTTCTTTCTTGACACTGCATTTCAAAAAATACATATCTGTAAAATAAAAATTCATAATCTTCACTTCCTACCTTTCAACCTCCTTCCAATTCCCTCTCGTTGAGGAAACTAATGATAACCTTATGAGGCATAACTTTTAATTTTTTTTCTATCCATATACAGAAATATGAGGTTTTTTTGTTTGTTTGGTTTTGGTTTTTTTTTTTTTTTTGACGGAATCTTGATCTGTCGCCCAGGCTAGAGTGCAGTGGCACAATCTTGGCTCACTGCAACCTCCACCTCCTGGGTTCAAGCAATTCTCCTGCCTCAGCCTCCTGAGTAGTTGGGATTATAGGCTCTCACCACCTTGCCCGGCTAATTTTTGTATTTTTAGTAGAGACGGGGTTTCACCATGTTGGCTAGGCTGGTCTTGAACTACTGACCTCAGGGTGATCCACCCACCTCAGCCTCCCAAAGTGTTGGGAGAAAAGCTGAGTGTTGGGAGAGAAGCTGAGGCAGGGCTTGCATGTCTGCTAGACTTGCTGGCTCCTTGCTTCTAGCGCTCCCGTTATCTCAAGCAGCCATATGTTTCTCATTCACTTGATACACTGTTTCTTTTCAACCCCCACATCCTCACCACCTGTTTCTTTGTTTGAGCACCAATAAGTAGCGTGGGCTCCCAGAGCACGAGGCCTTTGCAGCCTCCACACTCGCAATGGCCCCCTGGTCCCGCTTTCTCTCTCAATGCGTTTTTCTCATTCCTTTGACTTGGTCGGAATGTGTCACCCCCATGACCTGGTGTTGGGTCTGATCACCCCCACACAAAGTGCTGGGATTACAGGCACGAGCCACCAGACCCGGCCAGTGCTGAACATTTTTCTAAGTCAATGTATGTAGAAATCTATAGCATTCTTTTAAATAACTTCATAATATTTTTTACTATGGATTTGCCATAATTTATTAAAACATTCCCTGTATACATTAATGGTGATTCCAGATTTTTTGGCTGTTATAAAAGAAATTATGTAATGCACATCCTTACATATAAATTGTTATATACCAGTGCTTTTATTTCTATAAAGTACATTTCTAGAAGTAGGATTACTGGATCAAAGGGTATGTTCATGTTAAATAAGTCATTTGGCCTCAAAGTGCTGGGATTATATGTGTGAGCCACGGCACCTGGCACAGTCTTTGTTAACAGAGGTTAAGCAAAACAAATATTCTCTTTTATTTTCTGCTATTTTAGCAGTTTTATTTTTTTGTATTGGTATTTTCAATCTCTGTGGGGTTTACTATTTATAGTGTGAGTCATATGAGGCAAAGTGCTAACTTTGTTTTCTTCTAGATAGAGAGCCAACCTGAGTAGTGCCTCAGCCTCCCGAGTAGCTGGTATTTCAGGCATGCACCACCACGCCCTGCTAATTTTTTTGTATTTATTTTTAGTAGAGATGGGCTTCACTGTGTTGGCCAGACTGGTCTTGAACTACTGTCCTCAAGCGATTCACCTGCCTCAGCCTCCCAAAGTGTTGGGATTATAGGCATGAGCCACAGCACTCAGCAAAAATACACTTTTTAAAAAACAAAGCCAAAAGATAAATTATAGACTGGAAGATAATATTTGCAAGATGTAACCAAGTGTAAATATTATTAAAATATAAATAACTGGGCCAGGCACAGTGGCTCACGCCTGTAATTCCAGCACTTTGGGAGGCCGAGGCGGGCAGATCATATATATATGATCTATCTATCTCTCTATATATATGATCTAACTATGATCTATATATATGATCTATATATATATGCTTCAAATTAATAAGAAAGAAATATATAAACAAGCTCATAAAATGGGCAAAGGATAGGGATAAAAATATATAGAAAGAAATATAAGCAGGCCAGGTGTGGTGGCTCATGCCTGTAATCCCAGCACTTTGGGAGTCCAAAACAGGTAGATCACTTGAGCCCAGGAGTTTGAGGTCAGCCTGGGCAACATGGCAAAACCGTCTCTACTAAAAACACAAAAATTGCCGGGTGCGGTGGTGGCTCACGCCTGTAATCCCAGCAGTTTGAAAGGCTGAGGCAGGTGGATCGCCTGAGGTCAGGAGTTCAAGACCAGCCTGGCCAACGTGGTGAAACCCCATCTCTACTAAAAATACAAAAATTAACCAGGTGTGGTAACGTGTGCCTGTAATCCCAGCTACTTGGGAGGCTGAGGCAGGAGAATCGCTTGAACCCGGGAGGTGGAGGTTGTGGTAAGCAGAGTTCACACCATTGCATCATTCCAGCCTGGGCGACACAGCGACAGAACAAGACTCCGTCTCAAAAAAAAAAAAAAAAAAAAAAGCAAGTGGAAGCATGTTCACAATGTCGGTGATAGAAGTTAGAAGTAGTGTTCCTTCTTCTGTTTTCCAAATACTCTGTAATGTGGTTTTCACAATTTAGAAAAGAAAAATGTAACATTCTCATATTGGTTTTGTTGTTGTTGTTTTGAGACAGTCTCGCTCTGTTGCCCAGGCTGGGGTGCAGTGGAATGATCTCCACTCACTGCAACCTCCACCTCCCTGGTTCAAGCGATTCTCCTGCCTGAGCCTCCCGAGTAGCTGGGATTACAGGCGCCTGCCTCCAAGCCTGGCTTTTTTGTATTTTCAGTAGAGATAGGGTTTCACCATGTTGGCCAGGCTGGTCTCAAACTCCTGACCTCAGGCCATCTGCCCACCTTGGCCTCCGAAAGTGCTGGGATTACAGGCAAGAGCCACTGTGCCCAGCCTCTCATATTGTTTTCTAAGTATGTTGCGTGTTCTAGAACCTAATTTTGCAGTCCAAATGCAATTTATACTTCTGCCAAATAAATCTTACACCTAAGCATTCTTCTACAACCTGAACAAAGAACAAAATTTTCATTTCATAATAAAGACTTTCATTTTATTATCTTCTTTACTTGCAGCTAGAAAAAAAGGAAGTATGAGGGGAAGCTTTAGAGGGGGATTTTGATCCCTATAAAGAAACAGTCCAGAAAGGGAACCTCATGTTCACCTGGCTGCCCTTATTGTACAGAAGAGGAAACTGTAAGCTAAGAGAGGCAAGACCTCAGAAACCGGAGAGGATGTAAATGTGTAGCATCTGCTGCTAAACTTTGTCATAGCTCACCCAAGGGAGTGTTTTACCCTGTTGTGGTCCAGCCCCTTCTCTGCAGTCACACACTTTCCAGAAGGAAGGTCCCTCTGGTGCAGGCTCACTACTAGGTGGCACTGTGCACTACTGGGCTAGTTCTGGTAAAATACCCCTGCCCCAGCTAAAGTCTCTCCTTCCCTCCCTCCCTCCTTCCCTCCTTCTCTCGCTCCCTCCCTCCTTCCTTCCCTCCTTCTCTCCCTCCCTCCCTCCTTCCTTCCCCTCCTCTTCTTCCTTCCTTCCTCCCTTCCTTTCTCTCTCTCTCTTTCTCTCTCCCTTTCTTCCCTTCTTTCTTTTTTTTTGAGACGGAGTTTCCCTCTTGTTCCCCAGGCTGGAGTGCAATAGCGCAATCTTGGCTCACTGTAACCTTCACCTCCCGCGTTCAAGCAATTCTCCTTCCTCAGCCTCCTGAGTAGCTGGAATTACAGGTGCCCACCACCATGCCCAGCTAATTTTTGTATTTTTAGTAGAGACGGAGTTTCACCATGTTGGCCAGGCTGGTCTCGAACTCCTGACCTCAGGTGATCTGCCTGCTTCTGCCTCCCAAAGTGCTGGGATTACAGGCATGAGCCACCACGCCTGGCCTCTTTCTTTTCCTTTCATTTCCTTTCCTTTCTCTTTCTCTCTCTTTCCTTCCTTCCTTCCTTCTTTCTTTTCTCTTTTCCTCTTTATTTTCTTTTAAATTTTAATTTAATTTAATTTAATTTACAGAGATGGAGACTCTCTATGTTGCCCAGGCTGGTTTCAAACTCCTGGGCTCAAGTGATCCTCCCACCTCAGCCTCCCAAAGTGCTAGGATAACAGCCATGAGCCACGGTGCCTGGCCAGAGCTTCAGTTTCTATGGACAGGTGTTTTCGGGCTTGCTAAATCAAAATTCTCCAGAATTCCTAAGATCAGCCAATTTTAAGAGCAGTAATTTTTTTTTTAACAGTCTTGCTCTGTCACCCAGCTTGGAGTGCAGTGATGTGATCTCAGCTCACTGCAACCTCTGCCTCCCGGGTTCAAGCAATTCTCGTGCCTCAGCTTCCCAAGTAGCTGGGATTACAGCCACGCACCACCACGCCCAGCTAATTTTTGTATTTTTGGTAGAGATGGGTCTCACCATATTGGCCAGGCTGGTCTCAAATTCAAGCTGTCTGCCCATCTTGGCCCCCAGAGTGCTGGGATTACAGGCGTGAGCCACCATGCCCGGCCTGAGAGTAAATATTTTTGAGGAGAAAAAATATTCTTAATGTTCTTAAAGAAATCACAATCTAGGTCTAACATGAAAATATAGGTGAGGAGTTTTTAAATGAATTGTAGCATATAGTAGAGCTGATATTTGGTAAAGGTAGATTTTGGTTTGCATGGAGTAGGGGGATAAAGAGCTGGACATAAATAATTTGCCAGTGTTTTGTCAGTAGTTCTCAGAGGAAAGAATATACAGTACTGATTTGAGATGGCCAGTGCCAAATTCAGTAGAAATATATTTTCGAATAGAAGAGAACAATTCCTCTGGTTACCATACTAGAGTTTAAAAGAATAACTTCCAAAAGAACATCGAACTCCTTTTGTGCTCATTCCACCTTGACCCCTGTGATTTTGTCTCCTGTAATCATATCCACTAGAATGATTAAGTCCTGAGCACATACATGTTCCTATCATAGATACTAACAAATGGACCCCAGATCCGTTGGTCAAAAGAGTCCACCACCCTTATTAGATGCTCATCCTGCACTTATGGTGTCTTACAAAGAGGTTCAGTCAACCACACATAAACCTGTCTTGGAAGAGAAACTACAACAGTGAGATTCTGGGAACCCAGGGCACCTGAGGTGTAGGTGGTTCTGTATGGGAGAATTGCTTTCTCACCTATTAGGCTCAAGATTCACATCAGGTAGCCAGCCTTTCCTGGAAGGAGGCACTTCCTATCAGACCCTGAGGATGTCTTGGGAAAGTTGGCCAGGAAAGGGAAACAAAGTAAAGATAAGGATTCAGGAAATCATAGGAAAATATGTATTTCTTAAGTAATGATGGTTATATTTAGCTTTGTCTAAACTTTAACCTATCATCAGACTCATGGCACTGTAAAATAATTTTTGTGTGTATTTAGGATGTATTTGTATTACTTGCATAGTGAAGTTTTCCTTTTTTTTCCCGAAACATCCTGACTTTGCCTCAGCAAGATTAGAAGATAGAGTTTCTCTGACCCTTTATCTTTTTTTCTTTTCTTTCTTTCTTTCTCTTTCCCTTTCTTTCTCTCTTCCTTCCATCCTTCCTCCCTCCCTCTCCCTCTTTCCTTCCTTCCTTCCTTCCTTTCTTTCTCTTTCCCTTTCTTTCTCTCTTTCTGTCTCCTTCCTTCCATCCTTCCTCCCTCCCTCCCTCTCCCTCTTTCCTTCCTTCCTTCCTTTCTTTCTTTCTTTCCTTCCTCTCCCCCTCCCCCTCCCCCTCCCTCTCCCTCTCTTTCTTTCTTTCTTTTCTTCCTTGACAGGGTTTCACTTTGTCACCCAGGCTGGAGTGCAGTGGCATGATCAGCTCACTGTAGCCTCAATCTTCCCAACCCAAGCGATCCTCCTACCTCAGCCTCCTGAGTAGCCAGGACCACAGGTGTGTACTACCATACTGGCTAGGATTTTATGGTTTAAAATTTTGTATTTTGTAGAGACAAGGTCTCTCTCTGTTGCCCAGGCTGGTCTTAAATTTGTGGACTCAAGCATTCCTCCCACCTCAGCTTCCTGAAGTGCTGGGATTACAGGTGTGAGCCACCATGCCTGGCCTAGAATGTTAAAAATAATACTTTTCAGCCCTTTACAGTTTGGAAGGATGGTCTCTGACACTTTCTTATTTCAGGCTGTTTTATGCTATTGTCTACCCCATCTAAGAGATAAGGAGTCCAGTCCAAGATTAATAACTGATGGTGTAGCCTCCAATGTCCAACCTTGCAAATGGTTGGTAAGATCTTTTTTCAGATCTTTACACTTCAGAACAAGGATGAATTGATGGCACTGTGAGCAGCAATAACCTGAGAAGCAACTGATTTTCTATGGCTAAGGTTATCCAAGATTTCCTTAATCTGCAGAATTTGGGGTTAAGCCTATTGATTTTGCTAAACTTGTAAGATGCTTTTCAATACCTTATTTTACAAGTTGGATGTGACACTTTGGACTGTCTCAACTCTTGCAATTCCTTGCCATTCAAAAATCTTTTTCCTATAATGCAAAACTGTAGTCAATTTCACTTACATTCTTGGGCTAGTTGCCTAACTGCACAAAGATTGAATTTTATATGTAAAATGGAAATCCTAACAATATACGCCTTCGTAGTTTGTCAAGAGCATCAAATGGCCGGGCGCAGTGGCTCATGCCTGTAATCCCAGCACTTTGGGAGGCCAAAGCAAGTGGATCACAAGGTCAGGAGTTCAAGACCAACCTGGCCAAGATGGCGAAACCCCATCTCTATTAAAAATACAAAAAAATTAGCCGGGTCTGGTGGCAGGTGCCTGTAATCTCAGCTACTTGGGAGACTGAGGCAGAGAACTGCTTGAACCTGGGAGGTGGAGGGTGCAGTGACCCAAGATCGTGCCACTGCACACCAGCCTGGGTGACAGAGCAAGACTTCATCTCAAAAAAAAAAAAAAAGCATCAAATGAAAATCTATATGGGGCCAGCTGCGGTGGTTTACACCTGTAATCCCAGCACTTTGGGAGGCAGAGGCAGGCAGATCACTTGAATCCAGGAGCTCAAGACCAGCCTGAACAACATGGTGAGATCCTGTCTCTACAAAAAATACAAAAATTAGCTGGTCATGCATCTGGAGTCCCAGCTACTTGGGAGGCTGTGGTGGGAGGATGGCTTGAGCCTGGGAGATGGAGGTTGCAGTGAGCTGAGATAGCACCATTGCACACCAGCCTGGGAAACACAGCCAGACCCTGTCCCCGCCACGCCCCCACCAAAAAAAGAGAATCTGTACATGAAAATCCTCTGTGAAATATAAAAAACTACATTAAGACTAGCTGGGTGTCCATACACATGCTTTTGTATATGCACACTTGGCGAGAGTGGTGAGATTTCAGATGATCTTTGGTAGAATGGGTAGGAATTAAATTAGCAGAGAGGAGAAGAGATGAATCACTCTATGGGAAAAATGACATGACACAATAAAGAATAATTCATCTAAACCAAATCAAATTCAAGGAGAAACATGAGATGAATTCCCCTCAGAAGAATGATGCCCACTATTTCTTAATTATAATTATGTACTGTTTTGAAAATTATTTCTACTGCAATAAGATATGAAATAGAAATAAAAGCAACAAACAGTAAAAATGAAGAAACAAAGATATTTTAGATGATATAGTTTCAGTACTAACAACTAAAAAGAATGGGTTAAAAGTATTGAAATTAATGTAGGTTTAGTAAAATAGCTAGAAACAAATTAATCTGCAAAGAAGAAATAGCATTCCTGCAACTCATTGGAAAAAGATAGTGAAATTTTGCCTACCTGTGATTCTGAATGCAGTTACTTTTCACTTCTCAGTCAAGTGCCTTGTCTAAACCAATTCTGCTCTTTCCCACCACCATCCCCTTGAGCCTACATTGACACTACCCTGAGCAGAATCTCATGTATTGTATGCATATATATATATATATACATATATATATATATATATTTTTTTTTTTTTTTGAGTTCGAGTCTTACTCTGTCTCGCCCATGCTGGAGTGCAGTGGCACAATCTTGGCTTACTGCAGCCTCTGCCTCCTGGGTTCAAGTGATTCTCCTGCCTCAGCCTCCCGAGTAACTGGGACTACAGGCGTGTGCCATCATACCTAGCTAATTTTGTATTTTTAGTAGAGAGGGTTTCACCATGTTGGTCAGGCTGATCTTGAACTCCTGACCTCAAGCGATCCAGCCACCTCGGCCTCCCAAAGTGCTGGGATTACAGGCATGAGTCACCATGGCCAGCCTATATATTTATTTTTAGAGAATAAAATGTATCTTCAACCTTCTGTGTTAACACTTTGCGTGGACGAGGATTGTCTGAGAAGAGAGCTAAAGGCCCTCCATAAAATTTTTTGGTTTTGTTTCTGTTTTTCTCCCTTTGAGTGTCTCCTAGGTCTTGCTTTCCTTCCAACCCTCCAATAACTGTTACGAAATATAATAACTAGCAGACTTTTGTGATAAGCCTGCAATAAATGCCAGTGTGTCTGCACATGGAAGTAAGTGGCTAATTCTCTCTCTCTTCTCCACCCACTTGTTACTTAGGTACAGACTCTGGCAGGGTTAGCAGAGTTCTAGAACCACAGTCTCTCTCAGCCTTGCCCACCAAGACCTGGGGAGGATTTTATGGCCATAGCCTGACTGCCCGCAGCTTCTGTTGTCAGAGAGGTTGGCACCCTCAGGTCCTTGGACTGGAGAGTGTTCCCGTCTCTGGCCCCAAGGGGACTTTGGCCCTAAACTTAATTTGAAGTTGAGGAATGTTGGAGGGGCCGGGCTGTGACTGGGAGGGCTGGTGATGGGAACAGAATGTAATTGAGGAGGATGCAAAGTGCCCCTCCCTTTTACTGTTACTAGGAGTCTCCCTACAGGGCCAAACTCGGAACCAGCAAAGGCACATGGAGGGCATGGAGGGGTCTCAGCAGGGGTTTGGTGAGTGAGTGAATTTGATTCCTCTACTCTCTTGTTCCGCTTCAGCTTAACCCTGTTTTTTCCTGTTGAGCAGAGTGCCTGGCCCGACTGAGCCTTGATCACCTGGTATGAATTGATGTCTTGCTCCATATTAGATGCTGTGCTAGACGCTTTATTGTCAGGTCATCATTTAATCTTCCCATCAAGCTATTGAAATAGAACTATTATAAGTCACATTTTTCTGATGAAGAAACAAAAAATTAAAGAGGTTAAATCTCTTGCCCAAACTACCTAGTAAGTGGCAGAATCAGAGAATCAAACTTTGGTATAATTTTTTTTTTTTTTTTTTTTTTTTTTTTTTTTTTGTGAGACAGAGTCTCGCTCTGTCAGCCAGGCTGGAGTACAGTGGCACGATCTCCACTTTCTGCAACTTCCACCTCCTGGGTTCAAGCAATTCTCGTGCCTCTGCCTCCCGAGTAGCTGGGATTACAGGCATGTGTCATGATGCCCAGCCAATTTTTGTATTTTTAGTAGAGATGGGGTTTCACCATATTGGCCAGGCTAGCCTGGAACTCCTGACCTCAGTGATCCACCTGCCTCAGCCTCCCAAAGTACTGGGATTACAGGCATGAGCCACTGCACCCAGCCAAACTTTGGTCTAATGTGCTTTTAAAAAAATAAGCATTTTAGGCAGCCATGTTGGCTCATGCCTGTAATTCCAGCACTTTGGGAGGCCGAGGCAGCTGGATCACTTGAGGTCAGGAGTTCGAAACCAGCCTGGCCAACATGGTGAAACCCTCATCTCTACTAAAAATACAAAAATTAGCTGGGTGTGGTGGCGCGTGCCTGTAGTCCCAGCTACTCAGGAGTCTGAGGCAGGAGAATCGCTTGAACCGGGAGGCGGAGGTTGCTGTGAGCTGAGATCACACCACTGCACTCCAACCTGGGTAACAGAGTGAGACTCTGTCTCAAAAAATAAATAAATAATTAAAAATAAACATTTTAACTGTACAATAGCTTTAGATTTACCAAAAAAAGTTACAAATATGGCACAGGGAGTTCTGTATACCCCATAACTAGTTTCCCCCCACCCACTTTTTTTTGAGACACAGTCTTGCTCTGTCACCCAGTGCAGTGGTGTGATCTCGCCTCACTGCAACCTCCGCTTCCTGGGTTCAAGTGATTCTCCTGCCTCAGCCTCCAGAGTAGCTGGGATTGCAGGCACGTGCCACCACACCCAGCTAATTTTTGTATTTTTAGTAGAGATGGGGTTTCACCATGTTGGCCAGGCAGGTCTGGAACTTCTCCTGACCTCAAGTGATCCACCCGCCTCAGCCTCCCAAAGTGCTGGGATTACAGGCGTGAGCCACCACGACCAGCCCCCTATTGTTAACATCTGACATTATCACAGTACATTGTCAAAACTAGGAAACCAACCTTGGCACATTGGTATTAACTAAACTCCAGACTATATGCCACTAGTTTTAACTAATATTAACTAAACTCCAAATTTCACTAGGGTTTTTTTCCCCTAATATCCCTTTTCTGTTTCAGCATCCAATCCAGGATATTACATTGCATGTAGGGGCGAATGTGCTTTTAACCATGATCTAAACCTGCTTAGATGGCTGTTTCCAGCTCCATCCCTGTGCTCCCTTCTAAGAATTTCCAACCAACATAGGGAAGGAGAAGGAACCAAGGTCTTAAGAATATCAGCTCTAAAAGCCACCTCTTCACTTCTCATAAGCATTTCTTGGAAGAACAATCTCCAGAACTAGAATCTAACAAGATGCTCTGTTACTTTAAAGAAAAAGAGCGTTTTGTTGTTGTTGTTGTTTCGTTTTGTTTTGTTTTGTTTGAGACAGAGTCTTGCTCTATCACCCAGGCTGGAGTGCAGTGGCCTGATCTCAGCTCACTGCAACCTCCACCTCCTGGATTCTAGTGATTATCCTGCCTCAGCCTCCTGAGTAGCTGGGGCCACAGATGCATGCCACCATGCCTGGATAAATATTTTTGTATTTTTGGTAGAGACAGGGTTTCACCATGTTGGCCAGGCTGGTCTCAAACTCCTGACCTCAGGAGATCTGTCCACCTCGGCCTCCCAAAGTTCTAGGATTACAGGCATGAGCCACCACACTCGGCCAAAAGAGTGGTTCTATGGTCAAATAAATTCAAGAAATGCTAGGTGCCAAATCCCTCCTTGAAGAAACAAAGTGGCCATCAACAAGACAAAATTCCTCAGGAGTCCTGCAACAAATAAGCCACGTTATTTGGTTTAATAGAGAATTACCTCAAGTCTCAGTAATTTGTGTACTGCCTTCACGCGTTTTGCCACATCAGCAACCTGAACTGTTACTGACTTGATCTTCTTTCTTTAAATCTACTCACCTTTTAAAAGGTACATTCTAAAAGAGCATTTTATCTCACTACTATGAGTGGAAAAATGAGGATCATTTGCCAAAATTAGTTAGAATGAGTAAAAATATTAATTTGATCCCAGAACCTGCTCAGGTCATCCCACCTAACACCAGTGAGTGTTCCATACGACCGTTTGGGAAACACTGGTTAACAGAACTCCCTTTTCCGTAACACCTGTTAAAATCCTGGGGATACTTTGGGAATGCTGGTCCAGTTGGTTTTCCTTTGAGGCCCAGACGATCAGGAAACATGCCTAGGGCCGCACGGGTAAGGTCCAAACTAAAGTTGAAGTCCCCTTCCCACCTCTCTAGTGCTCTTCCCACAACCCTACTCAGGTTCTAGGGTTCAGACATCTTCTGGGCAAGGCCAAAAGGGGTTCCATGAGGGCCAAGGTCTGTAATACAGAAGGTTCAGATTTCATGTGATCAGGTTTTGATCTCATGTTTGAGATTTTTTGTTTGTTTGTTTTTTGAGACAGAGTCTCGCTCTGTCGCCCAGGCTGGAGTGCAGTGGTGCGATCTCGGCTCACTGCAAGCTCCGCCTCCCAGGTTCACACCATTCTCCTGCCTCAGCCTCCCGAGTAGCTGGGACTACAGGCACCCGCCACCACACCCGGCTAATTTTTTTGTACTTTTAGTAGAGACAGTGTTTCACCGTGTCAGCCAGGATGGTCTTGATCTCCTGACCTTGTGATCCGCCCGCCTCGGCCTCCCAAAGTGCTGGGATTACAAGCATGAGCCACCGCGCCTGGCCTCATGTTTGAGATTTTAAAGAGATCACCACACCCAGCTTAGAAGATTCCCCATCCTTCTCTACTCCAGGGGAGAACTTGGGTCCGATTCTTGGTCAAAGTAAACAGGCAGAAAGGATTTCTGATCTCAGCTATCATTGCTGCCTACACCCTGGCAACTCCCATCCACAGACCACTGCACTTTGGACAGTTCTTCCTAAAGTCATGTTATTTTAAAATTTAATTGTGTTTGAGCACAAGGGTGTTGGCAATAGGGGCGCCCATAGTTAATTAGTAACAGAGAGCAGTAGATAAAACAGATGCTTCCAGCTTGGCCGGACACTAGTCAGCCTTCTGTTCTCCCTAAAGAGGGCCCTGAAACATGAGTACTCAATGCACTTATGTCTTGGCTGACTTTTCATCCCAAGAAGCTAGACCCCAGTGTCACTCTTCCCTTCTCCATTCAGCCAATGGCTTGATACCTTGAGTGGATCTGACAATGTAATGCTCACTACTCCCACCCCAGCTGGTATCAAACATTCAGACCAGATGTGAGCTCCACTGGGCTTGATAATAGCTCCTAGACTCATTCACTCTTTTCTTCATTCAAAATGTTGAATGAGCTGGGTGCAGTGGTTCACACCTATAATCCCAGCACTTTGGGAGGTCAAGGCAGGCAGATTGCTTGAGCCCAGGAGTTTGAGACTAGCCTGGGCAACATGGGGAAACCCTGTCTCTATTTTTAAAAAGGCCAGGCACAGTGGTTTGTGCCTGTAATCCCAGCACTTTGGGAGGTTGAGGCAGGAGGATCACTTGAGCTCAGAAGTTCAAGACCAATCTGGGCAATGTGGCAAGACCCTGTCTCTTAAAAAGAATTGGCTGGGCGCGGTGGCTCACGCCTGTAATCCCAGCACTTTGGGAGGCCGAGGCAGGCGGACTACGAGGTCAGGAGATCGAGACCATCCTGGCTAACATGGTGAAACCCCATCTTTACTAAAAATATAAAAAATTAGCCGGGCGTGGTGGTGGGCGCCTGTAGTCCTAGCTACTCAGGAGGCTGAGTCAGGAGAATGGCATGAACCCGGGAGGTGGAGGTTGCAGTGAGCCAAGATCGCACTACTGCACTCCAGCCTGGGCGACAGAGTGAGACTCCACCTCAAAAAAAAAAAAAGAATTATAAAAATAAAATATCAGGGCCAGGTGTGGTGGCTCATGCCTGTAATCCCAACACTTTGGGAGGCTGAGGTGGGCGGATCACCTGAGGTTGGGAGTTCGAGACCAGCCTGACCAACATCTCTACTATACTGACAACCCCATCTCTACTATACATGCAAAATTAGCCAAGTGTGGTGGCGCATGCCTGTAATTCTAGGTACTCAGGAGGCTGAGGCAGGAGAATCGCTTGCACCCGGGAGGTGGAGGTTGTGGTGAGCCAAGATTGCGCCATTGCACTCTGGCCTGGGCAACAAGAGTGAAACTTGGTCTCAAAAATAATTAAAAATGAAAAAATAAAATAAAATAAAATAAAATAAAATATCAGGCCAGCATGGTGGCTCATGCCTGTGATCCCAGCACTTTGGGAAGCCAAGGTGGGTGGATCGCCTGAGGTCAGGAGTTTGAGACCAGCCTGGCCAACAAGGTGAAACCCCATCTCTACTAAAAATACAAAAATTAGCTAGGCGTGGTGGTGTGTACCCAGCTCCTAGATTACCTGGGAGCTGGTAATCCCAGCTCCTCAGGAGGCTGAGGCAGGAGAATTGCTTGAACCCAGAAGGCAGAGGTTGCGGTGAAGTGAGATTGTGCCACTGCACTCCAACCTGGGAGATAAAGTGAGATTCTGTCAAAAAAAAGAAAAAAGAAAAAAAAAAAGCCTGTAATAAGCTAGCCTTCACTATGTAAACCAAAAATAAAATTCCAAGGTCCCCCAACCATTTGAATGGACCCCTTCTCTTGGCCAAGGAGATTCCAAAGTTAACTTGAAAAACTGGTTCAGGTCATGATGGGAAGGGAGGGTCAGACATGCTTCATTATACCCTCCTCCCTTTTGGAATTCAGGAAAAGCCAACCAGCATTAACATTAACACAGACCTTAAGTCTGATAAGAAACATTTACAATCTATTCTCTTTGAAGCCTGCTACCCGGAGGCTTCATCTGCATGATTAAACCTTGGTGTCCACAACCCTTTAATGTAACCCAGACATTCATGTCTATTGATAATAACTCTTTCAACCAATAGCCAATCAGAAAATTTTAAAATCTACCTATGACCGGCTGGGCGCAGTGGCTCAGGCCTGTAATCCCAGTACTTTGGGAGGCCGAGGCGGGCGGATCACGAGGTCAGGAGATGGAGACCATCCTGGCTAACACAGTGAAACCTTGTCTCTACTAAAAATACAAAAATTAGCTGGACATGGTGGCAGGCAGCTGTAGTCCCAGCTACTCAGGAGGTCAAGGCAGGAGAATGGCGTGAACCCGGGAGGCTGAGCTTGCAGTAAGCCAAGGTCTCAGCCTCCCAGGTAGCTGGGATTACAGGCATGTGCCATCACACCAGCTAATTTTCGTATGTATGTGTGTGTATGTATGTATATACACACGTATGTGTGTATGTATGTATATACACACATATATGTGTGTATATATGTGTATACACACATATATGTGTGTATATACACATGCGTGTGTATATATATACACATGCACATATATGCATATATACATATATGTGTATATACATAGATGTGTGTATACACGCATGCACACATATACACATATGTGTGTGTACACACATGTACACATATACACATATGTGTGTATACACACGCACACATATACACACGTGTGTGTATACATACATGCACACGTGTGTGTATACGTATATACATGTGTGTATACGTATATACATGTGTGTATACGTATATACATGTGTGTATATACGTATATACATATGTGTGTATACGTATATAAGTGTGTGTATATACATATATACATATGTGTGTATATACATATGTGTGTGTATATATACATATATATATTTTTTTCTTTTTTTGCTAGAGACAGGGTTTCACCGAAACAGACAGGAAGGGAGAGAGAGAGACAGACAGACAGAGAAAGAGAATGAGACAGAAGACAGACACAGTGAGACAGGCAGAGAGAGAGAGAGAGAGACAGAGACAGAGAGAAAGAGACAGACAGAGAAAGAGACAGACAGAGAAAGACAGAGACAGACAGAGAGAGAAGGAGAGAAACAGGCAGAGAGAGAGAGAGCGAGAGAGAGAGAAACAGAAAGGGAGGGTCTCAAACTCCTGACCTCAAGTGATCCACCCTCCTAAAGTGCTGGGATTACAGACGTGAGCCACCGCTCCCAGCCTTTTTTTTTTTTTTAATCAGGCAGGCTCTGAAGCCAGTGTAGGCTCAGAGAGACTCTCTGTACTTTTTTCTATTCAGAACTATAATTTGGTATTCCTACACTCTCCCAGCGACTCCAAGTTATCTCTCTTCTTGCAACCCACCAGTAGCTGTTTTCTGCCAGAATTTGTGGATGTTTTCTTGTGCATGTACCACTTAGTATTCAGCCAAAGACTAAGGGAATCCCTTTGTATTTCTTGAGCTCCTTTTCTGTGTACACCTCTACTTTCTTCTATTCCGCTCAAAAATTACAGCCACTACCACCATTTGGAACTCTGATCTCTGCTTCTTCAGCTCAGCAACATATTTGTATTCTAATTAGGCTTCACCTCTCTGCACCCTGGTTTGGAAAGTGTGCCCGGGCAGAAAGCTGTGTTGAATACGGAGCACATTTCATGTATTTGCATTTTTCTCAAAGATCACAGGAAGCACTATCTGTTGTTCAATGCCTAGATACAGTCGCTTCATATATTTGCCAATTTTGTTGTTTCTGATGGAAGAGTAAGCCTAATACCTGTTACTTCATCATGGCCACATCTAGAAAGCCTTGGCATTTTTTTTTCTTCTTTGCTTCTTTTTTTTAAAATTAAAATTAATTATTCTTTCTTCTTTCTTTTTCCAAATCCTTTGCAATGGGCATTCATTTTATAACAATCTGATAATCTCTGAATTTTAACTGCTAACTTTGGGAGGAATTTAGTTTAGAGTTTAACTTGAAAACAAGGATCATAACAGTCCTTCCCTAAAACTAACCCCTTCCTTGCTCAGGGGCCAAAAACCACCTTTGTCAGACTAATGAAAGGCCACAGGAATAGGATTATGGTAAAGGTCTGAACTCTTATAAGATGTAGACATAGTTAGTTTCTTTCTTTCTTTCTTTCTTTCTTTCTTTCTTTCTTTCTTTCTTTCTTTCTTTCTTTCCTTTCTTCCTTCCTTCTTTCCTTTCTTTCTTTTTCTTTTTCTTCCTTTCCTTTCTTTCCTTCCTTCCTTCCTTCCTTTCTTTTTCTTCCTTTCCTTCTTTCTTTCTCTTTCTTTTTCTTTCTTTCTCTCTCTCTTTCTTTCTTTCTTTTAGATGTAGACACAGTTTCTATAATCCCTTACTGCTCATGGGTCATGTGGCCAAAGGTCACAAGAGTTGTCACTTTCCCAATTGCTCCTATAGATAACATCACTCTAGATGTTATCTATAGTGTAGAACCCAAGATTGGTCTTTTTTGAGATGTTTTTCATATTGACCCCACCCAGACTCCTGAGCCGTGACTCAGCTGGTCCTGTGGTCCCACCCAGAGGCAGACTCAGCTCATCTCATGAGGATAGTTTCCACATCCCTATGTTTTCATCCCCAACCAAGCTGCAGCACCCATTCCCTAGCCCCCTGCCCACCAAATTGTCCACAAAATCCCTAAGCTCTGAGCCTTCAGGGAGATTGATCAGGGTGATAACTCCAGTTGTCCTTCATGGGCTGGCCTTGGGTCAACTGAATTCTTTCTCCACTGCAATGCCATGGTCTCAGTGGCAGGCCTCAGTGATTTTGTCTGTGCAGCAGGCAGGAGGAACCTGTCGGGTGATTGCATCACTTTCTTTCCTCACTATCACTTTCTGGATCTTGGGTTTTCATTCTGAGACCGTTTTTCTTCTTCCTGAAGTCATTTTTTAGACATTCTTTTGGTGAAGGTCAGCTGTGGCAGATTCTCTCAGATGTTGTTAGCCTCAAAATAGCTGTATTTTTCCCTCATTCCTGAAAGATAATTCTTCTAGGTACATAATTCAAAGTGGACAATGATTTATCTAATTCCAGGTTGACAGTTAATGATTTTTTTAGCACATTGAAGATATTATTGATAAATATATTTTCTACCTTTGTTGTTATGAAATCTGTAGTCTAGTTGTCATTCATCAATAGGAAATTTTTTTTAAAGATGCTTTTAAAGGGCGGGTGCTGTGGCTCACGCCTGTAATCCCAGCACTTTGGGAGGCCAAGGTGGGTGGATCACAAGGTCAGGAGATCGAGACCACAGTGAAACCCCGTCTCTACTAAAAATACAAAAAAAATTAGCCGGGCGTGGTGGCGGGCGCCTGTAGTCCCAGCTACTCGGGAGGCTGAGGCAGGAGAATGGCGTGAACCTGGGAGGCGGAGCTTGCAGTGAGCCGAGATCGCGCCACTGCACTCCAGCCTGTGCAACAGAGCAAGACTCCATCTTAAAAAAAAAAAAAAAGATGCTTTTAAAATATGTTTACCTTTGTTCTCTGGAGTTTTACTATAAGGTATCTAGGTCTAGAGTCCTTTTTGAACTTTTTTTTTTTTCGTTTTTTTTTTTTTTTTTTGAGACAGGGTCTCATTTTGTCACCCAGGCTGGAGTGCAGTGGCAAAAATCTCAGCTCACTGCAGCCTCAACCTGCCAAGCCAACTCAGCCTCCCAAGTAGCTGGGAGTACAGATGTGTGCCACCACATATGGCTAATTTTTGTATTTTTTGTATAGATGGAGTTTTGCTGTGTTGCCCAGGCTGGTCTCAAACTCCTGGACTCAAGTGCTATGACTGCCTTGGCCTCCCAAAGTGCTAGGATTATAGGCGTGAGCCACCATGCCCAGACTAGAGTCCTTTTTATTTATCAAGCTTGCTATAAATCATGTTTTGGGCATTCATAAATTTATATCTTTCATCAGAATTGAAAAATAATCATTAATCCTTTAATTATTCCTTTTTCTATATTCTCACTAATCTCCCAGATATTCATAAATTAGATTTATTCTATTTTGCACATCT
The DNA here is from genome assembly GCF_000001405.40 of Homo sapiens. Lineage (NCBI taxonomy): Eukaryota > Metazoa > Chordata > Mammalia > Primates > Hominidae > Homo > Homo sapiens. Next base: position 96,804,678 of record NC_000010.11, read on the forward strand.
GTTAATCCCACTTTTATAATTTCCATCTTCTTGTTTTCTCTATTACATTCTAGGTAATTTATTCAGATTCAGCTTCCATGATATAATTCTCCTTTCATCCATGTGTAATCTGCAGTTTCAGCCATGGCTTTATGAGGTTTTAAAATGTCAACAATTATATTTTTCATTTTCACATACATTGTTTATTTCTATTTTAAAAATTCCAATTATTTATGACCGTCTTTGTTGCTTGTTTTGTAATTCCATTTAAAAATTCATAGTATTTCATATAAAGCTATTTTATAATTTGAATATTATAATTCCCATATTTGAAGACCATGGAGGTCTAAATCTGTTGTTTGTTGTTCTAACTTAATCACACTGACATTTTTTCTTATGTTTGCTGATCTCTGTTTCTTATTGTAAGAACAGAGGTATTTATCTTACTCTTTGGGGATCCTGAAGGCTTATATTGGGGATTTTTTCATGCTTTTACTAGAAGCCAACAGGAGCTACCCTTCTGGAACTACTTTAGTTTTTTCCAATATTTTTCCTTATTTAGGAATCTCAGGTTCAAGAGACCTGTCTGGAACTAGCCCAAAGTTTGTCTCCAAACAATTGTAAACACTCATATGTCTACATTTACCCTTAGGGCAATACCAAACTCCAAGCCTCTTAATATTCATGCTCCCATGCTGGTTTGAGCCTTTTTTTTTTTTTTTTTTTTTTTGGACAATTTGAAGATTTTACTTATTTACTGAAATAAAATGTATTTAAATAAATAAAATAAATAAAATGTATTTAAAATCCTTTTCCAGAATCTCCTTGTTTTAGAGTAGCAGGGTGCTTTCTAGTATGTAGCCTGTCATACTGACAGAAGTCAAAGTCCTAGGAAGGCCTCTTTTTAGCTTTTTTTTGAAAATGATTTATGCATACTTTAGAATCGTAAAGAAGGTAAAATATACATTTGAAAAGTGATTTAGATATATATATTTCAAGAACAGTGAAATCACAGTAAACAAGATGAAGAAAGGTAAACTAAATGTATATCTTAGTAAAAAAAATCAGATATAAATTTGAAAAAGAAATGATACCACAGTATTACCAATAGAAAGAGGACTAAAATGGAAACAGATAAGAGTTAGCCTCAGAAGGAGTATTGATACAGAGGCTCTAGATACTTTTTTATTCTGGGTATAACCAGAGGCTGAGAATCCAGGGTTGGCCCCAGAGCAGAAGCTCCCAGTACAGAAAACGGTGAAATCAGCTGAGATTTTGGTATACATGTGGACCAGTAGGGAGACAAATTGAATATTTCAGATGTTAAATGGAGGCGCCTAGTCTCCCCTGGAAGCCGCATGCCAAATTTTGAAGATGCTTGGGGTAGGAGACTGAATACCCAATCTGAAAACCTTTTAAGAGCAGAACTTAATTTTCTGAAAACCTTCAAGAAAGGTAACAAACTCCTTTTTCTCAATTTTAAAAGCCCTAGAGGGCCATTCCCAAGGAAAGAGAACAAATCAGAGACAGGCTGAGTCTAATCCACTTCTACGATACCCAGGCCCCCATCCTAATCCCACCCATGCTCAGTCCCAGATTGAAATGAGATTATCAGCCCCCTCCTCTATCAGCCCGACAGATTAAAGAGTGAATTCTCTATGATGGGCTATAACACCATCTGGAGCATATATGGTACTTTATAAACAATACTGGCATACAGTCAACATTGTCTGCACATGTGAAGACCAAGGCTTTAAAGAAAATCCACAAATCCATAATTATAATCAGAGTTTTCAATACACTTCTCCCAAGAATTAAGTAGACAGAAAATAAGCAAGGACAGAGCTGACTTGAACAATACTCTCAACTTATTTGACTCCAGCCAACAACAGCGGAATACACATTCTTTTTTTTTTTTTTTTTAAGGCAGAGTCTCGCCCTGTCACCCAGGCTGGAGTTGCATTGGCACAATCTTGGCTCACTGCAACCTCCGCCTCCCAGGTTCAAGTGATTCTCCTGCCTCAGCTTCCAGGGTAGCTGGGATTACACGCACATGCCACCAAGCCCAGCTAATTTTTGTATTTTTAGTAGAGACGGGGTTTCACCATGTTGGCCAGGCTGGTCTCATACTGCTGACCTCAAGTGATCCGCCCACCTTGGCCTCCCAAAGTGCTGGGATTACAGGCATGAGCCACTGCACCCAGCCAGAATACACATTCTTCTCAAGAACATGTGAAATATTTATCGTGACTGACCATATTCTGGACCATAAAACAATCTTAATAAATTTGAAAAGATTAAAATCATATGGTATGTTCTCTGACTATAATGGGATTAAATTAGAAGTCAGTAACAGAAAGATCTATAGAAAAACTATAATATTTTGGAAGCAAGGTAATATACTTCTAAATAGCCCATGGGTCAAAGAACAAAATCAAAAGAGAAATTATATGGTATTTTGAACTTTTTTAAAAGTGATGCATAAGTAGCTGTGCATATTTCAACCAAAGTGAAAACATATCAAAATGTAAAAGTAATTTTAAGTTTACTTTTTAAAATTTTAATCATTTTCTTTTTAGAAATTTTGGTTCATGGCCGGGCGCGGTATCTCACGCCTGTAATCCCAGAACTTTGGGAGGCCGAGGCAGGCAGATCACGAGGTCAGGGGTTCGAGACCAGCCTGGCCAACATAGTGAAATCCCATCTCTACTAATAATACAAAAATTAACAGGGCATGCTGGTGCACACCTGTAGCCCCAGCTACTTGGGAGGCTGAGGCAGGAGAATCACTTGAACCTGGGAGGCGGAGGTTGTGGTGAGCCGAGATCATGCCACTGCACTCTAGCCTGGGTAAAAAAGCCAGACTCCGTCTCAAAAAAAAAAAAAAAAAGAAATTCTGGTTCATGTTCTCTCATGAAAAAGAATTATTCTGAGTGAAAAAACAGACAAAGATGAGTACATACTATATTATTTCATTTACATAAAACTCTAAGAAATACAGTAGTGACATAATAGATTATAGATATAATGCATCATAGATCATAGATAACAGATAATAGATATAGTGACAGATACAGATCAATAGTTTTAAGGGGAGGATGCCAAGAAAAGACTAAAAAGGAAAACTCCGCTTTGGTGTGGACTGGACTTAGTGACTGCATCCAAAGAAGACAGTATAGAAAGAAAATAAGTTTATATTGGAGAAACCTGGCAGATATCATCTTAATGAAGTGATCAAGGTTTGCATCAACCCGGGATCTCTCATATTGACATCATGTACCAGCTGACATGATCCACAGAGAAGGACACCTCACCTCTTGTGGTATTCTTCCTCAAGTCCCATAACCCTGCTGTAATCATTAGAACACAACAGTGAAACCCAAACTGAGGGGCATTCTACAAAATACCTGACCAGAACTCTTCAAAGTTTCAAGGTCATGAAGAGCAAGGAAAGCCTGCCACAGGCTGGAGGAGACCAAGAAGACATGGTGACTAAATGCAATGTTGCTTTTTTTTTTTTTTTTTTTTTTGAGACAGGGTCTTGCTCTGTCACCCAGGCTGGAGCACACTGCAACCTTGAATACCTGAGCTCAAGTGAACTTTCCACTTCAGCCTTCTGAGTAGGTGAGACTACAGGTGTGCACCACCATGCCCAACTAATTTTTTTTATTTTTGATAGAAAGTAATTTTTTGATTTTGCCCCAGGCTGGTTTCGAACTCGAGCTCAATCGATCCTCCCGCTTCAACCTCCCAAAGTGGTGGGATTACAGGCATATCAGACCCTGGAACAAAAAAATGACAATAGTGGAAAAACTGCTAAAATCTAATTAAAGTGTATAGTTGAGTAAATAGTATTGTTTCAATGTTAATTTCTTAGTTTTGACAAATGTACAATGGTTATGTTAACATTAAGGGAAGTTGGGTGGAGGGTATTATCTGCAATTTTTCTGTTGCATCTAAAATCATTCCAAAACAAAAACTTTATTTAACAATTTTATTTATGGATGGGCCAGCATTAAACAAGTATAAAATGAGTTTCCAAAAAACCCACTAAGAATATCATCACAAATCAAATACTTAGGAATAAATCTAATGAAAGATGTGTGAAACCTGTACATTGGAAACTATAGACTATATCACGGTCAAATTTTAAGACCTAAATATCAGAAGGAGGGCCGGGCACAGTGGCTCACACCTGTAATCCCAGTGCTTTAGGAGGCCAAGACAGGTGGATCATCTGAGGTCAGGAGTTTGAGACTTGCGCGCCCAACATGGTGAAACCCCATCTCAACTAAAAAAACAAAAATTAGGCTGGGTGCAGTGGCTCACGCCTGTAATCCCAGCACTTTGGGAGGCCGAGGCGGGCGGATCACCTGAGGCAAGGAGTTCGAGACCAGCCTGGCCAACATGGCAAAACACCATCTCTACTAAAAATACAAAATTAGCCAGGTGTGGTGGCACATGCCTATAATCCCACGTACTTGGGAGGCTGAGGCAGGAGAATTGCTTGAATCCAGGAGGCGGAGGTTGCAGGGAGCAGAGATCGTGCCATTGCACTCCAGCCTGGGCAACAGAGAAAGACTCCGTCTCAAAAAAAGAAAAAGAGAATATCTCCTTCATCTTGGAGCAGGCAAAACATTTAAAAACAAGACAAAAGCACTAATTATAAAAGAAAAAGAATTGGAGCATCTTAAAATTAAGAATTTATACTCCAAAAGAGAATATATCACAAGAATGAAAAGCCAATGCACAGATGAGAGAATATATTCAAAATATAATATGCATATTCTACAGAAGATTCATATCCAAAATATATAAACTATATGTAAACAACAACTTTATAAATAAGGAATATACTGTAGTGCCCCCTCGTTCACAGAGGATACATTCCAAGACTTCCAGGGGATGCCTGAAACAACAGATAGTACTGAATCTTATGTATACTGCACTGTGCTTTTTCTGATACATAACTTTGATACAGTTTAATTTATAGATTAGGCAAAGTAAGAGATTAATAAAAATGTCTACTAATAAAATAGAACAATTATAACAATATACTATAATAAAAGTTAAGTGAACATGATCTGTCTCTCAAAATACAGGAAAGTCCCCCTTATCATGCTTTACTCTCCTCAGTTCCAGTTATCTTTAGTATAATACAAGAAGATATATTGAGAGAGAGACCACATTCACATAACTTTTATTACAGTATATTGTTATAATTGTTCTATTTACTTATCCTTTACTGTTGTTAATCTCCCGCTGTGCCAAATTTATAAATTAAACCTTCTTAGGTATGTACGTATATATATATATGTGTGTGTAGGAAATAGTATATACAAGTTGAGCATCCCTAATTTAAAAATCCAAAATCCAAAATCTGAAACTTTTTGAGTGCTGACATGACACTCAAAGGCAATGCTCATTGGAGCATTTTGGGTTTCAGATTTTGAACTTTCAGATTAAGGATACTCAACCAGTATGTATTCTGCAATTATTCCAAAATTTGAAAAAATCAAAAATCTGAAACACTTCTGGTCCCAAACGTTTCAGATAAGGGATACTTCACCTGTATGGGACTTGGTACCATCAGTGGTTTCAGACATTCACTTGGGGTCTTGGAATGTATTCCCCACAGATAAGGAGTGAACTACTGTCTAATGAAATAGAAAGACAACCCAATAGGAAAATGGACAAAAGATGAACAGGTGGCTTTCCAAAAAAAAACCCCAAATGGCCAATAAATATGTGAAAAGGTGTTTAACTTCACCAGTTACCTCCAGAATGGCTAAAGTGAAAAAACAAAAAAAAAGCCAAATGTTGGAACTTCCAGAACACTCCTACACTGATAGTGAGTGTATAAATTGGTACACCTATTTTTGGAAAACTGTTTCACACTATCTACCAAAGCTGAACATATGTATACTCTATGAGCCAGCAATTCCACTTCTACGTATATACGCAACAGAAATGCACACATATGTTCACTAAAAGGTATATACCAGAATATTTGTTGGAGCATTATTTGTATGTCAAGTACTGGAAACTATTGCCTAAAAGCCCATTAACAGTCAAATACTAAAATGTAGTTCATTTATACAATGAATAGCACTCATCAATGAGAATGAACAGACCACAAACCCATGGAGCAATTTCACAAGCCCAATATTGAACAAAGGAAGCCAGAAAAGAGTACATACTGGGCTAGGCACAGCGACTTATTCCTATAATCCCAGCTCTTTGGGAGGCCGAGGCAGGAGGATTGCTTAAGTCCAGGAGTTTAAGAGCAGCCTAGGCAACAATAGCGAGACCTCATTACTACAAAAAAATTTAAAAATTAGCTGGGCGTGGTGGCACATATCAGATACTTGGGAGGCTGAGGTAGGAGGATTGCTTGAGCCCAGGAGTTCAAGGTTGCAGTGGGCTATGATTGCACCACTGCACTCCAGCATGTGCAACCAAGCAAGACCTCAACTCAAAAAAAGAAGAGTACATATTGTATGACAACAGTTTTTAAAGAATAAGAACAAGTAAAACTAATATATTCGGTTAGAAGTCAGGATAGTAGTTTCCCTTGTGGGAAGGAGTGTATAGTGACTTGACCTAGAATGTTGGTTCCATTTGCAAAAATTCATTTATGCTGAGGTAACAGACGATCTATATTCACAACAACACTTGCTCACCTTATGTATTAATTGAAGGTTAGCAGAATGGCTCAGGTCATCAGACTTACTCAGGGACCCAAACTGACAGAGTAGTGTCACCTTGAATGTTTCTGGCTGCCATCCACAGAGAAAAGAGTGCCCAGGAGGGTGCTGTGTCAACACTCAAATGACCCAGCCTGGGAGTCATATGTATCACTTCTTGTTTTTTGTTTTTTGAGACAGAGTCTTGCTTTGCAGCCTAGGCTGGAGTGCAAATGTGTGTCGATCACTTCTGCTCACAATTAATTCATTGACTACAACATGCATGTGGTTCCACCCAAACAGTGGGGCCAAGAAGTGAAATGCTACCATATCTAGAAGTGGAGGGAACCAGAAACGTGGTAAACAACATACTTTGCTATGTTGACTATTAATATTCTTCTTGAATATATATATATATATATATTTTTTTTTTTTTTTAATTTGAGACACAGTTTCACTCTGTTGCCCAGGCTGGAGTGCAGTGGCGAGATCTCAGCTCACTGCATCCTCCACCTCCCAGGTTCAAGGCATTCTCGTGCCTCAGCCACCGGAGTAGTTGGGATTACAGGTGCCCGCCACCACGCCCAGCTAATTTTTTGTGTGTTTTTAGTAGAGACGGGGTTTTGCCATGTTGGCCAGGCTGGTTTTGAATTCCTGACCTCAAGTGATCTGCCCACCTCAGCCTCCCAAAGTGCTGGGATTACAGGCGTGAGCCACCGCGCCCAGCCCTTGAACATACTTTCTACTGGCTATAAGGTAATCAGTCAAAGGGTGTTTCATCTACATAACCAATTTCCTTTGGTGAATATTAATTTGGTTATATTTTTTCCACTATTACTAATAATCAAATGTTAAAATTTTGTTCTTTTGTCTACTGCTTTATATATGAATCTTTACATGGGTTCGAATTTCTGCCATTGTGAATACCATGGGAAGATCCTGCTTTGAATGCTTTTCTCTGCTTTGGTGATACAACATTTGCTAACTGGACCCATGAGATTTCTTTCATAATTCCTTTGTTCCAAAACTTGCCTGGGTGTGCTGGTTCACGCCTGTAATCCTAGCACTTCGGAAGGCTGAGGTAGGTAGATGGCTTGAGCCCAGGAGTTCCAGACCAGCCTGGGCAACATGGCAAAATCTTGTCTCTACAAAAAAATAAAAAATTAGTTGGGCATGGTGGCATGTGCCTGTAGTCCCAGCTACTCAGGAGGTGGAAGGACCATCTGAACCCAGGGAGGTCAAGGCTGCAGTGAGCTATAATCATGCCACTGCACTCCAGCCTGGGTGACAGAGTGAGATACCCCCATCTAAAAAAAAAAAAAAAAAAAAAAAAGAAACTTATTTTGCTAGGTCTTGTTGCTGTTTATTGTTTTGGGGTTTCCTATTAATGCTCCTTTTGGAGCTATTGGTTTAGATGGCTTTAGCCAGTAGGCAGCCATATATTTCCTATGTACATTATCTTCTTCTCAGAAAACTCCTAATGCTTTACATTTTGAATGTATTATACCACCAAATGGAAAACAAATATCAGTTTCATCACATTGAAATGTGTAGGTTCATAGAGAGTTGAGTCTACCTATTTCACTTAAGATACCATGGCTAGTATTTTATACATTGTGGTATTTTATTAAGATCTACAATATTGGCTGGGCACGCTGGCTCACACTTGTAATCCCAGTACTTTGGGAAGCCAAGGTGGTGGATTGCTTGAGGTCAGGAGGTCGAGACCAGCCTGGTCAACATGGCAAAACCCCATTTCTACTAAAAATACAAAAATTAGCCAGGCGTGGTGGCATGCGCCTGTAGTCCCAGCTACTCAGGAGGCTGAGGCAGGAGAATCACTTGAACCTGGGAGGTAGAGGTTGCAGTGAGCGGAGATAGCGCCACTGCACTCCAGCCTGGGTGACAGAGTGAGGCTCCGTCTTTAAAAAAAAATCTACAAATATAAAATTGTTTAAGGCTTTCGGGCATGTGACATTGATGAATCCTAATAACTTAGATAACTCAGGCTCTAAGGAAACTTGGGAATACCCTGTCCAACCTCTCCTTTTATAGAATTAGAAAATAGAACTTGAGAATTAGTCCAACCTTCTTTTATAGAAGAAGAAAATGAGTGCCAAAGAAATTCAGTGATTTGTAAAAGGTTGTAAAGCAAATTGATTACCAAAGAAGATGTTCAACATATTTCAAAGGTATAACAATGACTATATTATGGTCCTCAACTTTCTGAAAGGGTGATAGATCAGAGAACTGACCAATAGAGTTTGCCAGAATTAATAGCATCAGACAACATGAAAGAGCATTTGTGTAGCAACATCATTATCTGTTTGGAATACCTAGATTTTATTTACATCATTAACACTGAATCCAGGAGAGCATCTGTCGAGAAGAAGCTGACTAAGAGAATAAAGGTTTTCAGAAAGATGTACAGAGTAATTTTTAAGAAAAATTGCAAGGGGGAATTTTTAATGCTAAGGTGCCATCAACTGTAAAGCAACTTGTAGGTTTATTTTCTTTTTTAAAAACTGAATATGTGAAAAAGAGATGTCATTTATCAGTTTACTGTACTTACTTTATTATTTCTGAATATGAAATGTAACCCCATTCTGTGAATAGGAGCTGTTCTTTGTTTTACACTGTATCAGTTTATCAATAGTTTCAAGTTTTCTGCAGTGTGTACTTTCAAATTTTTTCACTCTACATTTCAATTGATGTTGGAAGAACTGTTATTGGATCAAGAAGACAATGCTTGAAAAGAAAATTATGTATCTGTGTTACAGGCAAAAGAATAGTCATAAAGCATATGTAATCATATAAGACATTCAACATAACAGTTTTAGTGACAAGTGATAGTGTTTGAACTTTTGAAAAGGCATTTAAATGAGAAATCACAAATAAAATAACTATTCCAAAAAAAGTCCAAAATATTTCAAAAAAAATTTTTGAAAAGCATGTGGATTAACCAAATTATTAAAGATATTCTAATGTTTTATCATCTTTCAAGAGTAGCTGTGTTACTCATCCCATGAACTTTTATACTCTGAAGAAACAAAAATTCCAATTTAATGATGTAGAACTTCAAAGACTTAGCCGACAAGCATTTGGTTTTCTGTTTTGTTCTGTTTTGAGACAGTCTTGCTTTGTCATCCAGGCTGGAATGCAGTGGCATGATCAGGGCTCACTGCAACCTCCACATCCTGGGCTCAAGTGATTCTCCCACCTCAGCCTCTAGAATAGCTGTGACCACAGGCATGCACAACCATGCCCAGCTAATTTTTAAAAATTATTTGTAGAGATGAGATCCTGCTACATTGCCCAGGCTGGTCTTGAACTCCTGGCCCAGTGATCCTCCCACCTTGGCCCCCCAAAGTGTTGGGATTACAGGCATGAACCACCATGCCATGCCCAAGGATTTGTTAAATGCCCGTAATTTGTATAGACTAAGTAAAAAGGAAGTTTGACATCTATCTTTTAATTACTTACAGAGCCAAGTTAGCATTGACCTTGATTTGTGAGGCACTACAGTGAAATAAGTTAAAACCAAATTATTGGAATCTCTTGAGTTTAAATTCTTCCACCTACCTGTGGAGTGACTTTGAATAAGGTATTTTATATCTGTATGCTTTATTTTCCCTGTCGTTAGCTCAGGACTTTGCATAGAGTCCTTGCTCAATAAAGAGTAGTTCCCATCATTGTTCAAAAAATTCATGTAAGTTACTCTGATTTTTTTCCTAAACTGGAACTTAAGTGTCTGTACTGTCTTTTTGCAGTAATAACTGCTGAATTACCTGCAACACGTATATATATACACTTATATACTGTTTTTTTTTTTTGAGACAGAGTTTTGCTCTTTTCGCCCAGGCTGGAGTGCAATGGCGCAATCTTGGCTCACTGCAACCTCTGCCTCCTGGGCTCAAACGATTCTCCCACCTCTGCCTCCCAAGTAGCTGGGATTACAGGCGCCCACCACCATGCCTGGCTAAATTTTTTTGTATTTTTAGTAGAGATGGGGTTTCTTCATGTTGGCCAGGCTGGTCTCGAACTCCTGACCTCAGGTAATCTGTCCACCCAGGCATAAGCCACCATGCCCAGCCTGCATTTTATATATATATATACATATAATTATATATAATACATAAATATATTGTTCTATATAATATATAATATAAATTATATATATAAGTTATATATAATTTATATACAAATTAATTTTTATATCAATTTATATAAATTTATATATATATTTATATACTATATAGATATATAATATATATTTATATACTATATATAATATATATTTATATACTATATAGATAATATATATTTATATACTATATAGATATATAATATATATTTATATACTATATAGATATATAAGATATATTTATATACTATATAGATATATAAGATATATTTATATACTATATAGATATATAAGATATATTTATATACTATATAGATATATAAGATATATTTATATACTATATAGATATATAAGATATATTTATATACTATATAGATATATAAGATATATTTATATATGATATAGATTTATATAAGATATATTTATATACGATATAGATTTATATAATATATATTTATATACTATATAGATTTATATAATATATATTTATATACTATATAGATTTATATATAATATATATTTATATACTATATAGATTTATGTAATATATATTTATATACTATATAGATTTATATATAATATATATTTATATACTATATAGGTTTATATATAATATTTTGTATACTATATATTTATATATAATATATAGTATACTATATAATATATAAATATATTTGTATACTAATATATTTATATGTAATATATATTTGTACACTAATATATTTATATAGTATACTGTGTATTTATATAGTATATAAATATATACTATATAAGTATATACAGTATATATAGTATATAAGTATATATTATATAGTATATAAGTATATAGTATATATAGTATATAAGTATATAGTATATATAGTATATAAGTATATAGTATATATAGTATATATAGTATATAAGTATATAGTATATATAGTATATAAGTATATAGTATATATAGTATATAAGTATATAGTATATATAGTATATATAGTATATAAGTATATAGTATATAAGTATATAGTATATATAGTATATATTATATATAGTATATATAGTATATAAGTATATAGTATATATAGTATATAGTGTATATAGTATATATAGTATATAGTATATATAGTATATAAGTGTATAGTATATATAGTATATATAGTATATTAGTATATATAGTATATATAGTATATACGTATATAGTATATATATATTTATATTTATAAATATATTTATATATATAAATATATATTTATATGGTATATATAATATATATATACCGTATATTTATATACGGTATATATATATGTAATATATACCGTATATTTATATTATATAGTGTATATATACAGAGCAACTCCATCTTGAATAGGAGCTGGATAAAATGAGGCTGAGATCTACTGGGCTGCATTCCCAGACAGTTAGCATTCTAACTTACAGGATGAGATAGGAGGTCAGCACAAGATACAGGTCATAAAGACCTTGCTAACAAAACAGGTTTTAGTAAAGCTGGCCAAAACCAACCAAAACCAAGATGATGATGAGAGTGACTTCCGGTCGTCCTCACTGCTGTATTCCCACCAGCGACATGACAGTTTACAAATGCCATGGCAATGTCAGGAAGTTATCCTATATGGTCTAAAAAGGGGAGGCATCAATAATCTGCCCCTTGTTTAGCATATCATCAATATATAACCATAAAAATGGGCGACCTTGCTGGGCGTGGTAGCTCACGCCTGTAATCCCAGCACTTTGGGAGGCCAAGGCAGGCAGATCACGAGGTCAGGAGTTTGAGACCAGCCTGGCCAACGTGGTGAAACCCTGTCTCTACTAAAAACACAAAAATTAGCCGGACATGGTGGTGTGTGCCAGTAGTCCCAGCTGCTCGGGAGGCTGAGGCAGGAGAATCGCTTGAATGCGGAAGGCGGAGGTTGTAGTGAGCCGAGACAGCACCACTGCACTCCAGCCTGGGTGACAGAGGAAGACTCCGTCTCAAAAATAAATAAATAAATAAAAAATGGGCAACCAGCAGCCCTCAAGGCTGCTCTGTCAATGGAGTAGCCATTCTTCTCTTCCTTTACTTTCTTAATAAACTTGCTTTCACTTTACTCTGCAGACTCACACTGAATTCTTCTTGCTGGAGATCCAAGAACCCTCTCTTTCTTGTAACACATAGAAACAGCTTTCCATTGCCACCTAGCTATAAATAACTCCTTTCTGGTTATTCTTTTTTTTTTTTTTTTTTTTGAGACGGAGTCTCGCTCTGTCACCCAGGCTGGAGTGCAGTGGCGCGATCTCGGCTCACTGCGAGCTCTGCCTCCTGGGTTCACGCCATTCTGCCTCAGCCTCTCCGAGTAGCTGGGACTACAGACGCCCGCCACCAAGCCCAGCTAATTTTTTTTTTCTTATTTTTAGTAGAGACAGGGTTTCACCGTGGTCTCGATCTCCTGACCTCGTGATTCGCCCGCCTCGGCCTCCCAAAGTGCTGGGATTACAAGCGTGAGCCACCGCGCCCGGCCTCCTTTCTGGTTATTCTATTAAAAATTATTTCTTACAGTCACCTAACATAGACAATAGTAATTATTTTTTCTATTTGTTTCCTGAAAACTAGAAGAAAACATCACGCATTCAGGCAAAAATAGATCAGCATTAAAATATGATTTTGAGGGTTTATGAAAAAGAGTCACTCCTTTAAAAATCAAAAATGATGCTGAAGATATTTAATTCCTACATCCTCTCAAACCGACTTTTTTTTTTTTCCTTTTTGAGACAGGGTCTCTCTTGCCCAGGCTGGAGTGGAGTGGTGTGATCGTGGTTCATGGCAGCCTGGACCACCCGAGTCCAAGCGATATACCCACCTCAGCCTCTTGAGTAGCTGGGACCACAGGCTTGCACCACCACAGCTGGCTATTTTATTTTATTTATTTATTTATTTATTTATGTATTTTGAGACAGAGTTTTACTCTTGTTGCACAGGCTGGAGCGCAATGGGGCAATCTTGGCTCACTGCAAACTCCGCCTCCCGGGTTCAAGCGATTCTCCTGACTCAGCCTCTGGAGTAGCTGGGATTACAGGTGCCTGCACCACACCCGGCTAATTTTTGTGTTTTTACTAAAGACAGGTTTTCACCATGTTGGCCAGGCTGGTCTGGAATTCCTGACCTCAGGTGATCCGTCTGCCTTGGCCTCCCAAAATGCTGGGATTATAGGCGTGAGCCACCACGCCTGGCCAACTATTTTACTTTTTGTAGATACAGGGTCTCCCCGTGTTACCCAGGCTGGTGTCTCAAACTCCTAGGCTCAAATGATCCTTCCACCTTGGCCTTCCAAAATGGTGGGATTACAGGGGTGGACCACCACACCCAGCCTTGCCTATTTATATGTTAACTAATCAATTAATTCTATTGTCATTTGGGAAAAGATCTCATAAATTTAAAATCCTACTTACATCATTCTGAGTGCAGCTTTATTCTTGAAATGTCTATCCAGGAGGCTGGGCGCAGTGGCTCACACCTGTATTCCCAGCGCTTTGGGAGGCCAAGGCCAGCAGATCAACTGAGCTCAGGAGTACGAGATCAGCCTGGCCAGCCTGGCGAAACCCCTTCTCTACTAAAAATACAAAATTAGCTAGGCGAGGTGATGCATGCCTGTAATCTCAGCTACTCAGGAGGCAGAGGCAGGAGAATGACTTGAACGCGAGTGGTGGAAGTGGCTGTGAGCCAAGATCGCACCACTGCACTCAAGCCTGGGCAACAGAGAGACTCCTTCTCAAAAAAAAAAAAAAAAAAAGGCGGGGCGCGTTAGCTCATGCTTGTAATTCCAGCACTTTGGGAGGCCAAGGTGGGCGGATCACGAGGTCAGGAGTTTGAGACCAGCCTGGCCAACATAGTGAAATCCTGTCTCTACTAACAAAATACAAAAATTAGCTGGGTGTGGTGGCACTCACCTGTAGTCCCAGCTACTCGGGAGGCTGAGGCAGGAGAATCGCTTGAATCCAGGAGGCGGAGGTTGCAGTGAGCCGAGATGGTGCCATTGCACTCTAGCCTGGGTGACAGAGCAAGACTCTGTCTCGAAAAAAAAAAAAAAAGTAAAAAAAATGTATTATTCCTGGTGTGTCCGTGAGGGTGTTGCCAAAGGAGATTAACATTTCAGTCACTGGACTGGGAAAGGCAGACCTATCCTTAATCTGGGTGGGCACCATTTAATCAGCTGCCAGTACAGCCAGAATAAAAACTCGGGAGGCTGAGGCAGGAGAATTGCTTGAACCCAGGAGGGGGAGGTTGCAGTGAGCCAAGATCGCGCCACTGCACTCCAGCCTGGGTGACAGAGTGACACTCTGTCTCAAAAAAAAAATAAAATTTAAAAAAATAGTGCTTTCTCCCTGCATCTTCACATGGTGGAAGGGTTGAAAGCCTCCTTCAGCCGGGCGCGGTGGCTCACGCCTGTAATCCCAGCACTTTGGGAGGCCGAGGCGGGTGGATCATGAGGTACAAGGTGAAACCCCGTCTCTACTAAAAATACAAAAAATTAGCCGGGCGCGGTGGCGGGCGCCTGTAGTCCCAGCTACTCGGGAGGCTGAGGCAGGAGAATGGCGTGAACCCGGGAAGCGGAGCTTGCAGTGAGCCGAGATTGCGCCACTGCAGTCCGCAGTCCGGCCTGGGCGACAGAGCGAGACTCCGTCTCAAAAAAAAAAAAAAAAAAAAAAAAAAAAAAAAAAAAAGAAAGCCTCCTTCAAGCCTCTTTTTTTTTTCTTTTTTTTGAGACACAGTCTCATTCTGTCGCCCATGCTGGAGTGCAGTGGCACAATCTCTGCTCACTACAACCTCTGACTCCCAGGTTCAAGTGATTCTCCTGCCTCAGCCTCCCGAGTAGCTGGGACTACAGGTGTGCACCTCCACACCTGGATAATTTTTGTATTTTTAGTAGAGATGGGGTTTCACCGTGTTGGCCAGGCTGGCCTTGAACCTGGCCTCAAGTGATCTGCCCAACTCAGCCTCCCAAGTGCTAGGATTACAGGCCTGAACCACCACACCCGGCCATCAAGCCTCTTATAGAAGAACACTACTCTCATTTATGAGAGCAGAGTCCTCATCACCTAATTATCTCCTAAACACCTGTCTGTGATTGTTAATATTAGGTATCAACTTGATTGGATTGAGGGATGCCTAGATGGCTGGTAAAGTCTTATTTCTGGATGTGTCTGTGAGGGTGTTGCCAGAGTAGATTGATATTTGAGTCAGTGGACTGGGAGACAAGATCCACTCTTAATGTCGGTGGGCACCATCCAGTTGGCTGCCAGCGTGGCAAAAACAAAGCAGGCAGAAGAAGTTGGGATGCCTTTGCTTGCTGGGTCTTCTGCTTCCTTCTTTTTCCTCCCGTGCTGGATGTTTCCTTCTGCTTCTCCTGCCCTTGGACTTCAGATTCCAGGTTCTTTGGCCTTTGGACTCTGGGACTTACACCAGTGTTTTGCCAGGGGTTGTCAAGCCGTTTGCCACAGACTGAAGGCTGCACTGTCAGCTTTCTTGGTTTTGAAGCTTTGGACTCAGACTGAGCCACGGCTGGCTTCTTTCTTTCCCAGCTTGCGGATGGCCTGTCCTGGGACTCCGCCTTGTGACTGTGTGAGCCAATTCTTCCTAATAAACTCCCTTTCATATATACATATATCCTATTAGTTCTGTCTCTCTGGAGAACCCTGACTAATACAAGGCCCTATCTCTTAATACCACCACAATGGGGATTAGGTTGCAACACAAATTTTGAGGATACACAAACATTCAGACATAGCTTGTATACATATATATTTAATATTTTTATTTTCTAAATTATTTATTTATTTGTAGAGACAGGGTTCCGCTGTGTTACCCCTGCTGGTCTCAAACTCCTGGGCTCAAGCAATCCTCTCACCTCGGCCTTCCAAAGTGTTGGGATTACAGGTGTGAGGTTCTATGCCCAGCTATATATTAATATCTTTAACCCAACCATGTTAAAGTATATGTGCAATTTTGTAGCTTTCTTTTGTCACTTAAAAATGTATTGTATCAAGTCCAACAGAGCTTAAAGGTAAAAAGAAAGTGTATTGTAGATCTTACTGTATATTTATGTATACAGTATATTTTATTCTCTTTCAAAAAATAAAATAGAGATGAAGTCTTGCTATGTTGCCCAGGCTGGTCTGGAACTCCTGACCCCAAGTTATCTTCCCACCTCAGCCTCCCAAAGTATTGGAATTACAGGTGTGAGCCACTGCACCAGGCCCTGTTTCATTTTTTCTTAACTAGCTACAGGGCATTCCATTGAATGAGCAGACATTGTGACTTGTTTTATTTTTTCAACAATGAAAACTTCCTTGTACATATATCTTTATATATGTGTTGAAAATATTTTTATAGATTAAATTCCTAGAAGTAAAAATCCTGGGGAAAAAGGTATGCATATTTTATAATTAGATAAAATATCAAGATTTGGCTGGACGCGGTGGCTCATGCCTGTAATCCCAGCACTTTGGGAGGCGAAGGAGGGTGGATCACCTGAGGTCAGGAGTTCAGACTGACCAACACAGTGAAACCCTGTCTCTACTAAAATACAAAAAAATTAGCTGGGCATGGTGGTGCATGCCTGTAATCCCAGCTACTTGGGAGGCTGAGGCAAGAGAATTGCTTGAACCCAGGAGGCGGAGGTTGCAGTGAGCCAAGATCACGCCAGTGCACTCCAGCCCGGGCGACAGAACAAGACTCCATCTCAAAAAAAAAAAAAAAAAAAATTCAAGATTTTACCATAAGACCCAATCACGTCAAAAGGTGATATGATCTGCAGAGACAGCATCTGTGGAGTGGGCTTTAGGGAGGGTTTTAGTATCTTTGTGGGGGATCCATAAAATCCATGATTTACATGGATTATATCAGTTAATCCTCACAACAACTCTTTGAGGTAGGTAGTATTATTAGCCCCTTTTTACTGATGAGCAAACTGAGGTTTAGAGAGGTTAGGATTCAAACCCAAGGAATGAAAGAAAAGCTAAAGTTGTTCATCTGTGGTCTAAGATAGGAGTAAAATGGAAGAATGAGCAGATGGAAGAGAAAGAGAAGACATAACATCTAGATACAGAATAGGCCAGAGTCCTCAAACTTTTGTTATCCACAGAGAGACCCTTTTCTAGTTATGGCTTTAGCTGCTGAGAAAAATCATGCCAGACTGAACACATTTGTCTTTAAATAGCTTACATTCTATGTTGGGAGAACAAAGTATTAAAATTTGATGAGGAGGACACAATTCGCCCAAAAGCTCAGGACCACCACAGGTGATGTCTCACATGTCAGTAGGTGATTCTATTAATTAATTAATTAATTAATTAATTTATTTATTTAGACAGGGTCTCACTCTGTTGCCCAGGCTGGAGTGCAGTGTCGCTGTCTCGACTCACTGCAATCTCTACCTCCTGGGTTCAAGTGATTCTCCCCCCTCAACCTCCCGAGTAGCTGGCAGTACAGGCACCTGCCACGACACCAGGCTAATTTTGTACTTTTAGTAGAGACAGGGTTTCATCTTGTTGGCTAGGCTGGTCTCAAACTCCTGGCCTCAAGTGATCCACCCGCCTCTGCCTCCCAAATTGCTGGGATTACAGGTGTGAGCCACTGTGCCCAGCCTTATTTTATTTTTGAGACAGGGGTCACCCAGGCTGGAGTGTAGTGGCAGGATCATAGCTCACTGCAGCCTTCATCTCTCAGGCTCAAGCAATCCCTCCCCTTCAGCTTCCTGAGTAGCTAGGACAACAGGTGCACGCCACTACGCCCTGCTAATTGTTTTTTATTTTTGTACAGACGGGATCTCACTTTGTTCCCCAGGCTGGTCTTGAACTCCTGGACTCAAGAGATCCTCCCTCTTCAGCTTTCCAAAGTGTTGGGATTACAGGCATGAGCCACCACACCCAGCAGTAATTTTCAAATAAATTGTGCATATAGTAAATTTTACCTGAGGAGTGAAGTAAAGGTTAGTTGTGTCCATCTCCAGATCAACTTGACCCCTTCAAGGCTACTTCTCATTCCTGCAAAGGACAGCAGGATTCATGTAAAAGAGTATCCCTGTATTCGCTATGCAATTGATGATCTAGATTTGGAGTGCTTTGCTTTGCCTGATTGTCTTCTCTTTCTTTGTAGGTTTCCGTAGGTTTCCTACCAAAATGTATGACTGAGTCTAGTCATGAGAAAACAGTGGACAGTGGCTGGGCGTGGTGGCTCATGCCTGTAATCCCAGCACTTTGGGAGGCCGAGGTGGGTGGATCACCTGAGGTCAGGAGTTCGAGACCAGCCTGACCAACATGGAGAAACCCCGTCTCTACTAAAAATACAAAAAAAAAATTAGCCAGGCGTGATGGCGCATGCCTGTAATCCCAGCTACTCAGGAGGCTGAGGCGGGAGAATTGCTTGAACCTGGGCAGCGGAGGTTGTGGTGAGCCAAGATTGTGCCATTGCACTCCAGCCTGGGCAACAAGAGCAAAACTCCGTCTCAAAAAAAGAAAAAGAAAACAGTGGACAGTGGACATACACACCTGATATTTAGGGATGACGGTGTAGCCAGTGTGTAGCTTTTCATCTGATTATTCATATAAAGACTCAGGAGGCTGGGCATGGTGGCTTATGGCAGTAATCCCAGCACTTTGGGAGGCCTAGGCGGGCACATCACTTGAGGTCAGGAGTTTGAGACCAGCCTGGCCACCATGGTGAAACCCTGTCTCTACTAAAAATACAAAAAAAAAAAAAATTATCCAGGCTTGGTGGTGCATGCCTGTAGTCCCACCTACTCGGGAGGCTGAGGCACGAGATTCGCTTGAACCTGGGAGGCGGAGGTTGCGGTGAGCCGAGATTGCACCACTGCACTCCAGCCTGGGCAGAAAAAAAAAAAAGACTCAGAATAACAACAATAAAACCATATAGTAGGTACATGCAGAGAGAGTGAAATAAAATATGTTAAAATATTAAAACTTGGGGAATCTGAGTGAGGGGGACATGAGAATTCTTGTAACTTTTTGGTCACTTGAAATTATTTCAAAATTAATATGGAACACATTCATATTCATAATAAACATAAAACATACGTCTACACAAAAACTTGTACACAAATGTTCACAGCTGCATATTCATAATAGCCAAAAAGTGAAAACAATGAAAATATACATCAACTGAAATACATAAACAAAATTTTGTATCTAAATGATGAAATATTTAACAAGAAAAAATTAAAAAATAGATATAGGCCAGGCTCAGTGGTTCATGGCTGTAATCCCAGCACTTTGGGAGGCCAAGACTGATGGATCACTTGAGGTCAGGAGTGCGAGACTAGTCTGGCCAACATGATGAAACCCTGTCTCTACTAAAAATACAAAAATTAGCTGGGTGTGGTGGTGCACAACTGTAATCACAGCTATTTGGGAGGCTGAGACAGGAGAATCACTTGAACCGAGAGGCAGAGGTTGCAGTGAACCAAAATAGTGCCATTGCACTCCAGCCTGGGCGACAGAGTGAAACTCCATCTCAAATAATAAAAATAAAAAGTAAATACAGATACATACTACAACATAGATCAACCTTTGTTTAACAGGTTGCTATGAAAAAACTATATAGATGAACCTTAAAAACATGCTAAGTGAAAGCAGCCAGTCACAAAATACCGCATATTGGCTGGGCACAGTGACTAATGCCTATAATCCCAGCACTTTGGGAGGAGGCTGAGGTGGGCGGAACACTCGAGCCCAGGAGTTCGAGACCAGCCTGGGCAACATGGTGAAACCTGTCTTTGCAAAGAAAAAAAAAAAAAATCCCTCCAAAATTAGCCAGGCTTGGTGGCACATGCCTGTAGTCCCAGCTACTCCAGAGGCTGAGGTGGGAGGATTACTTAAGCTCAGGAGGCAGAGGCTGCAGTGAGCCAAGATTGCACCACTGCACTCCAGCCTGGGCACCAGACCAAGACTGTGTCAGAAAAAAAAAATCACATATTGCATGATTTTATTTATGTGAAATGTCCAGAATAAGAAAACTCATAGAGAAAAAACTAGATTTGGCCAGGCACGGTGGCTCACGCCTGTAATCCCAGCACTTTGGGAGGCAGAGGCGGGTGGATCATGAGGTCAGGAGATCGAGACCATCCTGGCTAACACAGTGAAACCCCGCGTCTACTAAAAATACAAAAAATTAGCCGGGCGTGGTGGCGGGCGCCTGTAGCCCCAGCTACTCGGGAGGCTGAGGCAGGAGAATGGCGTGAACCCGGGAGGCGGAGCTTGCAGTGAGCCGAGATTGCATCGCTGCACTCCAGCCTGGGCGACAGAGCGAGACTCTGTCTCAAAAAAAAAAAAAAAAAAAAAAAGAAAAAACTAGATTTGTTGTTGCCAGCGGGTGAGGAGATGGGGAATGATGAATAACTGCTGATATTTCAGGGTTTCTTTCTGGGGTGATGAAATGTTCTAAAAGTGATTGTGGTGATGGTTGCACAACTTTGTGAATATACGAAAACCCCCTGAAGTGTACATTTTATTCTTTTATTATTTTGTAATGGTACTAAGTTCTAAAGATAGTAGAAAAGCTAATATCATCAAGTTCCTTAAATGATAGTAAGAAAACCTTCCGGGCTGGGCGTGGTGGTGGGTGCCTGTAATCCCAGCTACTTGGGAGGGTGAGGCAAGAGAACTGCTTGAACCCGGGAGGTGGAGGTTGCAGAAAGCTGAGATTGTGCCACTGCACTCCAGCCTGTGTGATAGAGTGAGACTCTGTCTCAAAAAAAAAAAAAAAAAGAAAGAAAGAAAGAAAAGAAGGAAAGAAGGAAAGAAGAAAGAAAGAAAAGAAAAGAAAGAAAGACTTCTGATGCCAGAAGCCCCCTCCATCAACAATCTGTCGAGCAATGTTCTTCACTCAGAGGCTCCCATCTGACACTAGGTAGGGAAGGCGTTGGTGCCCTTTGCCCATAACTAGCCCATGACAGAATGCTGCCTTGGACAGAGCCCTCACTCACTCCAAAGAGGCCAGGAATGCTAGGTAGGGAGGAATTTACATGCCTAGGCCAGCTCTGGACCAGCCCCAGTCCTATGGTACAGAGAAGGACAGTGGCAGCTAACGAGCTTGGAAAAGTCCAAAGCCAGCCTTGTTTAACACCAGTAACAATTTTACCTCTACACTGAGGGCTAACATGCATCCAATTCCAGTTCCTCTTTCTCCATCTAAGTAACTCCAGAGGTGGCACTAAGCCTGGCCCACTCACACAATCTAGGACAGAGCAATAGTCAGACATCTCAATGGGCTCAGCTTCCCAGTAATAGGAGTTACTGAGAACAGCACTGGGGGAGCCTCTGTCCATGTCAAAAAGGAGCATCTAAGAGGGGTTACTGCCATAACTCCATCCTTCTTGCTGTGCTTTGAGAAACAGAAGCCAAATCCTACCTCCCTTCAAAGAGCTCTAGTTGCTATGGGAACCAATCCCACCCCCCACTTGAGTCCCGAGACTTAGGAGGGTATGGAGCCAGGAGGAGGCTCCCGGGTGTCTCAAGAGCAGCCACACTTCTCTATCAAGGATGCGTTCACACAGTGAACGCTCATCTTACGTTCGTCATCCTGGACCGTTAGGGAGAAGAGAATGACCTTGGTGGGACTACAGGTCTGAAAGAGCCAGGAACAGATCAATAGGCACTCCCCTCTTATAGTGCAAACTTTGAGTGCAAAGTTGGATTGATGAAGCTCACTGTTGAGGGTCAGGCAGGTCCCCTGACAGTAAGGGAAGCTGGAAGTCTTGGGTGCAACAATACACTCACCGCAGGCAGCTCTGTGAAGGTTCACCTTGCAATCCTGCAGATGACAGAGCTTCTCTGCTGGAAATATATCCTGGCCATGGTCTATCTCCCCATGATTCTGGCATGGGATCCCCAGAGTCAGCTGCTCCACAGTAGGGATAAAGCATTTCTGGACGTAAGGCAGGTGAAACAGAGGTGGCTGTGTTGGGGACAAGGTCATGAACAGCAACACTATGTCTCACTTGCCTTTGATACTAAAACACTGGTTCAGGCTGGGGTCAGACGCATTAGTAGCTGTAATCTTTTCCTCTGCCAAGAGGGTGGGCACCACCTCCATCCAATATATTAGTAAACAGTAGATCTCCAATAATGATCCTCCTTTCTGACTGGTAGGATGAAAAGATAATGGGGAAAGAGCCCAAGAGGAATCTTTCGCAGTTGGTGGTGGTTGGGGGGCAGGGGTTGATGGGTCTTGAACTCTAGAACAAGCTTAGTGGCATGGGGATAGTGGACACCCAAACCCATAGCTATATCAAGGAAACCTCCAAGAAGGGAACTGCCTCAAAACAGACAAGCCAGTAGCTGTGTAGGAACTAGGAGCTTTTGGATGTGAGGGTAAAACCATGTTGCCAGGCAGAAAAGATCTCATTTATGCAGAAAGGCAGCACCCGGCTGGGACAGTCAAACATTTCTACCATGCTAAAACATGCGCCAAAGACCCAGAGCCAAGAGCCCAGGAAAAAGCCAAGAGATGCCACTCCTCCCACTGCCTGCTTTCAGATGAAGTGGACACTTCAAATGGGCGAATTTTATGGTATGTGAAATATATCTCAATAAAACTACAGAAGAAAAATAAATGTCACACGTACAACATAAAGTAAAATCATACATGTTTTCTAGGCCAGTGGCATAGAGGTATACAGGCTGAAAAGAGAGAAACTCTGAAAGTTATTTATTTATTGAAACAGGGTCTTGCTTTGTTGCCCAGGCTGGAGTGCAGTGGCATGATATCAGCTCACTGCAACCTCTGCTTCCCGGCTTCAAGTGATTTTCCTGCTTCAGCCTCCAAAGAAGCTGGGATTACAGGTGCACCCCATACCCAGCTAATTTTTTTTGTATTTTTGGTAGAGACAGTGTTTCACCATGCTGTCCAGGCTGGTCTCGAACTCCTGACCTCAAGTGATCCTCCCGGCTTGGTCTCCCAAAGTGCTGAAATTACAGGCGTGAGCCACCATGCCCGGCCTGAAAGTCTTTTATTAAGCAAAAAAAGCCACTACATGAGTAGTTTCTCAAAAAGACCAAAAGCCGTGTGACCAAGTGACATGGCTTCCTTTCTGTCTGGCTAGGTCTTGTCTCTGACTTAGGTCTCATTTCCCCGAAATAGCACTGGAAGCAAAAAATAGTGTGATGGTTAAAGAGCCGGCTTTAAGTAACTCGCCCAAAGTCACACAAGTTATAGATCTGGATTTGAACCCAGGCAGTCTGGCTCCCTGGGTTCCAATCCAGATCTATAACCTGTGTGACTTTAGGCAAGTTACTTAACCTCTCTGTGCTCTGTTATAAAATGGGATACACGATTGGGTTGTTGCGAAGAATAAATAACATAATCTTTGAAACGTGCTTCAAAAAGCATCTCTTGCTTGTTGGAATTTATTTGAAGTTGACTATGTTTTTTTAAAAAAGCCTCCCATTAGGACATGCTTTTTTTAGAAGGCCCCAATCATTTCATCCTCCCATTTGTCAATGATCATTTCTATGTTGCAAGCCATCTTTAATCAGACACCAGGTAGTAGTTGATCTAATGCTGACAAGCCAAGTCCTACTCCCCTTCCCTGACATTCCTTTTCTGCCATTGTGAGAACTATAGAACATGGCTCAGAGGTTGTTTTCAAAGGCTGAGGTCATTGCTATCATTCCTTCATACTCTCACAGATTAACTCCAAACTGCAGAAGCATCTTGGTTTCCCATCATCCTGCAGACTGGGCAAACAGATAGGAGCTTAGGAAGGCCTAATCAGAGAACAGATGCTCATTTCATGCTAAGAATGTGCTAGCACTGTACGTGAATAGTTTCATTTCATTTTCACACAAACCCCATCTTGCAGACTATTATTATCCTCTTTTTCACATGAGGAAATTAATGACCAGAAAAGTTAATATGTCAAGGTCACACAGCCACTGAAAAATGGAGCCAGAATTCCAACCCAGCTGTCTTCAGACCCTATTAACTGCCATGTTATATTACCTGCCCCTCCCTAGAATGTAAGAGTTTACAGCTAAGGCCCTCTTTAACAGTAGCCCAAAGCAACAGAGGTCAGAAATTCTGTCTTATCTATCTATGTCCTCGGTGCCTGGGACACCGCCTGCCATGTGATAGGAACACAGAATGTCCAACTGCTTAACTGTGCTCGGAACATGTCATGTAGAGTTAAGTGAATCCTCCAGTTGCAGAGTCTATTTTCTACTTGTAAGACTATTTATTTATTTACTTATTATTTATTTATTTATCAAGATGGAGTCTCAGCTCTGTCGCCCAGGCTGGAGTGCAGTGGCACGATCTCGGCTCACTGCCACCTCCACTTCCTGGGTTCAACGGATTCTCCTGCCTCAGCCTCTTGAGTAGCTGGGATTACAGGTGCCCACCACCATGCCTAGCTAATTTTTGTATTTTTAGTGGAGACGGGGTTTCACCATGTTGGCCAGGCTGGTCTTGAACTCCTGACCTCAAGTGATCTGCCCACTTCAGCCTCCCAAAGTGCAGAGATTACAGGCGTGAGCCACCGCGCCAAGCCAACTTTCTACTTGTAAGACAATTTAGAGGGGTTTAGAGTCACAGAGATCTTAGTTAGAATTTGGTAGCTATGTGATCTTGACAAATGTATTTAACTCATCTGAGTCTTGTGTCCCTAACTTGGAAAATGTGGTAAATATATACTCATAGCATTATTATCTGGATGGAATGAAACAATGATAAACATATAATAGGTGCTCAATGAATATTAGCTGTTACTATTGCCTCCCTATCCTTTCTTCCAAATAGGTCTTTGTGATAGGTCAACCATGAGTTAGTTCCCAACTCAAAATAAGTGAAGCAGAAATTGGAACTCAGAGTAGAGTAGTAAAACTAGCATTAAATTGGAAATTGGGAAACTTGTCTCCTGGCTTTTGTTGCCCTTTCTCTACCCAGCAACTATGTAATCTTGGTCAAATCACCTTACTTGTCTGGGCTTCCAATTTCATATCTTAAGTTACAAAATTGATCTCTGAAGCCTCTAGGATTCTCTGAATCCATATGTCTGGGACTAAGAGATTATGTCGAGGAATTATTACCCTTGGTTTGATTGTTTTTTAAACAAATTAACTTGGGGTGGTTGGAAAACACATTGATTATTTACTCATCTTAGAGTTACACGTTGTTCATTTATTTGAAACTGAAACGTATTTCCTCCAAACACCGTAGAAACTTAAAGGCCGCAAAAGACTCACACCCACCACCTAGCGGCGAAAAAAGGAAGTTTCAGGTGATACAAGATGTCCTGCCATCACACCTGAAGGATGGTTGTCCACAGCCATTTTTTAAAATCTCGTATTAGTCCTCTTCCTTCAACACTCAGGACAGTATTATGTACCCAGAAACTCAATACTTCCTGGCGTCTTCATTTGACAATACTCTTAAGCCAATGAAATCCTGTGGGACGTTTGCGAATTTTATAAAGATCAATGTTTTAAGATTGGCGGGGTGGGCTGGGAGTGGTGGGGGGGAAGGTGCCTTCCTACCCTTGCATTTGCATCTCAAGCCACCCGTACCCGAGGCCCACCCAGTCCATCTGTTCATTGGTAGATACACCATTCCGCCATTCCGCCAGTGGCTGGTGCAGAGAACCAGGACCACCACCTTTGAAAAGACCTAAATCAATACTCCAATGGGATCCTGATGTCAAGTATTTAACGACTTTGCTTTACCTACTACAGTAATTAAAATTAAGTCTTCAAACTTAAATTTAAATTTCTAAAAGCAGGAATGCACTGTCCTTAATCTTAAACACCAAAGGTGGGAGAAAGAGGCCAGAATCCTAGGGTACTAGGCCTACTGGTATAGGGCGATCTCTTCTGCTTTTTTCTTTCCACCCCATTTCTTTTCCCTTTCTCCTTTCGTTTCCCATCTTCTCTCTTCTCGTTCTCTTCGAAGTAACAGTGACAAAATTAAGGTGATTCAATTATTCCAAGAGGCTTGCTCATATAAAATATTTCTCTTCAAGCCCTTTCCTGAAATCCCAAATTAAAGCATTTCCAATAGTCTCTGCTTTAAGTATTCCTAGTTAAGTCTACTTTTGGAAATATTAAATATTCTCACTTTGGCACAATATTCCAAAATTCCTTGAGAAGTTCGCCTACGATCAGTCTTGCTAGTAGAAACCTTTTTTTTTTTTTATTTAAAACGCTCGATTTCCACTTTTTACTAGGTTTCCCAATGTTGGCGATGTCTCCCAATGACTTAATAACGTGTATCCACTTCACCTTTGAAAATCTTAGAGGTCAGTGCATCCACCGGCATCCGGGAATTTATTCTTATTTCTGCTTCTTAAACAGGCTCTGGGGAGGAGCAGTTTCGACGGAGAAGTTCATAGCAGCAGTTATTACGGAACTTGCAACAGTTGGTGCCGGGCGATAGGCAGGTTGGAAGTGATAAATGGGGCTGGCGTAAAAAACAAAAAGCCCCGGGGAGGGCGGGGGCAGCCGTGGCCTTGGGGGACAGTGCGAAGGCGGCGCGGGGCCAGCGGGACTGACTTCCGGCTGTGGGAAGGCGCCGTCCCGGGCGGCCAGAGGCGGCGGCAGCCGCGTAGAAGGACGGCGGGATCGCAGCCCGGCGGGCGGCGCGCGGGGCGGGTGAGCGGGCCCAGGCCGCCCCCGGGCCACGCCGGGGCCACGGTGAGGTGAGGCCGGCCCTGCCCCCGCACCGCCCCCGGCAGGAGGCGCGACGCCCGGGCCGCGGGTGCGTGCGCGGCCCCGGGCGACGCGGCTGGGCGTGCGCGGGGCCGCGGCGGAGGCTGGGCCGGGCGGGCGGCAGAAGATGGCGAGGGTGTGTAGGCGGCAGCAATGCTCCGTTGAGAGACGCGGCTTTCGGCAAGAACTGGATTCGTGGCGCCACAAGCTCATTCACTGTGTAGGTGAGACCCTCCGCCGACCGCCGCCGCCCCTCCGGCCGCCCCGCCGCCGGTCGCCCCAGACCAGGGAGGAAGCTGGGGAAGTGGCAATTGCTGCTCCGGCCCGCCCGCCCTCTTTGGCTCGAGCGTCCCCCCTTCCCCCACCCCCCGGAGTGTGAGCGCGCGCGACCTCCAGGCGGGCTCCCCTGCTCGGCCGAGCGCGCGCCGGCCCCTCCCCTCCGCGCGCCTCCCCGGGGCTGGCTCTCGGCGGGAGCGCGGGTTCCTCCCCCTCCCGCTCTCCATCCCCGCCTGCTCGCTCCCCTCCCTCCCCGCTCCCGCCCCTGCTCCCGCTCCAGGCCCGGCGCCCCGGCGCCGCCGCCGGCTTATTGTGGCGACTCGCCTCGCGGCGCTGCCGCTGTACTGGGGGAGGCGCGAGGGGCGCGGGCGTGCTCGGCCCCCACCCGCGCTGTGGCCGCCGCCGTCCTCCTCCTGCGCCACCCCTCCCCCACGCGCGGGGCGCGCCCCCGGGTCTGCGTGCACGCGCGGCGGGCTGCAGGCGGGCGCCCGGCGCTCGGGCGTGTGCGAAGCGTGAGGTGGAGATGGGGGCGGAGGGAGCTGGAGCTGTCACAGTCCCCGGGTGCGCCTGACCGAGCCAAGTGGGGTGTCATGGCCGCGGGGGGCAGCGGCTGCACTTCCTCAGCGGGCGGCGGTGGCCGGGGAGTTAATCCTCGACGCACGGGTCGGTGTGTGCGTATTTGTGTTCGGTGTCGTGCTGCGGGAGGAGGGGGTGGGACCGGGTCCGACCGAGGAGCCCCGGCGGGGGTCGCTCTCGTCCCCTCCCGGGGATTGGCCGGAGCCGCAGCCTCGCCCGAATGCCCCGTCCGCCCCCCGCCTCCCGGACCTTGGGCCGCCCTCGGGTGGCTTTTTCCCTGCGGGCCGGAGGGAGCGCGGACGGGGGCGCCCCGGGAGGGGCCGGGCGGCCGAGCTGCGCCTCTCACACTGTGTGTTTTGTCTGTTTTTCTCTCCCAAGGTCCCGTTTCCCTCTGTGCGGCGGCCGGCGGGACCATAAGGGCTTAACTCATATATTTAACCCCCCTCCAAAAAGTAAGTGGCCCGTGTGGTGTCTCCGCTCCGCCCGCCGCCCCCTAGCCCCAGTCCATCCTTGTGTCTGACTCTCCTGTCCTCCAGCATTGTTACTTCCCCGTCTTTGCTTCGGTGCTGCTGGTGTGTGGGGAGATGCCCTCTCGTCGTCCGCTGTCCCCCACGCCCAGTCCTCGGGGAGGCCCAGAATTCCAGCCCCTTCTCCCCCAGGGGAATATTCTTGGGAACCAGGTCTTTCCCGGCAGAATCTAGGAGAGTCTATCCGTTCGCTTGGGCCCCTCATTCCCTCCTTCCCGACAGGGTTTCGTTGGAAGGAATTATGCAAATCCTGCTTTCTGGTGTCCATTCAGCGGCAATTTCATGCGGTGAGAAGTTCTCTTTGTTGTGCGAGGGGGAGAACAGACACTGATTTAATAGACATATCTGTTGGGGGGAAGGGTGGAGGGGGTGTGGAGAGGCTCAGTTTGGAAGAATTACAGCACTTGGTTAGCTCAGTGTCTTTGTGTTTGAGCCTTCTGGCTTGACAGGAGGGTCTGCCCTTTACAATGTCCCACAAGGGATGTTTTCGATAATAGATTAAAAAGCAAAATTGAAACTTTAAACAAGTGAAAAATCAGGTAACCTTTACTTAAAGAATATACGCCTTTCCATTTCTACAGGGTTTCATTACGAAAATGTATAGCGTGAGTTTCGTTAAGGATTTAGACTGTAACACCGAAATTAATATAGGCAACAATGCTTTAAGGTATCTGATACCAGTTTGGTTGTCCAAAGGTTAAAAGTGCATTTTCAAACATATGCTTGTGCAAATAATAAAGGCATGAGTCAGTTTTTTGGTATAATTCGTCTCATGAATATATTTTAAAATTCCCCTCCTGCCAATCCAAGACCAGTGCTGCCCTCCAGGAAACAAACAGCCTTTTGCCTATCAGTTATCCTGTACTCTGCTCTATCTCTGCTTGTTTTATTCTTTCAAAGTATTATTATGCATGTACTAAAATGTTACGTCGGTTTAAGTACTTTTTGAATTACTTGGTATTTCGGACTATCATAGAAGAGAGCATATAGCAGGTTTTGAGAAGCATGAAATTAATGCGTTTTCAGAATTGTGGGTTAGTATCAAATGCTGGAATTGTTTTGAAGAATTTTTAGTTCTTGTATGTTTTACATTTGTTAGTGATTGGTTTTTTCAGCAGGGCTTTTTAGTCTTTGAAAGATTTTTAAATTTATAATGTAGTCCTGTCCTGTAGATTTTCTGAGTTCCATGTTGCTTTAATTTAGATGGTTTTAATTAGTGTATCTTATTCTAATTCTCTTTGCATTTAATCCTGGGCTCCTGCCTCAGGACCCCATTTTTTCAGTCATTGCTAGTTAGTGGTTAGTTACTGCTGCTTGACAAGATGTGTTTTTGTTTTTGTTTTTGTTGTTGTTTTTTCTTTATTGAGACGGAGTTTCACTCTTTTGCCCGGGCTGGAGTGCAGTGGCGCCATCTCGGCTCACTGCAACCTCCGCCTCCCAGGTTCAAGCGGTTCTTCTGCGTCAGCCTCCCGAGTAGCTGGGACTACAGGCGTGCGCCACCACGCCCAGCTAATTTTTGTACTTTTGGTAGAGACGGGGTTTCACCATATTGGCCAGGCTGGTCTCGAACTCCTGACCTCATGATCCGCCCGCCTCGGCTTCCCAAAGTGCTGAAATTTACAGGCGTGAGAGCCACTGTGCCCGGCCGTGTTTTTGGTTTTTAAAATTATGACTGATAAATTATTTCTGTAAATATCTGAATGGAATATCAACATTTTGATTCATTTTTTGAAGGCAAATTTTAATCTGGTGATCAAATTTCTTAAAGCATACTTTTAACTCCAAATTTCCACTTTAAAGATAGTAAAGTTCAGAAGATTATAGAGTCCAGAGTGCAGAGCAATATTTTAATCTGAGCAGTAACATATATTCATAGTCTCTCAACTAAAATCAGTGGGGCCTCATATTTTCTCTTTTATTATATGTAATTTTGTTTTTTAAGAGGAGAGTTCTAAGTAAATTAATTGTAGTGTTAAGAACTTTCTATATTTAAAAGGACTGGCAGTGATCCTTAGGCAATTCAAAAGGTAACTTGTTTACTTCCAGATGTAATAATTTTTTAGTGGGATTGGTTCTAAACGGTCAACCTGTTTGTTTCTCTTGACTGATTATCTTAATACTTTAGGGTCATTTGGTTTCTGGAAGGTATTTAATTTACAGCAGTTTGGATTAAAAATTAATTCTCATTTCTAAAATCGAATTCTCCCTTCTATTAGTACTTTTTTGGAGGGTGTGGGGGCAGGTGGTGGTGGTGATGTTGCTGATTAAATGATTAGGTTCAGTTGAATTGGAGTTAGTCCTGGGTTCAGACAGTGATTATGATCAAGATGGATGATATTTGGTTACCAGGTGATTATTAAGGAGTCCTCTGAGACTAGGATGATCAGTTTAGATTCCAGGAAGATCTAGGCTCTCTCTGCGCCTGATATGATGTAACCTTTTGCTTTCCTGCACCTTGCCCTTGCTGTATTTTCAAGAAGCTCTTCCTAATGTGGGGAAAGTTGTGGTGATTTCAGCTTAGCTCTAGCTTGGCTAAAAATAGGACAGCAGATGAGTCTCTTTGACTTTCAGAAAGTTATTTCAGATTGCCCTAATTTCCTGAAATGTTCTTGTAGCTGGAGCAATTCTAGGAAGTATTTGAACAATGCCATTTTTTAGTCTTATGGTGCTACACAGGGGGGCCTGGAATTTCTTACATAGTGAGAATTGGTTATTTGATGCCACTTTTATTTTTATTTAGAGTTTTTTTTAGAGACAGGGTTTGGCTATGTTGTCCAGGCTGGTCTCAAACTCCTCCTGTCTCAGCCTCCCAAAGTCACTTGCCTGATAGAACTTGCCACTTCAGAGTACCTGCCTGATCATTTAGCTGTTTGTATTGATGCTGTTTTTAGGATGAAGGGCAGTTAGGTGTTTACTTCATTTAAACAAGCATCTGTTTTTTACCAGGCACTGTGGGCAAACAAAGTCTGGGAAAGTTGCCTCAACCTTCAGGAACTTTTAAACCTTAGAGAAAATGTAATGTAATCGATCAGTTATTGTACAAGGCATAGTGTGTCATATGATGGTGCAAGCAAATGCTAGGGGTGTTTAGAAGTGAAATCTCTCCCGAGTTGATGGACGATTTCGTGAAGAAGGTGGTGGATTTTTGCTTCGTTCTGATGGAAAAGGCATTCCATTCATGAGAAATGGCATGAGCAAAAGTGGAGAAGGACAGCAATGACTTGTCAATTTAAACTGCAGTTCATGATTAGTGTAAGGGATATACACATGATAGGTTTGCAAAGGTAGGTTGTAGGATTTTCTAATGCAGGTTAGAAAGTGGAGACTTTTTGTTAGGCAACTTGCAGTTTGCAACACGTTTCTTTCCTTAGCTCAGGGGAGGAATGGTAGCTTTAGTTAAGGATTTCATTGTGGAACTCTACAAAAATGACACAGATTCTTTTTTTTTTTTTTTTGAGACGGAGTCTCGCTCTGTCGCCTAGGCTGGAGTGCAGTGGCACCATTTCAGCTCACTGCAAGTTCCGCCTCCTGGGTTCAAGCCATTCTCCTGCCTCAGCCTCCGAGTAGCTGGGACTACAGGTGCCCGCCACCACGCTCGGCTAATTTTTTGTCTTTTTAGTAGAGACGGGGTTTCACCGTGTTAGCCAGGATGGTCTTGATCTGCTGACCTCGTGATCTGCCCGCCTTGGCCTCCCAAAGTGCTGGGATTACAGGCATGAGCCACTGCGTCCCTCTATGTATGCCCAGGCTGGAGTGCAGTGGCGTGATCTTGGCTCACTGCAACCTCCACCTCCCAGGTTTAAGAAATTCTGTGCCTCAGCCTCCCAAATAGCTGGGATTACAGGCTCGTGCCACCACGCCCAGCTAATTTTTTTGTATTTTTAGTAGAGATGAGGGTTCAGCATCTTGGCCAGGCTGGTCTTGAACTCCTGACCTCGTGATCCACCACCTCGGCCTCCCAAAGTGCTGGGATTACAGGCGTGAGCCACCGTGCCCGGCCGACAGATTCTTTTTTAAACCACCTTTACAGGGACAATATTATCATCCACAAGAGTATTATCTTCTAAGCA
The DNA here is from genome assembly GCF_000001405.40 of Homo sapiens. Classification (NCBI taxonomy): domain Eukaryota; kingdom Metazoa; phylum Chordata; class Mammalia; order Primates; family Hominidae; genus Homo; species Homo sapiens. The sequence goes on from NC_000010.11 coordinate 96,837,625, forward strand.
AGCTCATTTGGAGGTTATGCCTTCCATTGCTGTTACAGACCTATTTTTGGAATACCTTTAGGATTGACAGATTATCATCCTTGGAAGTTGGAGTTGGTATTTGGAAAGAGTCAAAAAGTATTTGCTGTGAAATGTGGCAATTAAAGGTATATGTTAAATAATGGGATTGGCTTTCTTCCCTGGCTTGCAGTCTAGCTCGGAAAGCTCAGTAGAGGGGCTTGATTTGTTTCGATGTGCCTCTGAACCTCTCTCTTAATTCATATTTCCCGTAAGTCTGTCCATCTGTTGTGTGGAATCTCAGTTTGTGATATTGGATAGATGCAAATAAGCAAAGCTGTTACTTTTCATAGTTTCAAATGAAAAACTCAACATCACTACTGTATAAATTATTTTCTAGTCTATCTGTGTTTATTTTTAAATTCCTTTTACTATTCTATACACTTGCACATTGCTCTGGGGGTAAAAATCCAATATAAACCATTAGCTCATTTTATTGACCATTCTTGTATTCAGCAAGTATCCCAAGTACAGTGGTCCATACCTTGAATTTTTTTTCACTTTTTAAGTGAGATATAATTTACATACCATAACAACTTAGTGGGTTTCAGTTATTTCAAATACAAGGTTGTACATATATCATCACTGTCTAATTCCAGAACATTTTATTTTTATTTTTTCTCAGCAGTGGGGTCCTGCCATGTTGCCCAGGCTGGTCTTGAACTCCTGGGCTCAAGTGATCCTCCTGCCTCAGTCTCCCAAAGTCCTGGGATTACAGGTGTGCGCCACCACACCCACCCTCAAAACATTTTTATTTCCTAAAAAAGAAACCCCACATCCATAGGCAGTTCCACATTCCGTTCTTCCTATGATCCAGCTCTTGGCAGCTACTATAATTTGTTTTCTGTTTCTGTGGATTTGTCTATTCTGGACATAGCATGTAATTGGAGTCATACAATATATGGCTTTTTGTGCCTGGCTTCTTTCACTTAGCATAATGTTTTTAAGATTCATTCATGTTGTAGCATTATCAGCACTTTGTTTCTTTTATGGCTAAATAACACTGCATTGTGTGGACATACCACATTTTGTTTATCCGTTAATCAGTTGATGGATATTTGGGTTGTTTCCACTTCGGGGCTATTATGGATGATGCTTCTCTGAATATTTGTGTACAAGTTTTTGTGTGGACATTTGTTTTTAGTTCACTTGAGTATGTACCTAGGATGGAATTACTGGGTCATGTGGTAACTGTTTTAATTTCGTAGGAACTGCCAAATTGTTTCCTAAAGTGGCTACGGTATTTTACATTCCCATCAGTACTGTATGACAGTTCCGTTTATCCACATCCACTCCAACACTTGTTGTTATCTGTTTTGATTATATAATAGCTATTTTAGTGGGTATGAAGTCGTATTTCAAAAAAACAAGAAATAAATACAAAAAAATAAGACAAGTTATATTTCATTGTGGTTTTGATTTGCATTTTCCTAACAGTGTGTTAAGCATCTTTTCATGTGCTTGTTGGCCATTTGCATACCTTTGGAGATACATTTATTCAGATCCCTTGCCCATTTTTAAAATTGGGTTATTATTTATTGTTGAATTGTAAGAATTGTGTATATATTCTGGATATACTTACAGTGTATGCTTTGCAGATATTTTTTCTCATACTCCCCATTTAAGAACAAATACAGATCAATACATGACCAGATACACTGTAACAAAAGCTAAACTGCAGGATACCTTATGAAGAGAATAAGGAGCGTAGTAATAGAACGAAATAGAATTCTCAAGAAAAGCCAGGTGCGGTGTCTCACACCTGTAATCCCAGTACTATGGGATTACAACTCCATTTGCAAGAGTTTGGATAGAGAAGGACACCTTTGCTCTATATTGCCCTGTCACAAATGTTTTGAATGAATCTGTTCCATTTCTGAGTTTAGTGAGAATTTGGGTAGTGAGAGGAATCTCACTAGCAGTATTTTTGAAATTTAAGATTACATTTTTTTTGTTTGCATTTTATAAAAACCCAGACATCTGACAAGTTATACAATATATTTTTTCTTGCTTTTTTTTTTTGAGACGAAGTCTGGCTCTGTTGCCCAGGTTGGACTGCAGTGGCGTGATCATGGCTTATTGCAACCTCTGTCTTCCAGGTTCAAGTAATTCTCCTGCCTCAGCCTCCCTAGTTGCTGGTATTACAGGCGGGTGGCACCATACCCAGCTAATTTTTTTGTAGTTTTAGGAAAGACAGGGTTTCACCCTTTTGGCCAGGCTGGTCTCAAACTCCTGACGTTCCGCCTCTCTTGGCCTCCCAGAGTGCTGGGATTACAGGTGTGAGCCACCACCCCTGGTTTATATTTTGTTTCCTGGTGCTAAGTTAAATATACTGTTTTTAAAGTGTTTGTTTGAATTTCGTTGATTCTTGGTTTCTCTGATTTTTGAATTGGTTAGGTTTGGTCTGTTACAAAGTGTCAGGTATAATGATGTCTTAAGGATGAAACTAAGTATCTTATGGGGTAGATGGCCGAATTTAAGAATCTTTTGCTTAATGGATTGTGAGGGTCAAGTTAGGAAAGCTGTGTAGTAATGAGTGGCATCTTCTAATGATTTTTGGTCTTCTTTTTATTCCTTTGTTTCATGTTTTAATCTACTTTTTGATAAAGAGAGTTGTAGATTCTTTTAGCATATCACTTAATCATTTTTCTGAATTCATTATTGTGCAAGCCAGTGAATTTTACATAGTAAAAACTAGTATTTGTTGTATCTTTACTATAATGAAGTTCTTATAATTGAGGGTAATAGAAGGATCCTGTCATGTGTAATGTGCATTTGTTAGTATAAGAGCAGGATACGTCAGGGTTTGCTAAAAGAAAAAAATGATGGCTGTAACTAGGGTTTAGACTAACGTTTCAAATTTGGTATTGGGAGACTAGAAATTAATATGCTTCAGACATGTCTATTTTAAAATTTCCTCTCTATATATTTTTTAAAATTTAGATTAAAGAAAAATAGAGATGGGGTCTGGGATTACAGGCATGAGCCACTGCTCCTGGTCTAGACCTGTCTAAAGGGACTTTTCTTTAGACTTTAAATGTTTTCTAGAGCTTAAAGACAAAAAATAAATTTTACTCAGTTGTGCCTTACAATTGTATTAAAAACTATTATAACAATACCATTTGAAGTAAAGCAGCGTTTGTTATAACTTCTGAATCATTGAAAATTAGTCCATCACAGGCCAGGTGGCTCACGCCTGTAATTCCAGCACACTGGAAGGCTGAGGCAGGCAAGTCGCTTGAGCCCAGGAGTTGGAGACAAGCCTGGGCAACATGGTGAAACCTTGTCTCCACACAAAATACAAAAATTAGCTTTAGCTGTGTGTGGTTTTGTGTACCTGTAGTCCCAGCTACTCGGAAGGCTGAGGTGGGAGGATCGCTTGAGCCCAGGAGGTCGAGGATGCAGTGAGTCATGATTGCATCACTGTACTCTAGCCTGAGGGACAGAGTGAGACCCTGTCTCAGGAAAAAAGAGAAGTTCATCACAGTTGTTTACAGAGGTGAAGGGGATTACTTAGAAACATATAGTTGTCTCACAAGAATTTTTTAAATGTGCAGTAATCTAGATGAATAATTAACTCTTTAAAATAACAGAAAGCAGAAAGTATCAGAAAATGTATTAATGGTATCACCATCTTATATATCTGCATGACACATTTAATACTTTCTAGAAAACTTACACTTTTTTTTTTTTTTTTTTGAGACAGTCTTGCTGTGTCAGCCAGGCTGGAGTGCAGTGGCACAATCTCGGCCCACTGCAACCTCCATCTCCCAGGCTGAAGCAATTATCTTGCCTTAGCCTCCCGAGTAGCTGGGATTAGAGGTGTGTGCCACCATGCCCGGCTAATTTTTGTATTTTTAGTAGAGACGGGGTTTCACCATGTTGGCCAGGCTGGTCTCGAACTCCTGACCTCAAGTGATCTGCCCACCTTGGCCTCCCAAAGTGTTGGGATTACAGACATGAGCCACCGCGCCTGGCCAAGACTTTCTTTTTGGATTAGAAGATGTTGTGAACACCAGTATTATTTCCCATGATAATTGCTATTATTGGAAAGCCTGTTGTTTTAAAAAATAAATAAATAAATAAATAATAAAAAAATATAGAGATGAGGTCTCATTATGCTGCCCAGGCTGGTCTCGAGCTCCTGGACTCAAGCAGTCCTCCCACCTCAACGTCCCAAAGTGCTGGGATTACAGGCATGAGCCACTCCACCCGGCCAGAGCATTATTATTTTTACTCATAATACTAGATAGTCTGTGACTGTTGTTTTTGATCTCATGATTAGCTTATTTTTCATAAAATCTGAATCATTTTATCATTATCAAAAAATGATTATTGTGTATAGTTCTCTTAGTACGTGATTTTTTAGAGTTTTGCAGAAGGTAAAAGCATGCTTTACCTTTCCTAAACTCACAGTATAAAGGGAAAGAGAGGCCAGGCACAGTGGCTCATGCCTGTAATCCCAGCACTTTGGGAGGCCGAGGCGGGTGGATCACGAGGTCAAGAGATCGAGACCGTCCTGGCCAACATGGTGAAACCCCCATCTTTACTAAAAATACAAAAATTAGCCGGGTGTGGTGGCATGCACCTGTAGCCCCAGCTGCTTGGGAGGCTGAGGCAGGAGAATCGCTTGAACCCGGGAGGTGGAGTTGCAGTGAGCCGAGATTGCGCCTCTGCACTCCAGCCTGGTGACAGATCAAGGCTCAATCTCAAAATACATACATACATACATAAATAGGAAAGAGAAACTAAAGGGATCTATAGAATGTATCCTACTTGATAAAAGAAAATTCCACATGTGAAAATGTGAATTTACCACAAAGACATCTGTTTCACTTTACAACATAATTCATATCTGATTTAATATAGTAACAGGCTCCTCTGGTACGTTTAGAATGATCAGTTGATACAAAAATTTTCTAAAAAGCTTGCTTTTTTTTCTTTTCTTTTCTTTTTTTTTTTTTTTTGAGACTGAGTCTGGCTCCGTCACCCAGGCTGGAGTGCAGTGGTGTGATCTCGGCTCACTGCATCCTTTTCCTCCCAGGTTCAAGTGATTCTTCTGCCTCAGCCTTCCGAGTAGCCGGGATTACAGGCATATGCCACCACAGCCCACTAGTTCTTGTTTTTTTTGGTAGAGAGGGGTTTTACCATGTTGGCCAGGCTGGTCTTGAACTCCTGACTGTGAGTGATCCACCCACCTTGGCCCCCCAAATTGCTGGGATTACAGGTGTGAGCCATCATGGCCCGCCCCTAGTTTATACAAATTTTTGAAATAAGTATACATTGTATGTAGAGGAAGCGAATGTTGAATTTGTTAAATTGAGTCATGCACAGATTCAGTTTGATGATCTCTTGTTTTTCACGTTTTTTTATTGTTGCCATTGCATGGATATTTGTGAACTTTTACCTGGCTACTCCTCTTCCTTCCAGTCAATGCAAGCATGTTTTGTTTGTTTTTTTGGAGACAAGGTCTGGTTCTGTCTCCCTGGCTGGAATGCAGCGGCATGATCATAGCTCACTGTAAACTCAAACTCCTGGGGTCAAAGTGATCCTCCTGCCTCAGCCCCTGGAGTATCTGGGAATGCAGCATGTTTCATCATGCCTGGCTAGTTTTTGTTTTGTTTTGTTTTTGGTAGAGATGAGGTCTTGCTATGTAGCCCAGGCTTGTCTCGATCCCCTGGCCTCAAGTGGTCCTCCTGCCTCAGCCTCCCAAAGTGCTGGGATTACAGGCATAAGTGTCTTTGGCCCAATGCAAGCGTATTTTCTAGGTTGTTTGTAGGTATTTACCCTTATATCTGCCCACTGGATATTATCCTGTTCTCTTTTACCTTTTTTTCGATTCAGTATTTATCAAAGCTAGAAAGGATGACGTAACTTGTTTTCTTGTCCAGCCATATCATTTAAAGGGAAAGGAATTTAAAATAAATCTTTTAGTTTGGAAAACTTCAAACATACAGAAAAGTAGAATAGTACAGTGAACAAACACCCAGCTACATCAACTAATGGCTATTCTTGTTTCATCCCTAACTGAATTATTTTGGAGCAAATTCCAGACACCATATTTAGTATTGAATCTTGGTTGTATCCTTTTGTATGGCACCATCTTCCTTTTCCCACCTCGCATCCCCATCAAGTGGTTCATAAGTTTAAAGAAATAAATAAGACATTTAAATATGGAGAAGTTTTTGCTTCTGTTTTGTTTACTTGTAATGTTTCTTAAAAGCTACCATATGTTGAGCATTTACTGTGTGACAGACAAGAGACCTTTGATGTTGTTAACATCTGTTTTACAGGCGGGGAAACAGATTTAGGGAGATTACAGATTTGATTCGTAATCACTCAGCTAAAATGTGGTAGACCTGGGATTGGAAATCAAAATTTTATGCTCTTTAACCTACCTACCTTCCCACCCTCCCTCCCTCCCTTCCTTCCCCCCTCCCTCCCTTCCTTCCCTCCCTCCCTCCCCTCCTGTACCCCCACACACCCCAAGACAGGGGTCACTGTGTCACCCAGGCTTGGAGTGCAGTGGCATGATCCTAACTCAGTGCAGCCTCCGACTCCTGGACTCAACTGATCCTCCTGCCTTAGCCTCCCTAGTAGCTGGGACTATGGGTATACTCCATGGTGCCTGGCTAATATTTTTATTTTTTGTAAAGACGGGGTCTTGCTTTGTTACCCAGTTTTCTTCAATCTTCAGCATTATGCATATGCCCTTCTTTTAGAATTTCCATTAAGTTGCCCGTCTTTGTTTCTAATTACTGATTGCTTATGTGCTTTATGTTACATTAAGGTATTTTGGTTTCTCTACCCATAATCTTACCATAAACAGGAGTTTATTCTATTCATTTTCTGTTCTCTGGCTTTGACTAGAATACCTTGCCTCCTTCTCTTCAGCTGTCACAGTCCTATTTGTGTTTCCTTTTTTCTTTTTGATTTTTTAGTTTTGTTAGCTAAATGAGTTTCTGAGCTGAATGTTTCCACTGGCTTAATTTTCCTTCTTATCTTGTTCAACTGGCCATTCTTCACCATTAACTGAGATTGGAGCGTAGGCTTAGGAGAGGGAAAGGCAGCAGAGGGTATCTGAGTGATACTGATTCTACGCCTACAGAGTCTTCTGTGTAGACCAGCCTAATTCATAGGAGTTTGTAACAAAGGCCTTTTAACAGTGTAGCTGCTTGGCCTTTTCTTCTATTGATATTCTTCCCAGAGACCTCAAGGAAGTGTGGGGTGGTGGTGGAGGGGCAAACAGGTTAAAGCAGATTGAGGTCAGGATTCAGGACTCCTGAATCTAGCCAAATGCCTTTTCTTCACTTCCAACCTTCTGTGACTTAAATTTAGTTTAGCTGGCAATATTTTAAATTGTGTGACAGAAAAGGAAGTTGCTGAGTAGTGTGTAATTACTGAGAAGGAGAAGAAGAAATTGGATAAATTTAAAAAATGAATAAAAGCTTAAAAATCAACTTAAAAAAAGATGATAACTCATACATCATTGGTCTTAGACAAAATGATTACTAGCAGGCACAGGAAGACGTTGTGACAAAGGTAATAAGGAGAAATTCCCATCAAAATAAAATGTGAAGGTTCTTGCCTTCAGTAAGAAAAAATGAGGGGAACGTCGGTGTTTATGAGTATTTCACATTTCAAATGTGGCTCTTTTGTTGCACCATGAATGATATAAACACTAATTTCCTGTGTGTTAGGTTATGTGAATTTTTATTCATCTAGTAAAGAAGCTGACAAAGTTTGCCTCTTATAAATGGGCTTATCCTTTTTTTTTTTTTTTTTTTTTTTTTTTTTTTTTTTTTGAGACGGAGTCTCGCTGTCGCCCAGGTTGGAGTGCAGTGGCGTGATCTTGGCTCACTGCAGGCTCTGCCCCCCGGGGTTCATGCCATTCTCCTGCCTCAGCCTCCCCAGTAGCTGGGACTACAGGTGCTCGCCACCTCGCCCGGCTAATTTTTTGTATTTTTAGTAGAGACGGGGTGTCACCGTGTTAGCCAGGATGATGTCGATCTCCTGACCTCGTGATCTACCCGCCTCGGCCTCCCAAAGTGCTGGGATTACAGGTGTGAGCCACCGCACCCGGCCAAAATGGGCTTATCTGATTACAGTAAAATACTGTAATTATGGGTGAGCATCAAGAAGTCCATAATCTTTGGTCATTGTTACTGAGAAAAACCTTTACACTGGTCATTTTTCTATGAATGTTTAATAGAGCTAATATGTCTTTTAAAAATGATTTGATTGGCCGGGGATTGTGGCTCACGCCTGTAATACCAGCACTTTGGGAGACCAAGGCAGGCAGATTATTTGAGGTCAGGAGTTTGAGACCAGCCTGGCCAACATGGTAAAACCCCATCTCTACTGAAAATACAAAAACTAGCTGGGCATGGTGGTGTACAGCTGTAATCTTGGCTACTCGGGAGGCTGAGGCAGGAGAATTGCTTGAATGTGGGAGGTGGAGGTTGCAGTGAGCCGAGATTGCACCACTGCACTCCAGCCTGGACTACACAGCAAGACTCTATCTCAAAACAAAAACAAAACTGGAATTTTGTTGTACTGGCTTTAAGTTTTTTTTTTTCTTTTTTTAAATTAAGACAGGGTCTTGCTCTGTCACTCAGGCTGGAGTACAGTTGTGCATTCTAGGCTCACTGCAGTTTTAGCCTACCAGGCTCAAGCAATCCTCCCACCTGAGCCTCCTGAGGCTGGGACCACAGGTGTGTACCACCATGCCTGGCTAATTTTTTTTTTCTTCTAGAGATGGGGTGTCCCTATGTTGCCCAGGCTAGTCTTAAACTCTTGGGCTCAAGTGATCCTCCCATCCCAGCCTTCCCAAAATGCTGTGATTACAGGCATGAGCCACTGTGCCTGTCTGTACTGGCTTCTTAAAACAAAACAAATCAAAATAAAGCAAACAGGTATGAGTAAAGTGATAAAGCTATTTCCTTTGTGAGACTTGTATAACCAGTTTTTATTTGCGTATATATTTACTGTGTATAGCTTTTCATTGTATAGTTTTTATTAAAATAGATTCTGGCATGTTAAAATAAATAGACATATACTGAGAAACCCCCATACATCTACTGAAAACAGTTTCAAAAAGACCCATGGCTTATGGCTGCAAATGTACAATCTTATCTAAAAGAGAACCTTCCCTTTGGTCCCCTTCTCCTTAGGAGAAGAACTTCTGCTTAACTTTATGTAACATATCCATATCAAAGATTAGTACATTTTATTGGTGAAAGGTAAAGGTATGTAAGTGGATAAATGGAGTAAAGATAGAAAAGAGAAATCAGGCTGGGGGCAGTGGCTCCAGCACTTTGGGAGACCGAGGTGGGAGGATTGCTGGAGCCCAGGAGTTCAAGACCAGCCTGTGCTGCATGGTGAAACCCCGTCTCTACAAAAAATACAAAAATTAGTCACATGCGGTATTGCGAGCCTGTTGGTCCCAGCTACCTGGGAGGCTGACATGAGAGGATTGCTGGAGCCTGGGAGGTCAAGCCTGCAGTGAGCCATGATCATGCCGCAGCACTCCAGTCTGGGTGACTGAGCCAGTCCCTGTCTCAAAAAATGAAAAGAGAAGCTAGAATTTTCCACATTAGCTGAGAAGACTTTTAGGAAGGAGTTACCAGAAGCTATAATAGAAATTTATGTGTGACTTAATTTTTCAAAAAAAAAAAAAAAAGCACACGGTAACAGTCCTGAATGAGTTATTTGGTCAAGAGTATTTTATTTATTTATTTATTTATTTATTTACTTACTTATTTATTTATTTTTTGAGACAGAGTTTTGCTCTTAATGTTGCCCAGGCTGGAGTGCAATGGCACGATCTCGGCTCACCGCATCCTCCGCCTCCCAGGTTAAGCAATTCTCCTGCGTCAGACTCCCGAGTAGCTGCGATTACAAGCGTGTGCCACCACGCCTGGCTAATTTTGTATTTTTAGTAGAGACAGGGTTTCTCCATGTTGGTCAGGCTGTTCTCTTAACTCCCGACCTCAGGTGATCTGCCTACCTTGGCCTCCCAAAGTGGTGGGATTACAGGCGTGAACCACCCCTCCCAGCCTGGTCAAAAGTACTAAAACTATTAAAAAGATTGAATTACCTACAAACTTTGATCTTTTAAAAGCAAGAGAATGTAAATTAATGGAGAAGAGTGTTCTGTAGTTAACGTAAAAAGAAAGAAACTGACACTGTGGCATGGGCAAGATAGCAGAGGATTGAAGACCCGGTTTTTGCCTTTTTTCCCCCCTTTTCCTGAGGACTTAAACTTTATTTTGGAAAAAGTGGCAGGTTTGTTTTTGTTAAATGGTTGAAAAGTGTTTGTATGTTACTTCTCAGATATTACTCAGTATAAATTATTTCTTAAAACCATATGAAGTTGTTTAGGTAAGAATGCTCTTAGTAATTACTATACCTAAGTCAGCCTGTATTTTGTCAGATATTTTTTAAGAAATGATCCAGATCAAATCAACTATTTTGAGGAATGTGAATATATATCCAGTTACAACTAGGAAAGAATGTTAAGAATATAAGCTGTGTTAAGAAACAGGAAAATTCTCTTGTTATATCATGCTGCTGCCAATCTGTAGTTTCTGTGACTCAGGAACAGAAGTATAAGCAATGACATAGTGATAACTGTTACTGTTATATTTTGATTTTAGATTTTAAAATAACCACACTTTAAAAACCGGATGCTGGGCTGGGCATGGTGGCTCACGCCTGTAATCCCAACACTTTGGGAGGCCGAGGCAGGTGGATCACTTGAGGTCAGGAGTTGGAGACCAGCCTGACCAACATGGTGAAACTCTGTCTCTACTAAAAATACAAAAATTAGCCGGTTGTGGTGGCGGGCATCTGTAATCCCAGCTACTCAGGAGGCTGAGGTGGGAGAATCACTTGAACCTGGGAGGCGGAGGTTGCAGTGAGCTGAGATCGCGCCATTGCACTCCAGTCTGGGCAACAAGAGTGAAACTCCATCTCAAAAACAAAACAAAACAACAAAAAATAAAAACTGGATGCTGAAAGGATGTTCTCAGATGGCAGAATCTGAGGATCTTCAGATTATTGCATCTGAAGATTATTATACAGGATGTTCAGTTATTTTGTTCAAAAACACAGGCTAGGATTCTGCCAGGAATATTCTTTCAGGAATGGTTAGCTTTTTTGGATGATAACAGTTTTTCATTCACCTTTCTTCCTCATTTAATATATTTCTATCTTTTCTTTATACTTTTTCCTTGTTTTTGTGCATATAAAATAAATAGATCTATGTTTTTGAAACTATCAAGAAACTGAATTAATTTTTAAAAATAAGTGTATATGAGTTGAAAATGTTTTTTTTTTTTTTTTGAGACAGATCCTCTCTGTCACCTGGCTAATTGTCTTTTTTTTTTTTTTTTTTTTTTTTTTTTTTGAGACGGAGTCTCCCTCTATAGCCGAGGCTGGAGTGCAGTGGCACAATCTCAGCTTACTGCAACCTCCGTTTCCTGGCTTCAAGTGATTCTCCTGCCTCAGCCTCCTTAGCAGCTGGGACTTACAGGTGTGCACCACCACACCTGGCTAATTTTTGTATTTTTAGTAGAGACAGGGTTTCACTGTGTTAGCCAGGATGGTCTCGATCTCCTGATCTCGTGATCCACCCACCTTGGCTTCCCAAAATGCTGGGATTACAGGCGTGAGCCACTGCGTCCGGCCTAATTTTTGTATTTTTAGTAGAGACAGGGTTTTTGCCATGTCACCCAGGCTGGTCTTGAACTCCTGACCTCAGGTGATTGGCCCGCCTCGGCCTCCCGAAGTGCTGTGATTGCAGCCGCGAGCCACCACGCCCAGCCAGGTTGAGCGTCTTTAATCTGAAAATCCCAAATTTGAAACGCTCCAAAATCTGAAACTTTTTGAACACCGAAGTAACACCATAAGTGGATAATTACACTCGACCTTATGTGATGGGTTGGAGTCAAAATGCAGGTGCACAACATACAGTTTATTCAGTGTCCCCAAAGGGAAAAAACATCCTCCCGGTGCTTTTCAGCTGAGATACATCTTTTCTATATATGCCCAGATTGCCCCAAGCAAGTGTGCCCTCAAAGCGTAATAAGATGGCATGTGTGCAGACCAGATGTGTCAGTGGCAGGATCCCCATGATGCCCCATGATGGGACCAAGACCTCTGTGTGTCACTCACTTTTTTTTTTTTTTTTTTTTTTGCTTATTCTCTGCTCTCTGACGTGAAGATATTGTTGGAATTGTCAGAAAGTCCTGCAGATATCCCTGTGGGTAAAACAAATAAGAAAAAGGGAAAGCATTACTAGCAAAGAAAGTCAAGCTGTTGGAAAAACTGACAGTGATGTCTGAAATGTCTTACAGAAGAGTATGTTGTTGGAATGACCACTGTATATATGACCTGAAAAATACAGTAGGATAAATTATTAAAGTTCTAGGTTGAAAGTGATGGGCAGAAGTTAGTAAAAAATAGAAAAGCACTGCATGAAGCTGAAAATGACCTTGATTAGATCTTGAAAGAGTAGATCCATCAGCATCACAGTGAACACATGCCACTTACTGGTATGCTTGTCATGAAGCGGAAAGATCAAGGCCGGGCGCAGTGGCTCACGCCTGTAATCTTCGCACTTTGGGAGGCTGAGGTGGGAGGATCATGTGAGCCCAAGAGTTCAGTACTGGTCTGGACAACATAGTGAGACCCCATATTTAAAAAGAAAGATCAAGCATGATGAACTGAAAATTGAAGTGAACTGTGAATGTTCAACAGGCTGGTTGCAGAAATTTAAGAAGAGATATGGCATTAAATTATTATTTTTTATTTATTTATTTTTTTGAGACAGCATCTCTGTCACCCAGGCTGGAGTGCATGGTGTGATGATAGGTCACTGCAGCCTTGATCTCCTGAGCTCAAGTGATCCTCTCACCTCAGCCTCCTGAGTATGGGACTACAGGTACATGCCACCAGGTCTTGCTATGTTGCCCAGGCTGTTCTCAAACCCTTGAGCTCAAGCAGTCCTCTCACCTGTCTCCCAAAGTGCTGGGATTACAGGCATGAGCGACTGTGCTGGGCTTACTAAATTTTAAAAGATTTGTGTTGAACCATCTGCTGATCATGGAGCAGCAGAGAAATTTATTGACAGATTTTCTAGGGTCATCACTGATGACAATCTGATGCCAGAACAAGCCTGTAATGCTGATGAAACATCACTGTTCTGGCATTATTGCTCCAGAAAGATACTGACTACAGCTGATGCAAAGGCCCCTGTAGGCAGTAAGGATGCCAAGGACAGAATAACTGTTCTGGAATGTGCTAATAATGCAGCAGGCATGCATAAGAGTAAACTTGATGTAATAGGCAAAAGCTTGTATCTTTGCTGTTTTCAAGGAGTGAATTTCTTACCAGTCCATTATTACGCTAACAGAAAGGCGTGGATCACGAGGGACATCTTTTCTGATTGGTTTCACAAGCATTCTGTACTACTGCTCATGCTTACTGCAGGGAAGCTGGACTGGATGATGACTGCAGGATTCTTTATTCCTTGATAACTGTTGTCATCCTCCAGCTGAAATTCTCATCAGAAATGTTTATGCCATGTACTTTTCCCCAAATGTGACTTAATTCAACCGTGTAACCAGGGTATCCTTAGATGAATGAAGAGTAAATAAAATAAGATTAAACACGTTCTTCAGCAGCACACTAGCAGCAGTGAACAGAGATGTGGGTGTGGAAGCTTTTCAAACGAAGTTTTAGCATGAAGGATGCCATGAATCAAGATGATTGTGATTATAGTGACGATGAAGATGGTGATGTTAACACTGCCGAAAAAGTGCCTGTGGATGACGTGGTAAAATCATGTCAGTGTTTAAAATCAGAGAGAGAACATGGTGAAATCATGTCAGTTTATGAAATTGAAGAAAGACTTCTAAGACAGAAAATGTTGTGAATGAGGCAGATGACTCTGGAGCAAACATTTTAAAAAAGCCATCCAGAAGAATTCCTCCACATTCTTAGAGGATCCACTTCTGGGTCTCTCAACTGCTTCTGATGTTTCTTTTCACCCCCCAAAATAAATACAGTGTTCAGTAATTTTTCAGTGAGAACATAGCATTGTAGATGGAGACTGAAAGCCTGACGTTGTTGTTGTTTAACAGTTGATTCAGGTATTCTGGTGATGCTCCTGTGCTCTTAGTTACCCCAAACACATTATTTTCTCACGTATTAATGGTATGTCATATTTTTTAATGTTAAGTCCTTATGTGTGAATAAGTGTAAGAATAAGGTTGCTTATTGGTAGCATATAAATTGAGAGTCAGGAATGATGCTAATGCCACACAATCATACATTGTCCACATGGGTGGCTGAGAAGGTGACATCTTGGTTTCTGATGCTTCAATGTATACAAACTTTGTTTCATTCACAAAATTTAAAAAATATTGTATAAAATTACCTTTAGGTTAGGCCAAACACATTGGGTCATGCCTGTAATCCCAGCACTTTGGGAGGCTCAGGTGGGAGGATCGCTTGAGCCCAGGAATTTGAGACCAGTGTGGGAAACATAGTGAGACTTTGTCTCTACAAAAAATTTTTAAAAGAAATTAGCCCAGTCTGGTGGCGCATGCCTGTAGTCCCAGCTGTTTGGGAGACTGAGGTGGGAGGATTGCTTGAGCCCAGGAGGCGGAGGTTGCAGTGAGCTGAGATGCACCACTGCTCTCCAGCCTGGGTGGCAGAGTGAGACCCTATCTCAAAAAACAACAACAAAAACCGACAAATTATCTTTAGGCTATGTGTATAAGGCACATATGAAACGTAAATGAATCTTGTGTTTAGACTTGTGTGCCATCCCCAAGATATCTCATTATGTATATGCAAATATTATAAAATCTGAACAAAATCCTAAACCTGAAACACTTCTGGTCTGAAGTATTTTGGATAAGGGATACTCAACCTGTATATCTATTTTATTCTAGGGAAACAGGCTTCTTCAGAAGCCCATGGAGATAGAGCTCCATGAAGTAGAAGCAATGGTAGAAGTAGAAGCAATGGTGGTGGTGATAGTTAAGGGAGTGAAATTAACTAGAAGGAGAGTTCCATGATGAAATATAGTCAGTAAGTCTTTTTTTAGTGACTATTTTGCCTCTATTTTTGTATCATTGTTTATATGACTTCCATAAAACAATTTCATTTTGTTATAATGTGAGTAGCTTTGTCTCTTCTCATTTTCTCTATTATTTATGAACTTAAAACATTTTAAAACATCTAAACTTTGTTGAAGTTAAACATTGGTTCTCCATTTCTAACAGTTTTAAAGGTATGCTTGAATAGTAAATTTGTAATGATAATAGGAATACACTTTATTTTGTTATTGTTGTCACCTTTTGTGTTTTTTTGAGGTGGAGTCTCGCTCTGTTGCCCAGGCTGGAGTGCAGTGGTGTGATCTTGGCTCACCGCACTGCAGCCTCCACCTTCCGGGTTCAAGCGATTCTCCTGCCTCAGTCTCCTGAGAAGCTGGGATTATGGGCACGTGCCACCATGCACAGCTAATTTTGTATTTTTAGTAGAGATGGGATTTTGCCACGTTGGCCAGGCTCTTGAACTCCTGACCTCAAGTGATCTGCCCGCCTCAGCCTCCCAAGTGCTGGGGTTACACGTGTGAGCCATTGCACCCAGCCTGTTGTCACCTTTTAACATCATAAACGGAAGAATAAAAATTATTTTCTTTATTCACCTACCAAAATAAGATAGTGTTTCAGTTACCTGATGTCACAGTAATGGTGCTTATCAATCACAAAACCTTAGTGATGTATAACTAGAAGCATTTATTGAACTCAAGAGTTTGAGGTTCAGCTAATCTGGTCTAGGCTTGCTCATGTAGTCAGCTGTGTTGTTGTTGACTAGGCAGCTCTGCTGATTTTGGCTGGACTTGCTCCATGTCTGGGGTGATTTGGCTGATGTAGGTTGACCTAAGTTGGGATAACTGGGGCAACTAGTCTCTGTTCTACGTTTCTCACCTTCAGCAGGATAGCTTGGGCCTGTTACCACGTATTTTAGTCTGTTCTCACACTGCTA
Organism: Homo sapiens; assembly: GCF_000001405.40. NCBI lineage: Eukaryota > Metazoa > Chordata > Mammalia > Primates > Hominidae > Homo > Homo sapiens. The sequence goes on from NC_000010.11 coordinate 96,853,744, forward strand.
TGAAGAAATACCCAAGACTGGGTAATTTATAAAGAAAAGAGGTTTAATTGACTCAGTTTGTCATGGCTGGAGTGGCCTTAGGAAACTTAACATTCATGGTAGAAGGTACCTCTTCACAGGGCAGCAGGAGAGAGAATGAATGCAAGCAGGGAAATGCCAATGCCTATAAAACCATCAGATCTTATAAGACTCCCCCATTATTACGAGAACAGCATGGGGGAAGCTGCCTCCATGATTCGATTACCTCTATCTGGTCCCACCCTTGACACGTGGGGATTATGGAGATTACAATTCAAGGTGAGATTCAGGTGGGGACATAGAGCCAAGCCATATCACCCTGGCATGACAGAAATACGCAAAGAATTTGGAAATAAGCACCTTTTCAAGCCTCTGCTTGTATAATATCTAATATCTCATTGGCTAAATGAGATAGCTCGTTGACTAAATGAATATCTTACTGGCTAAATCACATAATTGAGCCTACAGTAATGGTAGGATGATATAAAGTTACCTGGCAAAGGGCCTAGTTACATGGAGCGAAAAAGAATTGGGGCCATTTACAATCTACATCAGAAAGCATCAGTTTTCATTTCTTTGTTTGAGATGGAGTCTTGCTCTGTTGCCCAGGCTGGAGTGCAGTGGCGTGATCTCGGCTCAACCACAGCCTCCGCCTCCTGGGTTCAAGTGATTCTCCTGCCTCAGCCTCCCGAGTAGCTGGGATTATAGGCACCCGCCACCACACCCAGCTAATTTTTGTATTTTTAGTAGAGATGGGGTTTCACCATGTTGGCCAGGCTGGTCTCGAGCTCCTGACCTCAAGTGATCCGCTGACCTCGGCCTCCCAAAGTGCTGGGATTACAGGCTTGAGCCACCGTGCCTGGCCCATTTCTTCATATTCATGTCAGTAGGTATTCTTCAAGCACTTAATAGGTGCTAAGCAGATATTTTTCCCATTTAATATGTACAGTCAATTTGAAAAGAGTGATATTCTTTTGTATAGAAACAGACTAGAAAAATAATTCACAGATGTACTAGAATTGGTGATGCGAATCTAAGATTTTCTGACTTCAGAGTGTAATTGCATTCATATGATTGTAATCATTTAAATGGTGTCTTTAATTTTCTCCCTAAGTTATTCCCCCATTATTTTGGGGAAAAATTATATGTGTGTTTTATCATACCTTTCCTACTGAATATCTTGTTTTAGCCCTCCCAGGATCCTTTCTCTCCTCCTCTTATGGCAGTAGCATCTTGATTTTCTTTTAGGGAGTCACCTTTTCTGCCATTCTTGAGTTCCATATGATTTGGATGAGGCTGACTTACCCCTGGGACTGATGTCTGGCCATTGGTCACAGTGAGTGAGTGGTTCAGGGATCCTTCTGAGATTTGGTTGGTGGAGTTCTTGGGAAAGAGATTTCTTTTCTCTAGGGTAGCTAAGCTAATAGCCTAAAGTGGGAAGCAGCTACCATGGGGGGAGAGCTTGCCTGTGAGTGATGCTATATGCATTTGTGTGAGACATACAGAATGATGGATGAGAATTATTTCTGTGTACTTGGATCCAGCTGTGCATGCTCTAAAAAAACTTACTCGAGCCGATAATTACCTTTTTTGCTCAAGCCCATTTAAGTTGGGTTTTTATTACCTGGAACCAAAAGTTTTGACTGACGCTGTTTTTTTTTGTTTTTTGTTTGTTTGTTTGTTTGTTTTTGAGATGGAGTTTCGCTCTTGTTGCCCAGGCTGGAGTGCAATGACGCGATCTTGGCTCATTGCAACCTCTGCCTCCCAGATTCAAGCAATTCTCCTGCCTCAGCCTCCCTAGTAACTGGGATTACAGGCGCCCACCACCATACTTGGCTAATGTTTTATATTTTTAGTAGAGACGGGGTTTCACCATGTTGGCCAGGCTGGTCTCCGACTCCTGAATTTAGGTAATCCACCTGCCTCGGCCTCCCAAAGTGCTGGGATTACAGGCATGAGCCACAGTGCCTGGCCTGTCTAATGCTTTTGTTTTGTTTTGAGACGGAGTCTCACTCCATTGCCCAGGCTGGAGTGCAATGGTGCGATCTTGCCTCACCGCAACCTCTGCCTTCCGGGTTCAAGCGATTCTCCTGCCTCAGCCTCCCGAGTAGCTGGGATTACAGGCATGCACCACCATGCCCGGCTAATTTTGTATTTGTTTTAGTAGTTACAGAGTTTCTCCATGTTGGTCCGGCTGGTCTTGAACTCCCGACCTCAGGTGATCCGCCTGCCTCAGCCTCCCAACGTGCTGGGATCACAGGCGTGAGACATAGCCCCTGGCCATCTATTGCTGTTTTTATTTTATTTTATTTATTTAGTTTTTTTTTGAGACGGAGTCTCGCTCTGTTGCCCAGGCTGGAGTGCAGTGGCGCAATCTCACCTCGCTGCAACCTCCGCCTCCCGGGTTCAAGCAATTCTTCTGCCTCAGCCTCCTGAGTAGCTGGGATTACAGGCATGCGCCACCACGCCCGGCTAATTTTTTTGTATTTTTAGTAGAGACAGGATTTCACCAGGCTGGTCTCGAAATCCTGACCTTGTGATCCGCCCACTTGGCCTCCCAAAGTGATGGGATTATAGGCATGAGCCACGGCGCCCAGCCCTAATGGGCATTTTAATCCTCTTTCCCTCCCTTCTTTTCTTTCCCTTCCTTCCCTTCCTCTCTTCCCTCCCTTCCTTTCTTTCCTTCTACCCTACCTCCCCCCTCCCCCTTCCTCCCTGCCTTCCTTCCTTTATTTCTCTCTCTCTTTCAGTCCCCACTGTCTTACCCCGTCCCTGTACCCCTCCACTCTGACAGGGTCTTGCTCTGTCACCCATGCTGGAGTGCAGTGGTGTGATCAGTGAGTAGCTGACACCACAGGCATGTACCATCATGCCCAGCTAATCTTTTATTATTTTTGTGGAGATAGGGTTTTCCTATGTTGCCCTGGCTGGTCTCTAACTCCTGAGCTCAGGTGATTCTCCTGCCTTGGCCTCCCAAAGTGCTGGAATTACAGGTGTGAGCCACTGTGCCCAGCTAATACTGTTTTTTCTCTAGAAAGATACCTCCGTAAGGGCAGCAGAAAAGAAATAGCTCACTACGGGTAGACAATGCAAAAAAAAAAAAAGTAAAAAAAATTATCTGGCCTTATGGAAATGGGGAAGGTTTGTTTACCTGGGATGATACTGTACTAGAAAGGAATAGTAGGGAACAGTATGGGGGAAGATCTACTTAATTTCAGGAAGTAGAAAAAATAGACTTAACCACTTCAAGCCATTCTCTTACTCTTTTTTTTAGTGAATTCTTCAGTCACCTGTGAATACTAAGATATTACTATAGATATATATATGTATATATATGTGTGTATATAGTACATATTTGAATCTTGCAGAGTTAATTTTAATTGTAGTTATTTCTATCTCACAAGACATTTTAGACAAAGAAATAGTGTTGTAATTGTTGGTTATGATACTACAACCCACAAACATGATTTAAGTAAGTAGAAGAGTTTAATTAGTGTATTATTGAAATAAAAAGAACAGACATCCATTCCCAAAGCCATCCCCTGTACTTTTTTATTACTTGGAAATGTTAAAGTCTTAAATTCCAGTATGCCATTATCCCATGTGTTTTGATAGATGTTAATTTTATATGTGGGTTAACAGTTGTGTGAATTGATGCTGCTATAAATTTATCATGTCCAGCTTCAGCTGGACTCTCAGTGCTGGGAATTCCTTTGTGTATTCTTGGTCGACCCCTGCAGTTTACCACAATGGCTCTTTAGCCTCTATATACTCTTACTTCTCTCTCAGCTGATGATCTTGTCACCTGCAGAACAGTGAAAATTTAGGCTATTGAAAGTGAATATTCCACAGCATCCTCCCTTTTACCCAGGGCTACTTAGAAAATTTTAGAAAAATACTGCCTAAAGCATTGTTTCAAAGTATCGATCGCTTGAACAAAACCGCTACCCTAGATGATCTTGGGCAGGGTAGGGGAATCTGTATTTTTAACAAGTGTCTCAAATGATGCTTGGACACACTGAAGTTTGGAAACCACAGGCATGTGAATAAGGTTACTTTAACCAGCATGCAAGATTCTCCAAGATATCTGATCCCAGGCTATTGCTTCAGTTTCACCTCTCTCTCTATACCCTGCCCAGTCCCTATTCCCTAACCCCTGAAGTCTTCTTACCATAAAATAGCTCACTCTTTTTCTAGTGTATCAGGCTAAAATTGAGTAAGAGGTAGTGTTCTGTTTGTTGTGATTCAAGTTATTTAAGGAAAAATAAAAACTAAGATGAGAAAGAGGGAGTGTTAATTTTTGGACACAGTTTGGTGTACCCTTAATGACTTTAACACAGTGATTTTTAAAAGGTTAAGTGGGAGGAATTGTGCATTTGAGAACCACTGTATTAGAAGTATTAGAGATAGTAAGGACTGTAATTTTTCTATTTGTGTGAATTGTGATGAGACACTTGAAACGTGACCTTTAACAGGTGAAACATTTTATCTAGTTTTACTTCAAAATGTAATGCTTTCCTTTTTGTTCAGAGCATGTTACTCTGAGGTTTCTGAAGCACCAGCAAATGGATTAAGTAAAGGTCTGGGGATTTTCGACAGACAAATTGGTAAAAGTTGGAGGTGGCCAGCAGGCAGAAAAAGAAGACCTTTAGATTGTGAGTATAAAATGTTCATGATCCTTCCAGAACTACAGGGTTACTTACTGACATACTATGTGTGTGACACAGTTTGCTAGAGAAACAAACCAACCATAAATAATTGTAGGCATAATAAAGGGTGAGACTATCATGAGTTTCCTCACAGTGGTGCTGTGGTCAGAAAGAGATATTCAATATGATTGTCACCATTCTGGCTAGCATTTAGTAATTAGGCTTGTCATTACTTTTGGGGATGATCATAATGTGGAGTGTCATTAGGGAGGGGAAAACTTTATGAATGTTTGGATACTTAGGGTTTTTTGTTTTTTTAAAATAACTCTGGGAGTTTCTAATATTGTTTATATTTTGCTATCAGGACCTCACAGATCCGTACTTTTAACAAGCATGAATGAATTTGTAACTTAGATTCCAGAACCCTGCCTGGCAGATGGCCTGGTGGATAGGGCCATCTGTGTCCATTACACAGATACAAATTATTCTTTCTCTACTGGCTCTCCCTGTCCTTTGCTAAATTTGAGAAAGTAACCTTAAAAAAGTGAGGTTCTTTTCTCAACCATACGGCACATTGCAGTATTGTGCTTTTATCAGGACACTTTGTATTGCAAATGATAGAAACCCAACTCAGGTTAGTTTAAGTCAAAAAGGTCATTTTGTGGGTTTATGAACTCGGAAGTTCAGAGCATAAAATGAGGTTCTAACATGACAGGATCCAGGAGTTTTAACTGATATCATCAGGAATGTTTCCTTCTTTCCATCGGTAAGCATTTTGTTGTACTTTTGGCTTTGTTCTTTGGCAGGTATGATGGTAAAGATGGTCAGTGGCATCTGTTGCCCGGCTGGAGTGCAATGGCACAATCTCGGCTCACTGCAACCTTAGCGTCCCGGGTTCAAGCAATTCTCCTGCCTCAGCCTCCCAAGTAGCTGGGATTACAGGCGCCTGCCACCACATCTGGCTAATTTTTTTGTATTTTTAGTAGAGATGGAGTTTCACCATGTTGGCCAGGCTGGTCTCGAACTCTTGACCTCAGGTGATCCACTTGCCTCAGCCTCCCAAAGTGCTAGGATTATAGGTGCGAGCCACCGCGCCCAGCCTAGACTTGTATCATTCTTAAAGTCCAGAATCCCAGAAGGAGGCATGTGTCTCTTTCCTTTTTTTGAGACCGAGTCTCGCTCTGTCGCCCAGGCTGGAGTGCAGTGGTGTGATCTTGGCTTACTCCAAACTCTGGCTTCTAGGTTAAAGTAATTCTCGTGCCTCAGCCTCTTGAGTAGCTGGCACCACAGGCGTGTGCTACCAAACCTGGCTAATTTTTTGTATTTTTAGTAGAGAAGGGGTTTTGCCATGTTGCCCAGGCTGGTATCAAACTCCTGAACTCAAGCAGTCCACTCTTGGCTTCCGAAAGTGGTGGGACTACTGGCATGAGCTGCGGCACCTGGCCTGATGTGTCTCTTTCTGTATAGTACCAGCCAAACTGAGTGGATAGAAGGACATTGGCCAGGCCTGGGTCATGTGGCCCATCCCTGAGCCAGTCAGTATGGCCAGTGGAGTGTGGTTCTCTGACTTGACCAGGGACAAGTGCCCGCTTTTGGAGAGGGGCTTAAGATCAGCCTTCACTTAAGGGCTTGAAGGAGAAGAGTGGTTCTTCAAATGAAAATTGGATGCTGTTATCTAACAGAAATGGATATAGGTTAGGCAAAAATTGATAAATATTCTAACCATGAATCTAGATCTAATTTTGAAGAAATTGACTGACTTGGGCCATGTGGTGGGTTGAATTGTGTCCCCCAAAAAGATACAATGAAGTCTTAACCTCCAGTGCCTGTGAATTTTAGCTTATTTATACATAAGGTCTTTGCAGTTAAAATTAAGATGAAGTCATACTATATTAGGGTGGCCCCTAATCCAACAAGTGATAACTCCAGAAGAAGGGGGAAATGAGGATACAGACACGGAAGATGGAGGCAGGGATTAGAGTTACACTGCCACAAGCCAAGGAATGCCAAGGATTGCCAAGGATTGCTGGCAACCACCGGAAGCTAGGAAGAAACAAGGAAGGATTCTTTTCTAGAGCCTTTGGAGGGAGCATGGCCATGCCAATACCTTGGTTTCTGACTTCTAGCCTCTAGAATCGCAATGTTGTTTTCAGCCAGTTACCCAGTTTGTGGTAGTGTGTTCCAGCAGTCCTAGAAAGCTAATACAGACTATATTTGGCACATGCTGAAATTTAATTTTGGGTAAGTCCATCGTTTTGAAATAAAATGCTGACCATAAGTTTTCCCGGTGGATATCTTCAGAAAATGTGATGTTACTTTGTGGTTGGTTATATTTATGGAACTTTACATTTTAGTCTATAGTTACAGTTTAGCTGAACCTGTGTTCCTAGTTGATGGACAGCTAAACATTTCTTAGTGTGTCCTACTCAGCAGTCATGTGTGAAAACTAATAGAAGAAATAAAGTGAAACGCCTACAGTAAATACATGCCAATATCCTGAGTATAAAAGAAAGAGTATGTTTGGGGCAGTTAGCTGTTGAGGTAAGGACAGTTAGTATTTTGGTGAGTCTAAGCAAAAAGTTAATAACTTGAACGATATTTCTGGGTTCTAGTTCATTTTCAGCAAACAGAGTTGGATAACACCTTTAAGGTTGGCTGGACTTTGAAAAAAACGTAATGAATATTCTTTTGGTTTCTAATTTATAGAAAGTGGGTATCTTCTTGTTCTGTAATTTTGTTCAGAACCTTTGTGGTGTGACAAATTCATTTTTGAGGAACCTAAGACTACTGGAAAAACAGATTTAGGAGACCTATGCAAGTACTTTTAAATACATATGCTTTCCCTTCCAGCCCCACTAAAATTCACTAAAATGAAATAACAGTAAGTAAAGAAAATGTCATAAGTTCGTAGTGATGAATGCAGTAAGCTTCTTCTAACACTTATAAATATTTTTGACAGTGGTAGTGTGAGTGTGGGAAAACAAAATCTGTTTTTCCTCTGCTCACACCATATTACAATAATCACAATCTTCAACACAGAACAGTTCTGTGACCAAACGTGGGTTTTTTCCCCCACCAATAAGCAGGCATTCAATTCTGCAGTGGACACTAGGTGAGTCTCTTCTCTTCTCTTTTCTCTTTCTTTTTTTTTGAGACAGGGTGTCTCACTCTGTCACCCAGGCTGGAGTTCAGTGGCATGATCACAGCTCACTGCATCCTCCACCTCCTGGGTTCAAGTGATTCTCCTGCCTCAGGTGCCTGAGTAGCTGGGGTTACAGATGTGTGCCATCACACCCGGCTAATTTTTGTATTTTTAGTACAGATGGGGTTTCGCCATGTTGGCCAGGCTGGTCTTGAGTGATCTGCCTACTTTGGCCTCCCAAAGTGCTGGGATTGCAGGTGTGAGTCACTGCGCCCAACCAAGGTAGGTGTCTTCTAACTCAATTCCAACACTATCTACCTGGAGATACCATCAGATCCCACATGTAAGGTCTCCATCTCTAAGACTGACCCTCCTCCTTCAGACAGCAATCTTAAGTCTGGGCTTCTGGAACTTCTTAATGGCTGTCTTCAAGTTGGGGTTCCCATAACTCCCTCTTTGCATTTGATTACTTTGCTAGAGTAGCCCACAAAACTCAGGGAAGCACTTATTTACAGTTACTGGTTTATTATAAATGATATTACAAAGATACAGGTGAAGAGATGCATAGGGCAAGGCATGGAGGAAGGGGCACAGAGCTTTCATGCCCTCCCTGGGCACACTACTCTCCAGGAGCCTCCACATGTTCAGGTATTTGGAAGCTCTCCAAACCCAGTCCTTTTAAGTTTTTATGGGAGGCTTCGTTACATAGACATGATTTTTTTTTCTTTTCTTTGTTTTTGAGATAGCGTCTCACTTTGTTGCCCAGGCTGGAGTGCTGTGGCATAACCTTGGCTCACTGCAGCCTCGATCTGAAGCAGTCCTCCCACCTCAGCCTCCTTTGTAGCTGGGACTATAGGTATGCACCACCATCCTCGGCCAATTTTTCTATTTTTTGAAGAGATGGGGTTTCACCATATTACCCAGGCTGGTCTCAAACTCCTGACCTCAGGTGATCCGCCCGCCTCAGCCTCCCAAAGTGCTGGGATTACAGGCATGCATCACCAAGTCCAGCCACGTAGGCATGATTGGTAAACTATTGGCCATTGGTGATCAACTTAACCTTCAGCCCTTTTCCCTTCTCCAGAGTTTGGAAGGTGGGTTGCAAGTCTCAACCCTCTAATCCTGTCTTGGTCTTCCTGGTGGCCAGCTCCTATCCTCAAGCTACCTAGGAATTGCCAGCCCCCGTCAACTCATTGGTGTACAAAAAGACAACACTTTGTAGTCTCTAAGGATTTTAGGAGTTAAAGAGGGTCCAAGACCAAATATGTATTTCAGAATATCACAAGTATCTTTTTTAAAGTTTAGTAATATGTTTTCTTTCTTTTCTTTTCTTTTTTTTTTTTTTGAAACAGAGTTTTGCCCTTGTGGCCCAGGCTGGAGTGTAGTGGCATGATCTCAGCTCACTGCAACCTCTGCCTCCTGGGTTCAAGCAATTCTCCTGCCTCAGCCTCCCAGGTAGCTGGGATTACAGGCACCCACCACCACATGCCCGGCTAATTTTTGTATTTTTAGGAGAGATGGGGTTTCACCATGTTGGCCAGGCTGGTCTCATACTCCTGACCTCAAGTGATCTGCCCACCTCAGCCTCCCAGAGTGCTGGGATTAGAGATGTAAGCCACCATGCCCAGCCGAAGTAATATGTTTTCTTTTTCTGTTTTTTTTTTTTTTTGTGATGGAGTCTCACTCTGTTGCTCAGGCTGGAGTGCAGTGGTGTGCTCTCAGCTCACTGCAACCTCCGCCTCCTTGTTTCAAGTGATTCTCCTGCCTCAGCCTCCTGAGTAGCTGGGATTACAGGCATGCACCACCACACTTGGCTAATTTTTGTAGTTTTAGTAGAGACGGGGTTTCACCATGTTGGCCAGCCTGGTCTCGAACTCCTGACCTCAAGTGATCTACCCACCTCGGCCTCCCAAAGTGCTGGGATTACAGGTGTGAGCTACCATGCCTGGTCCATCTTGTGAATTTTCTGATTTTTTCACATTCAGAATTCATTTTCTGGGAATTGATTCTAAAAGTTTGATTGCATTGTTAGTGCTGTGGAAACGTGAAGTGTGTGGATTGGGATAGCATGATCAGGTTTTTCTGAGGTTGACCTTTTTCAAGAAAGCATAGACTGGTGTTGTGCAGTCTTTAAACTGCTTTAAAGGAGTTTAGAAAAGTTGCTCAAATTTTGCCCAAAGGCTTGGTCTTGTATTTACCTTAGGCGTTTGCTAAAATACTTTTTCTCTAGTAAGTTTAAGTTGATATTTTTGGTTTGATTTAGTATGTTCTACAGAATGCTAGTTGCCTTCTTTCATGATGCTATCTTTTGTCTCTAACCTGCCTATTTTGTCTTTTGTTTTTGGCACTTTATTCTTTCTGTATCAGTTAGCATTATGTTTACTGAATGTTGGAGGAACTGTTCTGAGCTTGTTGGTAGGAATGTCACTTTGTATGTTTACATTCTGATGTGAAACACCTGTCCCTGAGCAGTTATGTTTCTACAGCTAATGATGCCATTAAATATTAACTTGGCAGTAGTTTATGAACCTTATCGCCTAATTTCTTAAGGTCCAATATCTTAGAAACTCCGGAAGCACATCATAAAATACACAACAGAGATTAAAGGTTATAAGAATAAATGTGCCCAACTAAGAAGGGACCAATAGGTAGAAGAATGAGGATAGGAAATAATGACACAGAGGACAGTCCAACATTCTGAGAGCCAAGTTGAAAAGGAAGTAGATACTCAAGTAATGACTCATAGATGGTAATCCAAAATGTTCTCTGTCAAATAAAGGTGTATTGACTTTCAGTTGATTTTTCAAACAAGGAAAAATCCTTATTTGCTTTGGGGACAGTCTTTGTTTAGATGGTGTGGTTGGATTGTATTTTTATTCACTGAGCCAAATGTTCTGTGAACATCTTTACTAGCTACCAAGCACTATATGGGGATATGGTGATGTGCAAAGCAGACTCTGTTCCTGCTCGCATGGCACTTAGAATATAATGGGAAAAACAGGGACATCAGTTACACAAGGAACCAGATAAAAGCTCTGAAAAGAGACGTTGTTCTCTGCATGTATGTATGGTCATGCACCTCATAACAATGTTTCAGTCAACAACAGACCACATATATGACAGTAATCTTGTAAGATTATAATACTGTATTTTTACTATACCTTTTCTGTGTTTAGGTATGTTTAGATATACACATACTTACCATTGTGTTACCATTGCCGACAGCATTCAGTACAGTGACATGCTATAGGTTTGTAGCTTGCTAGCAATAGCCTAGGTGTGTAGTAGGGTATACCATCTAGGTTTGTGTAAGTACACCCTATGATGTTCACACAACAACACACCTATTGGCATATTTCTCAGACCATATCCTTGTTGTTAAGCAGCTCAAGACTATAATTGTGTGTGAGTTGTGGGGGTGGATTGGAGTAATAGAAACTCAGAAGAATTTCTGAGAAAAGAAAATTTAATTTGAGAGACGAGAGATTAGTAGGTGTTAATTAACTATGGGAAGGAGGTAGGGGAAATGTGGTTGGTAGAAAGGACTATAGGATATCAACGTATATTTTCAGAAGACAGAAAAAGCAAAGTTAGATCTTAATTTCCCTCTTAAGACTCATTCTGGTTTATATAAAAATTTATATTTTCGTCTCACCATTTGATGTACTTAAACATGCCTTTATGAGGTTCAGTTTTGACTGTGGACTGTTAGGCTGTTTTAAAAAAAATTAGGGAAACTGAAAATTGGAAGGGGGCACTGGATGAGTATATTGTTAAAATTTTATGGGAAGAAAAGATACAATTATACCTAGGCACTAGATATTTCTGTAAATCCATAGCTGTACAGTTGCTCCCATTGGAGAAGCATGAAGGCATTCTTAGGCAGACATTCTGTCAGTTTCTATCTCTCTCTTTCCAAAATCAAATAGGAGTGATTTTTTTATCGTGTTTAATTGAGATGCAATTAAAATGTACAGTAGTTATGACAGTTGTATACACCCCTATGGCCATCACCCAAAACAAGAAATAGAACACTTCTGAGCCAGGCGCGGTGGCTCACGCCTGTAATCCCAGCACTTTGGGAGGCTGAGGTGGGCGGATCACCTGAGGTCAGGAGTTCGAGACCAGCCTGGCCAACATGGGGAACCCTGTCTCTATTAAAAATACAAAAATTAGTCGGGTGTGGTGGCAGGTGCCTGTAATCCTAGCCACTTGGGAAGTTGAGGCAGGAGAATTGTTTGAACCCAGGAGGCAGAGGTTGCAGTGAGCTGAGATCGCGCCATTACACTCCAGCCTGGGCAACAAGAGCGAGACTCTGTCTCAAAAAAAAAAAAAAAAAAAGGAAAAAGAAATAGAGCACTGCCAGCCTCCTTGAAGGTTTGCTAATATCCTTTTCTGGCCAATCTCTTACTGCCACAGTAACTGATTCCTATCATTATAAATTAGTTTGCCTGCATCTGGAGTTCATATAAAAGGAACTACACAGTATGTTTCTTTCTTTGTCAGACTTTTGCTTAAACCTAATGTTTGTATGTGGTGCTCTATTTATTAACAGTTCATTCCTTTTTTAGCGGATTTACTGAAATATTCATATAGCATATATTTCACCCATTTAAAGCGTTGTACAATTCAATTACATTTTTACTGTATTCACAGAGTTGTACACCCGTTACATGATCAAATTTTAGAATAGCCACTCCTCATTCTGTCTCCTTCCCTTACCCCAGCCATAGGCAATTATTAGTATACTTTGTCTCTATTCATTTGCCTATTCTGGACATTAGTTCATTCTTTTCTATTTCTGGATAGTATTTCCTTGTACGGCTATACCTCAGTTCGTTTATCCATTCTTTTGCTGATGAGCATTTCGGTTGTTTGGGGGCTGTTATAAATAATGCTGCTATAAACATTTTTGTACAAGTCTTTTTGTGGACCATTATTCATTTCTCTTGGGTACATACCTAGAAGTGGAATTGCTGGGTCCTAGGTTGGAGATAGATGTATGTTTAATTTTATAAGAAATTGCCAAATAACCCTTTCTTTTGGAGATGGAGTTTTGCTCTTGTTGCCCAGGCTAGAGTGCAATGGCCCGATTTCGGCTCACTGCAACCTCCCAGGTTCAAGCAATTCTCCTGCCTCAGCCTCCCTAGTAGCTCGGATTACAGGCGCACACTACCACACCCAGCTAATTATTTGTATTTTTAGTAGAGACGGGGTTTTACTAAGTTGGCCAGGCTGGTCTCGAACTCCTGACCTCAGGTGATCTGCCTGCCTTGGCCTCCCAAAGTGTTGTGATTACAGACTTCAGCCACCGTGCCCAGCCCCAAACAATTCTTGAAAGAGGTTGTGCCACCACTTTACATTCCCACCAACAATGTATGAGAGATTGGTTTTTCCACATTTTGCCAGATTTTTCGTATTTGTCAGTCTTTTCTATTACTATTATTTTTTTTGAGATGGAGTTTCACTCATTGCCCAGGCTGGGGTGCAGTGGCGCAATCTCGGCTCACCGCAACCTCCGTCTCCCAGGTTCAAGCGATTCACCTGCCTCAGCCTCCCGAGTAGCTGGGATTACAGGCATGCTCCCCTCAGCCTCCCAAAGTGCTGGGATTGTATTTTGAGTAGAAATGGGGTTTCTCCATGTTGGTCAGGCTGATGTCGAACTCCCGACCTCAGGTGATCCACCCGTCTCCGCCTCCCAAAGTGCTGGGATTATGGGCGTGAGCCACTGTGCCCGGACAGTCTTTTCTGTTTTAAATATTGGCCAGGTGCGTTGGGCTTCACCTGTAACCCCAGTACTTTGTCAGGCTGAGGTAGGAGGATCATTTGAGTCCAGGAGTTTGAGACCAGCCTGGGCAACATATGGAGATCTTGCCTCCCCAAAACATTTAAAAATTAGTTGGGTGTGGTGGCATGTACCAATAGTCCCAGCTACTCAGAAGACTGAGGTGGGAGGATCGCTTGAGCTGAGGAGATTAAGGCTGCAGTGAGCTGTGATCATACCACTACATTCCAGCCTGGGTGACAGAGTGAAATTCTGTCTCAAAAATATATTTATAAGCTGAATGTGGTGGCTCACATCTGTAATCCCTTTGGGAGGCCAAGGCGGGAAGGCGGGAGGATGACTTGAGCCCAGGAGTTCAAGACTAGCCTGGATAACATAGCAAAACCTCATCTCTATTTTATATGTATAGATATATATTTAATCTACTTAATATGTAAAAATCATACAATATGTTTATGTATAAATATATATAAATTTTAGAATATTTTGTCTGTTTTTTCAAGATAGCCTACTGGAATTTTAACAACGATGATGTTGAATATATTAATTTTTTTTTCTTTTTTTGAGTTGGAGTCTCTCTCTTGTTGCTCAGGCTAGAGTACAATGGCATGATCTTGGCTCACTGCAACCTCCGCCTCCCGGGTTCAGGCGGTTCTCCTGCCTCAGCCTCCCGAGTAGCTGGGATTACAGGCATGCACCACCGTGCCTGGCTAATTTTGTATTTTTAGTAGAGACGGAGTTTCTCCATGTTTGTCAGGCTGGTCTCGAACTCCCGACCTCAGGTGATCCACCCGCCTCGGCCTCCCAAAGTGCTGGGATTACAGGCGTGAGCCACCGCACCGGGCCGAATATATCAATTTAATGGGGATGGATGTCCTAATAATATTGAGTTTTCCAGTATGCCATAAGGAGTGATTACTTTTTTCTTTTCTTTTCTTTTCTTTTTTTTTTTTTTGAGATGGAGTCTTGCACTGTTGTTCAGGCTGGAGTGCAGTGGCATGATCTCAGCTCATTGCAACCTCCGCCTTCCAGGTTCAAGTGATTCTCCTGCCTCAGCTTCCCGAGTAGCTGGGATTACAGGCGCATGCCACCACCCCCGGCTAATTTTTTGTATTTTTAGTAGAGACGGGGTTTCACTGTGTTAGCCAGGCTGGTCTCAAACTCCTGAACTCGTGATGCACCTGCCTCGGCCTCCGAAAGTGCTGGGATTACAGGCGTGAGCCACTCTTCCTGGTCGGAGTGGTTACTTTTTAAAAGTCATCAAATTCTTAAGATAAAGGACTGAAATTACAGTGTAGTTTTAGGTCACTGTCAGAAAAACCTAGTCTAACCTTTCGTATCAGATCAGATTCCCCCAGCAGTATTATACTATTCTTTCATAGCACTTTTAATGATTTTTAATTTTGTATTTATAACCATTTCATTATTGTCCATCTCCTCCAAGTTTTAAGCCTCTTGATGATAGGGACCGTCATCTGTCTTGTTTAGCATTGTATCCTAGCAAATAGGTTAATCTGACACACAGTGGGTGTCCAGTAAGTTGCTGGATAGATGAATTAATTGTTGGTTTTTGTTGTTGTTGTTTTTTGAGAGAGTCTCACTCTATCACCTAGGCTGGAGTACAGTGGTACAATCTTGGCTTACTGCATCCTTTGCCTCCCAGGTTCAAATGATTCTCCCACCTCAGCCTCCAGAGTAGCTGGGATTACAGGCAACCGCCATCATGCCCAGCTAATTTTTATATTTTTAGTAGATACGGGGTTTCACCATGTTGGCTAGGCTGGTCTCAAAGCTCGCAACCTCAAGTGATCCCCCCGCTTCGGCCTCCCAAAGTGCTGGGATTACAGGAGTGAGCTACTGTGCCTGGCCTGTTTTTTTGTTTGTTTTGGCGGGGGGTCAGAGTTGTGCTCTGTCACTCAGGGTGGAGTGCAGTGGCCTGATCTCGGCCCATTACAGCCTCCACCTTCTGGGTTCAAGTGATTCTTGTGCCTCAGCCTCCTGAGTAGCTGGTATTACAGGCATGTGCTACCACGGCCAGCTAATTTTTTTGTATTTTTAGTAGAGATGGGGTTTCACCATGTCAACCAGGCTGGTCTCAAAATCCTGGCCTCAAGTAATCTGCCTACCTTGGCCTCCCAAAGTGTTAGGATTACAGGTATGAGCCATCGTACCTGGCCTAAGTTTTGAATGAACAGAAATTAGTATCTCAGTAGTTCGTTCATTGGTTCTTTCTTTTTTTTTTTTTTTTCTTTTTTTAGACAGAGTCTTGCTCTGTTGCCCAAGCTGGAGTGCAGTGGCACGATCTTTGCTCACTTCAACCTCAGCCTGCCTGGTTCAAGCGATTCTCCTGCCTCAGCCTTCCAAGTAGCTGGGATTATAGGTGCACACCACCACGTTCAGCTATTTTTTGTATTTTTAGTAGAGACAGGGTTTCTCCATGTTGGTCAGGCTGGTTTCGAACTCCTGACCTCAGGTGATCTGCCCACCTTGGCCTCCCAGAGTGCTGGGATTACAGGCATAAGCCACTGTGCCCACCAGGATCTCAGTTCTTCTTAAGGAAATATTTAGGTACACTGAACTGTAAGCTTCATGAGGATGTATAGACTTACCTGTGGTGCTTATCATTAAGCCTAAGCTAGTAAATGATGGGGCTCATAGGCAGGGTCTGACTTCAGAGCCTAAACTTCTAACCATAAGTTCTTTGTTTGTTGTTGTTGTTGTTGTTGTTGTTTTTTGAGATGGAGTCTCACTCTGTCGCCCAGGCTGGAGTGCAGTGGCACGTTCTCGGCTCACTGCAAGCTCTGCCTCCTGAGTAGCTGGGACTACAGGCGCCCGCCACCACGCCCGGCTAATTTTTTGTTTTTTGTAGAGACGGGGTTTCACCAGGATGGTCTCAATCTCCTGACCTCATGATCTGCCTGCCTCGGCCTCCCAAAGTGCTGGGATTACAGGCGTGAGCCACCGCACCCGGCCCTAAACCCTAGGTTTTGACTTCTGTAAGAAGGAAAGATTTAAACAAACAAACAAACATTAAATTACAACCATAATAAACAAAAAAACACTAAACTAAATTACAACCATAATAAAATCTCCCAAAGTCCGTAGGCACTGACATATTACAGCCTTGCCAAATCAGAATAGATTTCTCATGTGTTGTCAATTTACCAGACACAAAGAGTAGCTCAGATCTCATAGACTCTTCAGATCTTGTAGACTAATTTCAAGTCTTTTTAAAGTTTTGAAAAACATGTGCTATTTGGAATTACGTCATCCTCGAATATTAAACCTGAGCTCAAAAACCTATTGTTTGATATTGGAAATAGTTAACTCCAGTTTTCTTCTATTAAGATAAAATTCTTTCATCATGTCTGTGCCCTCTAAAATAATACTCCTATTGCTTTGTCTTCCCCTTCTCCCCTCCTAGTCCTTCTTTAGTCATTCTATTTAGAATCAAGTCGCTCATGAGTTTAAGAATTAGAGCAGCAAGAAATTGAGCTAGAGATGTACAAAAGCTTTGGACAATAGTAGTTTTGCTTGTCCTCATTCTTATTAGAAGTGCTGTTAATTTACTGATAAATTCTAGGACGGAAGACAAATCTTTGCAACTGGTACTATATCAGTCGGTAATTATTTGTTTTCCTTAGACCATATTGAGCTCCCGAAGTACAGAACAATGAGTAGATGTGAACCAAGATGCTGGGATTTTTTAAGTTTCAAATATGTGTGTGTATATATAAGAGACAGAATCTTGCTCTGTTGTCCAGGCAGGAGTGCAGTGGTATGATCATAGCTCACTGCAGCCTTGAACTCTCAGGCTCAAGAGATCCTCCTGCCTTAGCCTCTCAAGTAGCTAGGCTTACAGGCATGTGCCACACCTGGCTTTTTTTTTTTTTTCCTCTTGTAGAGACAAGGTTTCCCTGTGTTGCCCAGGCTAGTCTCAAACTCCTGGCCACTAGTGATCCTCCTGCGTTGGCCTCCTGAGATGCTGGGATTACAGTGTGAGCCACCACTCCCAGGCTCAATTTTTTTTTTTCCTAAAGAATCAGAGTAGGAAAAAGTCACTTTATTTAGACCTTTACTTTTTTCTTTTTTTGAATCAGGGTCTCACTCTGTCGCCCAGGCTGGAGTGCAGTGGCACGATCTCGGCTCAGTGCAACCTCTGCTTCCTGGACTCCAGTGATTCTCCAACCTTAGCCTTGAGAGTAGCTGGGCCTACAGGCGTGAGCCACCACGCCTGGCTAATTTTTTTTTTTTTTTGCTAGTTTTTATAGAAACGGAGGTTTCGCCATGTTGCTCAGGCTAGTCTTGAACTCTTGAGCTCAAAGCAAATCGGCATGCCTTGGCCTCCCAAAGTCCTGGGATTATAGGTGTGAGCCACATGCCTGGCCTATTTAGACCTTTTCTAAGGAGATTAGAAAATTAGTTGATAAAATTATTTTTAAGAAGTAGCTACAGTAGTTCATCAGTTATTGTTGAACCATGATATTGTAGGCAGAAAGGAGGAGGAGCATTTTGGGAGGTATATCTTACAAAACAACAACAGTAAACAAACTGATCTAATAACTTTCTGAAGTCACAATATCTGCCACTTTCATAGAGTCAAGATAGAATCACGGTCTTCAGTTCATCTTCTCCCCAGGAAGTTTTGTAACTTTTGGTGGAGTCCCAAATAGATTGACATAGTCCATGCCACATAGAAGCAGTTCTTCTGACCAGAAACACCTGAGATGAGTACTGTTCCTAAAATACTAGCCCTGTAGCTTGCCCCACAGTCTGTAGCTAACTCACATGCTACTACCTCTACATAGATAGCCATGTCTGATAGTCTACATAGCTGGAGTTAGGTGTGAACTCTATTGTGAGGGCACATATGGCTTATGCCATTACCGCAGTGTCAGTAAAAAGTATTGCTGAACCTGTGGAAATTTCAAATATACCATCGGTATCAGCAGCCACACAGTTTAGCCTTTGTCACTATGAGATTTTAAGAGTGTCCAAAGAATCAGGGTGACCTGAACTGAGTGAGGATTTTAGCAAGATACAGAGGCAGTGCTGTTTACAAATAAAGGAGGAGGCTGGGTGTGGTGGCTCACACCTGTAGTCCTGGCGCTTTGGGAGGCCGAGGTGGGTGGATCGCTTGAGATCAGAAGTTCGACACCAGCCTGGGCAACATGGTGGAACCCTCTCTCTACAAAAAATCAGCTGGGCTTGGTGGTACGCACCTGTAGTCCCAGCTACTTGGGGGACTGAGGCAGGAGGATTGCTTAAGCCTGGGAGGTCTAGGCTGCAGTGAGTTGAGATCACACCACTGCACTCCAGCATAAGACTCTGTCTTAAAACAAAACAAAAAAACAGGAAAATTACCTAAGGAGGATGCTACATTAAGACCATAACTGGCAAATTATAATGAAGATAAAGACTACCAGTTAATTCTTCTTCTAACAATAATAGCCTTAGTGTTTCAGAATCACAATAGAGGAAGATGTTCTTATTGTATAAGCTGTTTGGGGTTGGGCAGATATTTATGTCATTTCAGATGAGACTTGTATTTAAAAGGTTATTTTTTATTAAAACAGTAACTATGTTTTTTTAAAAAACCAAATACTGTAGTATTATATGACAGCAGGGTTACCCCAAATCCCATATGCATAAATAACTGCCATTATTAACACTGTAGACAACTTTAATTGCATAGACACAGATAGGGTGAGCAAAGGGCTAAAAGGGATGAGTGGAGGGATGGATGGTTGGAAGGATAGACATGATTTTAATAAAAATGGGGTTACATTATATATGCTGCTTGTATTTTTAAATATTAATTTTGATTCTATTTGAATTTAGCAGAAAGGGAAATTGAAGCCATTGGTACCATGAAGTAAATGTTAATTCACAGCAGGAAGTACTGTAATTAGTTTCTAAAAGCTGCTTCTGAGTTTGTGGGGAAAAACATTATGAGGGGAAAAAAACTAAGTCATTGGGATCTTTTTAACTTTCCATTTTAGACAGTGGTTGTGCTTTGAAAGGTGAGGAAATTAGTATTCTAACATTTCTTTTCATCACTTTTTCCCTGAATTGCTGAGTTAGTAAATTATTTTAGTTTTATTCTCTCCAGGTTTATGAAATTTACATTCTTTTCTTTAATCCTAATTCCTGTGGTTGTGTTAAATCGATTCTATATTTGAATAGATACAGTGCTAAGTAAGTTGTTTTGTTTTTCGATACACACACACACACGTGTGTGTGTGTGTGTGTGTGTGTGTGTGTGTGTGTGTGTGTGTGTTTTGAGACAGGGTCTCCCTCTGTGGCCCAGGCTGGAGTGCAGTGGTGCAATCTCGGCTCACTGTAACCTCCGTCTCCCTGGTTCAAGCGATTCTCCTGCCTCAGCCTCCTGAGTAGCTGGGATTACAGGAGCCCACCACCACAGTCCGGATAATTTTTATAGTTTTAGTAGAGATGGGGTTTCACCATATTGGTAATGCTGTAAATAAGTTGTTTTGATGTTAATTCTGTGGTGAACAATGATTAAAATATTGTATTCTTCTAGGATTAAAGGGTGTGGGGGAAGGGATAGCATCATGGAGTTTTTAGAAAACCAGCTGTTGGGTTGACTGAGGGACATTCATGAGTTTTCGCCAAGCTCTCTTGCTTGTGGAAAAGAGGACAATGGGGCACTTCATGACCCAGAAAGAATTTTCTTGAAAATGATTTGCTTTACTGAATGGAAATTCTGTTTTACTAAAATAGAAAACATTAGATATAGTCCAAAAATATTTATTGTTAAGCATATATATCGCGTGCTATAAAACTCTATTAGATATTTTGTAGCTTTAGTAGAGATCAATATGCTTGTAAGTTGTCTTGCACAATATTTACAGATTTCTGCTGTTTTATAAGTTTTTATCACTTCCACGTGCGCCATCATTAAAGATTCTTCTGATTCTTGCGTAACTGTATTCCATCCAATCTTTGATCTATATTGCCAGTGTAGTTTTTCTAAAACATGCCATTATCCTGTCAGTAATCCTTCAATGACTCCTTATAATCTTCAGGATAAAATCCAGACTCTAACATGGCTTTCCATGCATATTTTAGTGTACTGCTTACTATTTTACCCAATTTATCTCCATGTCCCAGTAATCAGCATAATAATAGCTAACATTTATGTAGTATTTTTTATGCCAGTAACTGACCGAGCAGTCATAATAAACTCCTGGTAATTCTGCAAATCATGAACTCTCAGTACTCTGCAAATAATAGACCATGTACTCTACCTCTACATGTAGAGTACCCTATGACTAGAGTACTTTTTTTTTTTTTGAGACAGAGTTTCGCTCTTGTTGCCCAGGCTGGAGTGCAATGGTGCGATCTTGGCTCACTGCAACCTTTGCCTCCTGGGCTCAGGCGATTCTCCTGCCTCAGCCTCCTGAGTAGCTGGGATTACAGGCATGTACCACCACGCCCAGCTAATTTTTGTATTTTTAGTAGAGATGGGGTTTCACTGTGTTGGCCAGGATGCTCTCAATCTCCTGACCTTGTGATCCACCTACCTCAGCCTCTTAAAGTGCTGAGATTACAGATGTGAGCCACCGCACCCGGCCTGTCAATCTCTTTAATTATGTAATACTTGCTTATTCTTTGAGATTCCATCCAGACATCTTTTCTTGGAAGCAGAATTCCCATACTCATTTTCTGCACCTCCACCCCCACCCCTTAAAATTTTTGTGAGCTGTCAGGGCAATATGTTATATAATATCTAGTCTAAAATGGCCAGGTGTGGTGGCTCACACCTGTAATCCCAGAACTTTGGGAGGCCGAGGCAGGCAGACCACAAGGTTAGGAGATCGAGACCATCCTGGCTAACATGGTGAAACCCCGTCTCTACTAAAAATACAAAAAGTTAGCCGAGCGTGGTGGCAGGTGCCTGTTGTCCCAGCTACTCGTGAGGCTGAGGCAGGAGAATGGCATGAACCCAGGAGGCAGAGCTTGCAGTGGGCCACTGTACTCCAGCCTGGGCGACAGAGCGAGACTCTGTCTCAAATAAAAAAAAAAATAATAATAATACCTAGTATAAAACAGAACATAGTTTTTTTCTCCCTTACTCTCATCCTGTGTTGCCCCTTTTTCTGCAGTGGTTAAAGTTCAGTGGGATTCAGCTGCCCTAGTTTAAGAGCAGAGGAAATAGGATTTTTGATTGTTCATCATTACCACTGCCTTCTTCAAACCACGTGTTTGAAAACACATGGGCCAGGTTTGGTGGCCCATGCCTGTAATCCCAGCTCTTTGGGAGGCTGAGGTGGGCCAGTCGTTTGAGCTCAGGAGTTAGAGACCAACCTGGGCAACGTGGTGAAACCCTGTCTCTACAAAAAATATAAGAGTTAGCTGGGTGTGGTGGGGTGCCTGTATAGTCCCAGCTACTTGGGAGGCTGAGGTGGGAGAATTGCTTGAGCACAGGAGGTTCATTGAGGCTGCAGTGAGCTGTGTTTGCACCACTGCACTCCAGCCTGGGCAACAAAGAGAGACCCTGTCTCAGAAAAAAACAACAAAAAACACACATGGTCCACTGGTAGGAGGCACAAAATTAGTAAGATCTTGCTTTCAGAGATCCCAGATTCTACTGGTAAAAGACCGACTTATAAATAGCTAATTATATCTAGCTGGGTCAGAGACTTAAACATTAAAAAAAAAAAAAAGTAAAAGAAGTAGAAGCAACATAGACAATTTTTTCCCCTATCATATTGTCTTAGTTCATTTTCTGTTGCTATGACAGAATACCTGAGACTGGGTAATATATAAAGAAAAGACATTGATTTCTTAATAGCTGTGAAGTCTGGGAAGTCCAAGGTTGAGGAGCCATATCTGATGAGGGCCTTTTTGCCTCTAATGATGGAGGGCACCTCATGGGAGAGAGCAAGAGTGCCAGCTCAGGTCTGTCTTCCCCTTCTTAAAAGCCCCTATTCCCATCATGGGGACCCCACCCTGATGACCTTACTTAATCCTAATTACTTTCCAAAGGCCCTACTTCCAAATACCATAAACATATGAATTTGGGGATTAATTTCTCAACACATGAAATTTGGGGATACATTCAAACTATAGCACATATTGAAATGGGAAAGGCCTTTAAATTATAAAGGAAATGGTTTATATAAAAATTAAATACTTTATATGACAAAAGCCATATAATTAAAAAGCAAATAGAGAAAAAAGATGGCAGCTTTTATTAATACATAACTTTCTGCCATATATTAGAATGAACTCTTAATATTCAGAAAGTAGAAAAGATTAATGACTCATTAGAAAATACGGACAAGGCAATGAATAGGCAGTTCACAAAGAATTAAAAAGCTCATAGGCTTTTTTTTTCCTTTTGAGACGGAGTTTCGCTCTTGTTGCCCAGGCTAGAGTGCAGTGGTGCGATCTCAGTTCACTGCAATCTCCGCCTCCCGGGTTCAGTGATTCTCCTGCCTCAGGCCTCCCGAGTAGCTGGGATTGCTTACAGGTGCCTGTCACCACACCCGGCTAATTTCTTGTATTTTTAGTAGAGACAGGGTTTCATTATGTTGGCCAGGTTGGTCTGGAACTCCTGACCTCAGGTGATCCACCTGCTTCGGCCTCCCAAAGTGCAGGGATTACAGGCGTGAGCCACTGCACCTGGCCAACAGATGTATATAAAAATTGTTCAGTCATTATTATAATCAAGGACTTGCAAATTTAAACATCAAGGTAAAATCTTTTGCCTATTGTGTATTGGCTAAGTTGAGGCATCCAAAGGACCCAGGGGCCATCTTGTGTGCTCTCACTGGCCTAAGATGGAAAATAAACTATCTTAAAAAAATGGCTACAATGGATTTAACTATATCAAATCAACAAAAATCCAGGAGTTCATAATGATGCTTTAAAAATAGGCCAGGTGCGGTGGCTCATGCCTGTAATTCAAGCACTTTGGGAGGCAGAGGTGGACAAATTGCTTGAGCTCAGGAGTTCAAGACCAGACTGGGCAACATGGTGAAAACCCTATCTCTACAAAACATTCAAAAATTAGCTGAATGTGGTGATACATGTCTGTAGTCCCAGTACTTGGGAGGCTGAGGTGGGAGGATCACTTGAGCCTGGGAAGTCGTGGCTGCAGTGAGCTGTGATCATGACACTGCACTCCAGCCTGGGTGAGTGAGTGAGATCCTGTCTCAAAAAAATAAGTAAAATAAAAATAACTTATTGATCATCTTTGGAGATTGCAAGGGTGTCAACTCATTTTTCTGAATTTTTTTTTTTTTTTTTTTTTTTTTTTTTTTGAGACGGAGTCTCGCTCTGTCACCCACGCTGGAGTGCAGTGGTACAGTCTCAGCTCACTGCAAGCTCAGCCTCCCGGGTTCACGCCATTCTCCTGCCTCAGCCTTTTGAGTAGCTGGGACTACAGGCGCCTGCCACCATGCCCAGCTAATTTTTTGTATTTTTAGTAGAGACGGGGTTTCACCGCATTAGCCAGGATGGTCTCGATCTCCTGACCTCGTGATCCGCCTGCCTCGGCCTCCCAAAGTGTTGGGATTACAGGCGTGAGCCACTGCGCCCGACCTGAAAATTTATAATAGGAGAAGAATGAAGCATTTATCCTATTACCTACAAAATGTATTACAAGGTAATCAAATAGTTAACAGTGGAAAGCTTTTCATTGAATAATTTAGTTAAGAAGAATGAGAGAGAGTACTATTTTGCATCCATGTACAGTAATTGTTCCAGGCAGATTATCAGTATATGCTAGTACATTGAAAAGTGTAGAAAAGTAACAATGCAGACCATGTGAGGTGTATAGGCCATTGTGACAACTTCCACTTTTACTCTGAGCAAAATCAGCAGCATTGTAGGCGTTTGAGCAGGAGAGTTGACAGGATGAAATATGGCTTAGTTTTAGCAAACTAACTGGTTGCTTACGTTGATAATTGGCCAGGAGTGCTGGGAGCAGAATTGACACATAGACCAAGCTGGAAGTTATTGCATCAATCCAGGTGAGAGATGAAGGTTGCTCGTACCAGATACTAGTAGAGGACAGAAGTGATTAGGACTGTAAATATATTAGATTGATAGATCTAACAGACTTTGCTAATAGATTAATGTGGAAAGTAAGAAGAGAGAAAAGGAGGATTAAAGAGAGGAGATTAGGAGGACTCTAAAGTTTTTGGTTTAAGCAACTGAAAGTTTAGAGTTGCCATTAACCAAGAAGGAGGAGACTGGGTGGCACAGGTTTGGAGACAATAAAGAATTCAGTTTTGACTACCTTCCACGTAGTAGGTACTCTCTGTGAGCATAATATTGCTGAATATTAAGTTCCAAGGGTATGAGAAAGCTGTCATGAGATGGCCTTTCATTGTCAGACTCATATTGTTCATTAATCATGATTTCTCATTTCGTCAACTTGATGTTTTTGTATTGTGTTTTGTTTTGTTTTTCCTTCTCTCTTCTCCCCTCCCCTCCCCTCTTCCGACAGTGTCTGGCTCTGTTGCAAGCTGTAGTGCAGCGATGCAGTCACAGCTCACTGCAGCAGTGACCTCCCAGGCTCAAGCGATCTTCCCATTCACTTCAGCCTCCCAAGTAGCTGGGACTACAGGCTCACACCACCACACCCAGCTAATGTTGTATTTGTTGTAGAGACAGGGTCTTGCCATGTTGCCCAGGCTGGTCTCGAACTCCTGAGCTCAAGTGATTCGCCTGCCTTGACCTCCCAAAGTGCTGGGATTACAGTCTTGAGCCACCACGCCTGGCCTTTATTTTGCTTTTCCATTTAAGATGTGTATATAACACCCACTATATGCTGAATACTATTTAATTTTTTAAATATCAATTTATTTAGTCCTAATAAAAACAGTGAAATATATTGTCATACATGATTCACAGATGAAGCACAAAGAAATTAAGGAACTTGCCCAAGACCACACAGCTAGAAAAGGTAGAACTAGGACTTGAACCCACCCCTTGAACCTCAGTGCTTCAAGAGTTCACATTCTAAATCACTGTGCAGTGCTGCTTTCCTTTTTATTATTTCCTGTTATTTTATTGTAGTCATGAATGGAGAGTGAGGATTCAAGCAAAAGCCAGAAGCTTATTCCAAGCCATCTCCACACAGAGTTTGTGGCTAATGAGTACTTCCGTAGCTTTAAAAATCATAGTTATTTTCACAATATAAAAAACAGTAAGACTGTTAGTGCTGGTAGAAGAGTCGTAGAAATTATATCTCATGGTGCTCTTAGGCAAGATTTTATGAGACCTTCTGAAATGTAATGGTTATCTAAGTTGGAGACTATATATTAATACTGCATCTTTTTGTTTTGTTTTGTGTTTTTTTTGCGACAGACTCTCACCTCACTCTGTCGCCCAGGCTGGAGTGCAGTGCGCGACGTTGGCGCACTGCAACCTCTGCTTCCTGGGTTCAAGCTTTTCTCATGCCTCAGCCTCCTGAGTGTGCTAGGATTACAGGCGTGCGCCACCATGCCCAGCTAATCTTTGTGTATTTAGTAGAGGCGGGGTTTCGCCATATTGGCCAGGCTGGTGTTGAACTCCTAGCCTCAAGTAATCTGCCCACCTCGGCCTCCCAAAGTGCTGGGATTACAGGTGTGAGCCACCGTGCCCGGCCGATACTGTATCTTTATGATTCTGTTTGCATGTCTGGCATGTTACAAGAAGTATTGGTTTGGGATTTGTGGATTAAGGGTGTTTCATATATTCCCCTATTTAATGTTGCTTCAGTTGCTTCACTGTTGATACTGAAAATCCTTAAGGATCTGGCTGGTCTTTTGCATTCAGGTATTGGTTTTGCTCTATTTGGTTTAAACTGATATTGCCCCAAAAGGCAGTGTAGCTTTTTAGTACACACTCCTCTTTAATAATGTCAGTGACCTTTAGAGCTGTCAGTTTGAAATAATGTAACTTTGCAAAGTGTTTTATATCATTGGTTTTCCCTGGAGGGCATAGTGAGACTACAAACGTGATGATAATGGTGGCCTTCTAGCATTGAGAAAATATATTTTAAGGCCATCTTGTTTAGGTTATCTATATTCCTTGTTTTTTGTTTTGTTTTGTTTTGTTTTGGGAAGAGTCTCACTCTGTCATCCAGGCTGGAGTGCAGTAGTGCAGTCTTGGCTCACTGCAACCTCCACCTTCCGGGTTCAAGCGATTCTCGTGCCTTACCCTCCTGAGTAGCTGGGATTACAGGCACATGCCACCATGCCTGGCTAATTGTTGTATTTGTAGTAGAGATGGGGTTTTGCCCTGTTGGCCAGACTGGTCACAAACTCCTGACCTCAGGTAATCCTCCTACCTCAGTCTCCCAAATTGTTGACATTACAGGCATGAGCCACCACACCTGGCCAGTTATCTGTCTTCTTAATGGGGACCACATAAATATAGAGCAACACTATATGATTTAATTCTGCTTCTCTTTGTTGGCATTAATGAGTCATCAGTACAATTTTAGAAAAAATACACAATCATATTTTTCCAGATAGCCAAGATGTAACAGTTGATATTTGTTTCTTATATTGAACGTAGGTGAACCACTGAACGCAGTTTGAGTGACTGTCAAGTCTTTCAAGAATCAAATATAACTAATATTGAAGATGCATAAGAAAAATAAATTCATTACATACAATGGATGTCTTAGTGCATTTGAACTTAATTCTCTCAGACAGCCTGGTTAGGCTCATCTTGACTGGTCTGTTTTTGTAAGTCTCAAGATCTAAGGGTGGTTTTTCGTGAAGTGGGGACAGAGATTGTATATGGTCTGCAACACCTGAAATATTTATTATCTGGCCTTTTACAGAAAAGGTTTGTCTGACTCTCCTGGAGAGGAGAGTACGTAGATTTGAATCCCAGCCTCTCTCCTTTGGTAACTGTTTGGCCTCATTATCTGACTCTAAATGGGAGATAGTAATAGTACCTATCTCAGAATTGTTGTGAAGATTACACAAAGTAATGAATGTCAAGTTTTAGAATACAGTTTAATGATGGTTAACTGGTATTTTAACATACTTAATATGTAATATAAAATGGTAATATATGCTGTTGCTATGTGAATGTGGCAGATATCAAGTCCTGGCTTTGTGATATAAAGAGATTTTTTTGTTGTTGTTTTTTGTTTTTTTTTTTGAGATGGAGTTTTGCTCTTGTAGCCCAGGCTGGAGTGCAGTGGCGCAGTCTCAGCTCACTGCAACCTCTGCCTCCTGGGTTCAAGCAATTCTCCTCCCTCAACCTCCCAAGTAACTGGGATTACAGGTGCCCGCCACCACGCCCGGCTATTTTTTGTATTTTTAGTGGAGACGGGTTTTCACCATGTTGGCCAGGCTGGTCTTAAACTCCTGTCCTCAGGTGATCCACCCATCTCAGCCTCCCAAAGTGTTGGTATTACAGGCGTGAGCCACCATGCCCAGCCAAAGCAATGTTATTTTAATTGAGAATATTAGCCAATATTTGTGGTACCATGATATTTTATAGATTGTTGTGGTGGAAATATCCTCTTAAAAGCCATGTGATCTGTCTTCCATTGTTTTACCACTTTTCAGTGTTTGATAATTCACTATTTCTCTTAGTCTGTCTCTTTGGATAACATTGATTTATTTGTTTTTAGTTGATGTACTGGCTCTGTCTTCTTCTAGCTTCCTCTAATTGCTATTCATTTGAGTTTTGTTGTCCTAGATAAGCAGCTCTCAGACTTGTTGGTCTCAGGACCTCTTAAAAATTATTGAGCTCTTTGAAGAGTTATTGTATTAATTATTCGAACTAATAACCTCTTAACATGTTAAACAACATATTAATGAAAAATTGTTGTTTCCCAAAACAAAAAAAAAGTGGGAAAAGGGGCATTGCTTTTACCTTTTTTGCACATTTCTTTAATGTATGGGTTAACAGAAGGTAACTGAATTCTTACATCTGCTTTTTCATTCAACTGTAGCATATGTTATTTTGGTTGAAGTATGTCACGAAAATCCAGCCTGATACAGAAAGGTTGTTGGAAAATATTAAAATAGCCTTTCAGATAATTGTAGATATTTTTCTTTGATACAACACTAAACCTTGATGAGTAGTGGTGGGATTTTTTAGTTAATAAACTTTATTTCTAGAGTAATTTTAGTTTCACAGCAAAATTGAGCAGAAAGTAGTGTTCCTATATACCCCTTGCTCCCACACATGTACAGCTCTCCTCCTCTGTTGATTTCTCCATACTACAGTGGTACATTTATTATAGTTGATGAACCTACGATGACACGTCATTATCATCCAAAGTCCATAATTTATATTAGGTTTCACTATTGGTGTTGTATATTCTATGGGTTTTGACACGTGTTGACCATTGTAGTGATGTACAGAATAGTTTAACTGCTTAAAAATCCTCTGTGCTCTGCCTGTTTATCCCTCCTCTTGCCTAACTCTGGCAACCACTGGTCTTTCTACTGTCTCCATAGTTTTGTCTTTTCCAGAATTTTCCATAGTTGGAATCCTATAGTATGTAGCCTTTTCAGCTTGGCTTCTTTCACTTAGTAATACACTTCTTTAATGCGTATTACTCCATGTCTCTTTATGGCTTGATAGTTCATTTCTTTTTAGCAGTGTCTAGATGTATCGTTTATCCATTCACTTACTACCAGGCATCTTAGTTGCTTCAAGTTTTGACAGTTATAAATAAAGCCACTATAAAATTTGTGTTCAGGTTTTTCTTTTGTTGTTGTTGTTGAGACAGAATCTCATGTTGTTGTTCAGGCTGGAGTGCAGTGGCACGATCTTGGCTCGCTGCAACCCTCACCTCCTGGGTTCAAGCAATTCTGCCTCAGCCTCCTGAGTAGCTGGGATTACAGGCGCGTGCCACCACCCCCAGCTAATTTTTGTATTTTTAGTAGAGATGGGGTTTCACCATGTTGGTCACACTGGTCTTGAACTCCAACCTCAGGTGATCTGCCTGCCTCGGCCTCCCAAAGTGCTGGGATTACAGGCATGAGCCACTGCCCCAGCCTGTGTGCAGGTTTTTATGTGGACATGTTTTCATTTTATTTGAGTAATTACCAAGAAGTGCAATTGCTGTATCATATGATAAGAGTATGTTTAATTTTGTAAGAAACTAACAGTCTTCCAAAGTGGTTGTACAATTTCGCATTTCTGAGAGTTCTGTTGCCCCATGTTTTCACCAGCATTTGGTGTTGTCCGTGTTCTGGATTTTGGCCATCTGATAGTTGCATGGTTGTATCTCATTGTTGTTTCAACTTGCAGTTCCCTGCTGACATATAATGTTGAACTTTCATATGCTTACTTGCCTTCTGTATGTCTTTGATGAGGTGTTTGTAGAGGTCTTTTGCCCATTTTCAGTCAGATTGTCTTCCTATTGTTGAATTTTAAGAATCTTGTGTATATTTTGAATAACAGGCCTTTATCAGATGTCTTTTGCAGATATTTATTTCCCAGTCTGTGGTTTACCTTCTCATTCTCTTGAATGGTAGTTTCTTTTTAATTAATGAATTATTTTAATTGACAAAAATTGTACATATTTGTGGTGTCCAACATGTTTTGATACATGTGTACATTGTGTAATGGCTAAATCAAGAGTGGAAGTTTCTTAAATAATGGATTTTTTAAAACAGTGATATAGATAGCTCACAGATACAATAATATATGGTTATTACATATACCATATAACATATTTCAAATGTTTATACTGTTAAATATATAATAATTCACCTCATTTATAATAATTTTGCATAAATTATTCAAGTTCAGGGACTTCTGAAGATTCAGGAGGTCAAAACTATTTTCATAATAATTATACTAAGCTGTTATCTGCCTTTCACTCTTCATTCTCTCACTAGTGAAGTTTTCCAGAGGTTATGGTATGTAATTATACCATCACTCTAACAGCTAATGGAATGTGAGTCCATTTTCTGTTTTAATTTCAAATATAGCAAATAGCAATAGATATAATTTACATAAACAAAAGGTCTTTAGCGGTTTCAGTAATTTTTAAGAGTATAAAGTGATCCTGGGAGCAACATATTTGAAAACGCTAAAGTAGTATCTTTGGATTCTTTTGCAGGGCATAAGCAAGGGGTTCACTTTGTCCAGCAAGACTGTCATCCTTTCTCTGTACCTCGGAAGAGAAGAACTTCCTTTGCCAGTGTTTGGATATCCCCCCTCCCCAGTCAATCCTTTCTGCACCTGGGGGTGCAGTGTCTCTAGGACAGCACTTCTCAAACTTCAGTAAACATAAGAATCACCTGGAAAGCTTGTTAAAACTAAGATTCTTGAATACCATTTCCAGATATTCTGATTGATTAGGTCTGGGTTGAGGTATAAGAATTTACATTTCTGTGGAACAAGCTGCCCGATGCTGATATTGCAGGTCAGTGGACCACACTTTTGAGTAAGGTCTAGGGTCTTAGCCTTTATGCGAGAGTCTCAGTTTCATTTCTTAAGGCCCTTCTGCCCCTGCATATGTATTAAAACCCAAGTTGGTTTTAATACATGGGTAACACAGCATGTTACCCATATTAATCAGTGCACTCTCAGCTCTGTCCTCCAGATTCTTCATTTCTGGTACGTGAGGCATTTCCTACCTACCTTTTCAGCTTAGCTTGATGTGTGTGTTTGTTGGGGAGGGGAGTGGGTATACGTGTGCACTTATCACATATTTTATCCATTATATATAGTAATAAGACTTTTAAGTTGTCTTCACATACTTCTCTGAATAGTTTGGTCCCACCAATAAACCTATCACTGTTCAACTGGAAGTTTCCTGTAAATCTATTTATAGACCTTTTGGGAAAATGCCATTAAATAAATACCACATTATTTTGGCTTTAGTATATACTTAATTTACGGAAATGCAGTGCTTTACAGTTATTTAGAACATCACTTCTCATTTGAAAATAGTAAAGTTTTCAGATTTGTACCCAATGTGTTTTGAGCTTAGAATGTAACAATGCATGTTTTTAAAAATTGCATTCTTAATCGTTTGTTGACTTGTCATTTGTTTCTCTTTTAGCATTAGGATGTTAATTAGGTTTTGTTTTTGTTTTTGTTTTCGTTTTTTTGAGACAGGCTTTCACTCTGTTTCCCAGGCTGGAGTGCAGTGGCATGATCACGGCTCACTGTTCCCTTGACCTCCCAGGCCCTAGCGACCCTCCTGCCTCAGCCTCCCAAGTAGCTGGGATCACAGGCCAGTGCCACTGCTCCTGGCTAATTGAATTTTTTTTTTTTTTTTTTTTTTTTAGTAGAGTCAAGGTCTTGCTGTGTTGCCCAAGCTGATCTCAAACTCCTGGGCTCAAGTGATTCCTGCCTCTGCCTCCCAAAGTGCTGAGATTACAGGTGTGAGCCACCTCACCTGGCTAAATGTTTTTTTAAAAAGGATTTCAGTTAAGAATTTGGGTTGTTCAGGATGAACCGAAAAGAAAAAAAAAAGATAATTTGGGTTGGTCAGGTTTTACTTAAAGTTCTAATTATGGGATACTTTAGATTTGATTTTATATTTTTGTTAAAAAGGGTGCCCCGTTTTAATATTTCTTGATATGTTTCCCTTAATGATTTTAAAGATTGTGTTTGTTTTTTGAGACAGAGTCTGGAGTGCAGTGGTGCAATCTCAGCTCACTGCAACCTCCGCCTCCCAGGTTCAAGCGATTCTTGTGCCTCAGCCTCCCGAGTAGCTGGGACTACGGGCATGCGCCACCATGTCCTGCTAATTTTTTTATTTCTAGTAGAGACGAGGTTTCACCATGTTGGCCAGGCTGGTCTCGAGCTCCTCGCTTCAAGTGATCTGCCCCACTTGGCCTCTCAAAGTGCTGGGATTACAGGTATGAGCCACCGTACCTGGCTAAAGACTTTGTCATACATCATTCTAGTCCTTTATATTTGCTTTGTTGAAGTGCACTCAGAACTTTAGTAATCAGTTCATCACCACATAAGAGATATACAGGTTGAGTGTCTCTTATCCCAAATGCTTGGAACCAGAATTATTTTGGATTTTGGAATATTTGAGTTATGCTTACCAGTTTAGCATTTCTAATCTGAAATCCTCCAATGAGCATTTCCTTTGAGGATCATGACCGTGCTAAAAAAGTTTCAGATTTTGGAGTATTTTGGATTTCAGATTTTCCGATTAGGGATTCTTAACTCATACTATTTAGTTTATAATATTATTCCCAAAAACGTTCAACAACTTATAGTATTCTCTTTTAGCTGTACTGACATTCTTTGTAATAATTGTAGATTCAGAGAAGAATATACACCACCACTTAGGACTTGCTGATTGCTTAGGGTCCTTGTATAAATCTAATTTGGGTTGTTTTTTCCTTAAATGGCATGACCTTATACTTACTCAACCTTAAGAGATTTTACTGGATTGTTTGTCTAATCTTTAATGCCATCTGTAAACTCTACATCTTTTCCTGAGCACTTGGAATAATTAGACTAGATACTGAGGTATCCTACTGCTTACACATCTCCAGTCAAAAGTACCCATTTATTCCTATCTTTAAACCAGTATTCTAATCATATAACTTTATACTCTTTTACTCAGCAAATTGGGACCTAAAGATATGCTACACTATTCTGAAAATGTAACTATTAGTTGTAACTTTAATAAATAGAGCAAGAAACCTGTGACAAAAATGGATTGATTTGATCCTTCAGAGTCTCTGAGGTGTGGTCCCTGGGCCCCTGGTGGTTCCTGAGACTTAGGGATCAGAAAGGTCAGAATTCTTTTCATGATGATATTAAGGTGTCATTTCCCCTTTGCACTGTGTTGACAGTTGTTCTGATATGGAAGGAGTGATGATGGGTAAAATTGCTCTGGTCCACAAATTAAGACAGTGGCACCAAACTTTTATAGTAGATATTATAGTCTTTCACTGCCTTGCACTCAGAGCATGTGCCAGTTTTACCTAAGAATGCCCACAATGAAACAGTGAAAATATACTACTTTGGCCGGGCATGGTGGCTCACGCTTGTAATCCCAGCACTTTGGGAGGCCGAGGTGGGTGGATCACGAGGTCAGGAGATCGAGACCATCCTAACATGGTGAAACCCCGTCTCTACTAAAAATACAAAAAATTAGCCGGGCGTCGTGGCGGGCGCCTGTAGTCCCAGCTACTTGGGAGGCTGAGGCAGGAGAATGGCGTGAACCTGGGAGGCAGAGCCTGCAGTGAGCCAAGATCACGCCACTGCACTCCAGCCTGGGCAACAGAGTGAGACTCCGTCTCAAAAAAAAAAAAAATACTACTTAATCATGAGCCTTGGGTCTCCTTAATATTCTATGCAATGCAATGGAAAATATGCATAAAAGCACTTATGTGATTGAGTTGCAAGCTAAACTAGCTACTTTTTTTTTTTTTTTAATTGAGACGGAGTTTTACTCTCACCCAGGCTATAGTGCAATGGCGCCATCTCAGCTCACTGCAACCTCTGCCTCCTGGGTTCAAGTAATTCTTCTGCCTCAGCCTCCCGAGTAGCTGTGATTACAGGCATTCACCACCACACCCAGCTAATTTTTGTATTTTTAGTACAGACAGCGTTTCACCATGTTGGCCAGGCTGGTCTTGAACTCATGAATCCAGGTGATCCACCTGCCTCAACCTCCCAAAGTGCTGGGATTACAGGCATGAACCACCACACCTGGCCTACTTTTTTCGTAGAATACCATTTTACTTGGAAGAATATCTGACAAACTGTGGTTATTCAGATTTCAGTATTTAGCAAACATTGTCTTAAAAATGAATGAAGTGGGCTAGGTGTGGTGGCTCACGCCTGTAATCCCAGCACTTTGGGAGGCCGAGGTTGGCGGATCATGAGGTTAGGAGTTCGAGACCAGCCTGGCCAACATGATGAAACCCTGTCTCTACTAAAAATACAAAAATTCGCCAGGCCTGGTGGTGGCCGCCTGTAATCCCAGCTACTCAGGAGGCTGAGGCAGGAGAATCGCTTGAACCCGGTGGGCGGAGGTTGCAGTGAGCCAGATCATGCCACTGCACTCTAGCCTGGGTGACAGAGCAAGACTCCGTCTCAAAAAAAAAAAAAAAAAAAAAAAAAAAAGAACAGTATATATTGTCAATTTCAGCTTCCAAGAAAAATTAGAATATTGGAAAACTTAAATCCACTACTGCGGGCATGAGAACTTCCCTTAAAAGACCTTTCTGATAGGATCAGTAGTGATATTAACAAATGTAATTTTTTTTTGGTGTTACATTGTGTGATGGAAAATGCACATACCTCAGTGAATTAATGCTTTCCAAATGACCAGTAATGATGTTACAAATAAACATTGGTCAAGTGCAAAATAGACTGATGGATTTTTTTTGTAGGAGAAATTTTATTTTTTAAATTAAGTTGTAGTAAAACTGACCATTTTTGTGTACAGTTGTATGAATTTTACCTCATGTATAAATTTATATACCCAACACCACAACTAAGAAACAGAATAGTTTCATGACCTCAAGAAGTTCCCTGTGCTGTCTTTTCTAATTGCCCCACCCAAAACCTCTGGCAGCCTCTGATCCATTCATTTGCTATAGTTATGTTTTTTAGAGAATGTCATATAAATGGAATCATACACTGTGTAACCATTTGAGACTGGCTTCATTCACTCAACATGTATTTGAGAGTAATCCAAGTTGTATCTTCCGTTATTTCACTCCATTTTAAAAAACTAAAATTCACCATTTGAGCCATTTTAAGGTGTGTATAATTCAGGAGCTTTTAGTATATTCAAAGTGTTGTACAACCATTACCACTATCTAATTGTATAGCATTTTGATCACCTCCCAAAAGATAGACCATACCTATTACATAGTCACTTCCATTTCCATATTTCCTCCATAATATCCTTTATGTCTGTGAATTTTCCTGTTCTGGACATTTCATATAAATGGAATCATACAATATATGGCCTTTTGTGTCTGGCTTTCATTTAGCATATTTTTGAAGTTCATCCATGTTGTACGTATCAGTATTCATTCATGTTGTCAGCTCAGGTTGCCATAACCAAAATACCACAGGCTTAGTGGCTTGAACCACAGATACTTATTTCTTATAGTTCTGAAGGCTGGAAGTACAGATCAAGGTCCGGCAGTGTTGGTTTCTGCTGAGGCCTCTCCTCCTGGCTTGTAGGTAGCTACCTTCTCACTTTAACCCCACACAGCCGTTTCTCTGTGCTCATGCAGGGAGGTAGCACAAGTGATCTCGAGCGTGTGTGCACCTTCTCTGGTTTCTGTCCTAACAAGGACACTAATTCTGTCAGATCAGGGACCCACCCTTCTGACCTCATTTCATCTTTGTTGCTTCCTTAGAGACCTCATCTCCAAATACAGCCACACTGGGGTTAGGGCGTTAACATGAATTTTGGGAGTGACATAAACTTTGAGTCCTTAACAGTTCTTTTTTATGGTTGAATAATATTCCATTGGATGGCTGTACTCCATTTTGTTTATCCACTCTTTAGTTGGTGGACATTTGAGTGTTTCCGCTGTCAGGTTATTATGAATAATGCTGCTGTTCAATACTGCTGTGAACATTCATGTATGACTTTTTGTTTGAACACCTGTTTTCATTTCTCTTGAGTATATACTTAGGAGTGGAATGCTGGGTCATTTGGTAATTCTATTTTTAACTTTTTGAGAAACACCTAACTTGTTTTCCAGAGCATCTGCGCCGTTTTGCATTCCCACCAGCAATGTGTGAGGGCTCCCATTTCTTCACTTCCTTTACCAGCACTCGTTATTTTCTTTGTATGCGTGTAGTTTTTTTGTTTTGTTTTGTTTTGTTTGAGATGGAGTCTCGCTGTGTCGCCCAAGCTGGAGTGCAGTGGCATGATCCTAGTTCAGTGTAACTTTGAACTCCTGGAGTGAAGTGATCCTCTCACCTCAGTCTAGGACTACGTACCACATCTGGCTAACCTTTAAGATATTTTGTAGAGAAGGGGTCTGGCTGTGTTGTGCAGGCTGATTTCAAACTCCTGGCCTCAAGCAATCTTCTCACCTCTACTTCCCCAAAGCACTAGGACTGTAAGTGTGAGTCACCCCTGCCCAGCCTAAAACTGATTTTCTTATGCTAATCTTGTATTCTACAACCTTGCTGAACCTGTTTATTAGGTTAATGGTGGTGTTTTGAAAGATTCTTTAGAATTATGTATATATAAAATCATGTCATCTATAAAAGTAGTTTTACTTGGTCTTTCCAATTTGGATGCCTTTTATTTCTTTTTCTTTTTTCTAACCACCCTTGCTAGAACTTCTAGACAATGTTGAGTAGAAATGGTAAGAGCAGACATCCTTGCCTTATTTTTGATATTAGGGGAAAGCTTTCAGTATTTTGCTATTGAGTATGTTAGCTGTTTCATAACCAGGGTTATGAAAAAGCTCCTTTCTATTCCTAGATTGTTGAGCGTTTTTATCATGAAAAGGTGTTGGACTTTGTCCAGTGCTTTTCCTATGTCAACTGAGATGATCAGGTTTCTCTTTTCCCCGCTTTATTCTGTTAATATGGTGACTTTTTTTCAACTGATTGATTTTTGTATGTTGAACCAGCCTTGCATCTCTGGGATAATTCCATGATGGATGGTCATATGCTGCTAAATTTTGTTTGCTAGTATTTTCTTGAGGATTCTTGCATCTCTATTCGTGAGGGAGATTGGTCTGTAGTTTCCTTATGATGATGTCTGTCTTTGCTATCAGGGTAATACTAGATTTATGGGATGAGTTTGGAAGTATTCATCCCTTTTCTCTTTTTTTGGAAGAGTTGAAGGAAGGATTGGTGTTCTTCTTTAAATGTTTGGTAGGATTCACCAATGAAGCCATATGGTCCTGGGGTTTTTTTTGTTGGAAGTTTTATTACAGTTTTCATACTTGTTATAGGTCTTTTCAGTTTTTTAGTTGAGTCAGTTTTGGTAGTTTCTAGAGGTTTATCCATTCATCTAGATTATCTAATTTGTTGGCATACAATAGTTCATGGTATTCTCTTGTAATCCTTCCTGTTTCTATAAGATTGTAAAGATGTCCCCAGTTTTATTCCTGATTTTAGTAAATTGAATCTTCTCTCTTCTTTTTTCTTGGTCTGTCTAGTTAAAGGTTTGTCAATATTGATTTTTTCCGAGAAATTTTGGGTTCATTGATACTGATTTTTCTGACTCTTTTTTTTTTTTTTTTTTTTGAGACAGGGTCTTACTCTGTCTTGACTCTTTTTTTTTTTTTTTTTTTTTTTTTTTTTTTTTTGAGACAGGGTCTCTGTCGCCCACACTGGAGTGCAGTGGTGTCATTTCTGTTCACTGCAACTTCTGCCTCCCAGGTTCAAGCAGTTCTCCTGTCTCAGCCTCCTGAGTAGCTGGGATTACAGGTGCACGCCACCACGTCCAACTAATTTTTGTATTTTTAGTTAGAGACAGGTTTTTACCATGTTGGCCAGGCTAGTTGCGAACGCCTGACCTCAGGTGATCACCTGCCTCGGCCTCCCATAGTGCTGGGATTACAGGTGTGAGCCACCACACCTAGCCTGTAGTTACTTTTTTGAGTAACTATTTAAGAATGTATTGTTTAATTTCCACATATTTGCAAATTTTTCAGTTTTCCTGTTAGTGATTTCTAACTTCATTGCATTGTGGTTGGAAAAGATACTTTGTGTGATTTCAGTCTTTTGAAATTTACGGCAAGTTTTTTTGTGGTCTAACGTGTTGCCCTAGAGGATGTTCCAGTGCACTTGAAAAGAATGTGTATTCTGCTCGTGTTGGTTGGAGTGTTCTGCATATGTCTTTTAGGTCTAGTTGCCTAACGGTGTTGTTTAAGTCTTCTTTTTCCTTATGTATCTTTTGCTTAGTTGTACCACCCATTATTGAAAGTAGGGTGTTGAAGTCTCTAGCTATTATTGTTGAGCCATTTCTTCCTTCAAGTCTGTCAATTTTTGCTTCATAGAATTTGGGGCTGTGTTGTTAGGGGCATATATGTTTTTAATTCTTAAATGTTCTTGATTGACTCTTATCATTATATAATGTCCTTTGTCTTTTTAAGTAGTTTTGTCTTAATGCCTTTCTTAGTCCACTTGGGCTGCCTAAGTGGCTTATAAAAAAAATTATTTCTCACAGTTCTGGAGGCTGGGAAGTTCAAGATCAAGACACAGACAGATTTGGTATGGTGAGGTGCCGCTTTCTGGTTCATGGATGACTGTCTTTTTGCTATGTTCTCACATGACAAAAGGATGAGGGATCTCTCTTGGTGCCTCTTTTATAAGGGCACTAATCCCATTTATGAGGACACTGCCCTTATTTTCTTAATCACCTTCCAAAGGCCCCACTTCTTAATCCTATCACCTTGGAGGTGATAGGATTTCAACATATGAATTTTTGGGGGGACTCCAACAGTTAGACCATCGCAGTGCCTATTTTGTCTGATACTAGTATAGCCACTCCATTTCTTTTTTGGTTGCTGTTCGCATGGGCTTTTTCTTTTCTTTCACCTTCAACCTCTTTGTGTCTTTGGATCTAAAGCAAATGTCTTGTGTACAGAATATTGTTGGATAATGCTTTTTAAATTAATTCTGCCCATCTCTGCCTATTAATTGGAGGCTTTACTCCATTTACATGTAATATAATTGCTGATAAGGAGGAACATTTCCCATTTTATATTTCTTTCTGTCTGTCTTATATCAGTTTTGTTCAAGCCCTCCATGACTGATTTTTGTGTTACATATTTTCTAGTGTACCATTTTGATTCCCTTCTCATTTATTTTACTACATAATAGTTATTTTCTTGGTGTTTGTCCTGGGGATTATAATTAACACCTTCATTTGTAGCAGTCTATTTTGAATTAATAACAACTTGGTTTCAATAGTATATAAAATACTTTGCTGCTACATAGCTCTCCCCCCTCCAATAAATCTTTATGCATTGTTTGTCCATCAACACAGAGTTATAATTATTGTTGTATGTAGTCTTTTAAGTCATATAGGGAACAAAAGAGGCATTAACAAACTGAAAACATAACCTCTCTGCCTTCTTTGCTTCCTAACACTTTATAATATAATATCTCTAATATGCTTTCAGATACTATTCTAAATAATTTACAAATACTTGTCTAATCACGTTATAAATTTATAGCCAAGGAAAGTGAGGTGTGAAGAAGACAAATTGTCCAAGGTATGGCCAGGCACAGTGGCTCACACCTGTAATCCCAGCACTTTGGGAGGCCGATGCAGGCAGATCACAAGGTCAGGAGTTCTAGACCAGCCTGGCCAATATGGCGAAACCCGGTCTCTACTAAAAATACAAAAACTAACTGGGCATGGTGGTGGGCATCTGTAGTCCCAGCTACTCGGGAGGCTGAGGCAGGAGAATTGCTTGAACCCTGGAGGTGGAGGTTGCAGTAAGCCAAGATCGCGCCACTACACTCCAGCCTGGGTGACAGAGCAAGACTCTGTTTCAAAAAAAAAAAAAAAAGAAATTGTCCAAGGTTATAGAGCTTTTAAAAGAGAATCAGATATTTGAACCCAGGTGACCTGGCTTCGTAATTCATATTCTTAACCACTACATCTCTTACTTCCTAGAGTTGTAGTACTCCTTCTATTACACTACAACAGTGAATGTAAAATTCAGTTGGATACATAAAATGTGCATTCATGTTGAAAATGAAGGAAAAATAAAGTGAAAGATACTGGGAATCATTTGGGAGGAAAGATAACAGCTGGAAGGGACTTTTGAACTATGGCCTTGAAGACCACGTAGGATCAAGACTATTGATATTTGAGAGAATTTTATTTATTTATTTTTTGTAATGGAGTCTCGCTCTGTCACCCAGGCTGGAGTGCGGTGGCATGATCTCAGCTCACTGCAACCTCCGCCTCCTGGGTCCACACCATTCTCCTGTGTCAGCCTCCCGAGCAGCTGGGACTACAGGCACATGCCACCACGCCCAGCTAAAATTTGCATTTTTAGTAGAGGTGGGATTTCACCATGTCTCAATTTCTTGACCACGTGATCCGACCACCTTGGCCTCCCAAAGTGCTGGGATTATAGGCATGAGCCACCGCATCCGGCCTGAGAGTACATTTTAGAAGGAGCAAGGTGAAGAGAGGGATCAAGACAAAGAAAATCAAGGCCTACTTGAGAAGCAGATTGTTATTGAAAGGCATTGAAAAGGAGTGTTGAAAAGGTTCACTTTTGGAAGAATTTGAAAGCCAGACTAAGCAGTTTGAATTTTATTATGCAGGCAGTAGCTAATCATTGAACCTTTTTGAGCAGGGGAGAACTATTAAGAATTTTGTATATAAATCTGAAAGCTGATTCAAACATTGGTACAGTTTAAAATTTTCTAATATATCCTTCAATTGGGGCCAGACTGAGGGTTTATCTTTTGTACTGCCATATATTATGATGTGTTAGAAGTGTGGTAAAAAGTAATGATTTTTAAAATATATAAATTAGATATATTTAGATGTGTTTGATTACATTAAAAGGAACCTGTTTCCTTTCAGAATCCTCGGATGACATTTGGAGTGGGTTAAGATATGTCTTTATTTCAATAACAGTGCCATATATAATAGTTCAGATCAGCTAGTATTTTTTGAGTACTTACCATCAAGTTGTTTGCTAGATGGTAAAGATAGAACAGTAAAAAAGACCTGACCTTAATTTTCAGTCTCTTTTTCTTTCTAATCTTTAAACATTGGAATGCTCCAGTATTTGGTCCTGTTGCTTCCTTTCCTTAACTTAATATGATCTTATCTAGTTCTAAAGCTTTAAATTCTGTCTGTACTTTACTGATTCCCAATTTTATATTGCCCCATCTCAGTG
Organism: Homo sapiens; assembly: GCF_000001405.40. Classification (NCBI taxonomy): domain Eukaryota; kingdom Metazoa; phylum Chordata; class Mammalia; order Primates; family Hominidae; genus Homo; species Homo sapiens. The sequence continues at coordinate 96,895,132 of NC_000010.11, forward strand.
TCTCCCTTTTAACTTCAAAGTCACCTATCCAATTGCCTTCTTCATAGATCTACTTTGATTTCTAAGTAGCATCTCAGACTTATCCCCAAAGTGAACTAGATCTCTGTCTGCCAAACATTTACCCTCCAGTCTTCTCCATCCTAGAAAGTTACACTACCATTTACTCAGTTCACAGACCAAAAGTGTAAGTGTCATTTTCCCTCACATTCCACATCGGCACATCATCAAGCAAGTTGGTTTTATGTTTGATGTATACCCTCTATGGGGTCACTACCCTCTACCGCCATTGCTACCCCTATCTCTTGCCAAGGCTGTTGTCATAATAGTCTCCTAATGCTTTATCTAATAATCTGTTCTCTACAGCTACCTGGTAATCTTAAACAATATATATCTAATTGTTTTATCTCTACCACTACCCAGATATAAAACTTAAGTGGATTTCTGTTAAAATTCAAAATCCAGTCTCCTCACCGTGGACTGTATGATCATACCTCTAAATCTCTTACCTTATCTTGTACTTCCCATCTTAAATCACCTTGCTGACCATGCCTGCTTTCTTGCTAATTCTCAATATACCGTACTTCATACCTTAACTACCTCAGTGCTGTTCACTCTGCCTAGAACATTCATGTGTCTCCATATGGCTTGTTCCCTCACTTCATTGAGTGCTCAGAAATGTTACCTCCTTTGCCTGTAATCCCAGTGTTTTGGGAGGCCAAGGCAGAAGGATCGCTTGAGACCAGGAGTTTGAGACCAGCCTGGGCAACATAGCAAGACTCTGTCTGAAGAAAAATTTAAAAATTAACTAGCTGTTGTGATGCATGCCTGTAGTCCAAGCTGCTCAGGAGGCTGAGGCAGGAGGATTGCTTGACCCCAGGAGTTTGAGGTTACAGTGTGCTGTGATTGTGCCATTACAACCCAGCCTGGGCAACAGAAAGAGACTCTGTCTCTAAAAACTAAAAAGAAAAAAAAATCTTGCCTCCTAGATAATTTTTTTCTCGGCTCTCTAAATGCTGTCTTCGCTGCTTTGTACAGTAGCACTTATATGGATGTTACTGACATTTCTGGTATTTAGAGGCGTGTGGGTTGAGGAGGGATCTCACTATTACCGTATAGTCATACCTTATGTCATTGACTTTTTTTATTCACAAATGTATTAGACTGACATACATACCTCAAATAGAGTTGACTGCTTGTGAGGAATGGGGGAAAATATGAGAAATTTTAATTTATTTTCTTTTCAGTAAATTACTTGCAAAGTAATTTTATTAGTTTTATTTATTATTATTATTATTACCATTTGTTTTTTTGAGACAGATTCTTGCTGTGTTGCCCAGACTAAAGTGCAGTGGCATCATCTTGGCTCAGTGCAGCCTCCACCACCCAGGCTCAAGCGATTCTCCCGCCTCAGCCTCCCAAGTAGCTGGGACTACAGGCACACACCACGAAGCCTAGCTAATTTTTGTATTTTTAATAGAGATGGGGTTTTACCATGTTGGCCAGGCTGGTCTTGAACTCCTGACCTCAGGTGATCCACCCGCCCTGCCCTTCCAAAGTGCTGGGATTACAGACATGAGCCATGATACTCGGCCCAAAGTAATTTTAAAACAATCTAGAGTTATTGAGATCCACACACTGAAGATAGTAAATGAATCTCCTAATAGTATAAAGCTCCCGCAAGCATGCTAGGTCTAGGTTGGGGCTAACTCTGGAAAGAAGAGAGTAAATGGACAAAGGAATAGGGAGAGGATGGGAAGGGATAGAAAAGGAAGCCCCACCTTTCCAACCCTAAGAACTTTCAAAGTTTAGTTTTTATCTCTGTTCTTTCAACTATAGAAATTTCCATTTTACCTAAAGTGAAGGAAATCATTCAGCTTATAATTTTGTTTTTACTTAGTTAACTCCATTATTCCCAAGGAATGAGAGAGAGAGAGAGAGAGAGAAAGAGAAAGAGAAAGAGAAAGAAAAGCAAAAAAAAAAAAAAAACCCAAAAGAATGCTTACCTCTCACAGTGTAATTTGTAGTTTTGGTATCTTTGAGAAAAAATGTGATGTAAAAAAGATATTATGGATTCAGTAATGCTTTTTAAATGAATACATATGTTATTGTTTGTAGCAGGGTGTGTTAAAAAAGAGTAGTTAGTGGCTGTATCTGCAAGCACATTTTTATTTGATTTACAAACAGTGCTCATATGAATTTACTGACCTTGTAATGACAGAGGTCTTCAAACGGATTGTGGCCTATGGATTGTGAACTGATGTAATTGACTCATTCCTGATCAACCTCAGATTTGCATTTAAATGGTTTCTTTCTAAGCATGATTAACCTAGACAGTTTGATATACTAGAAAAAATGAAACAGAACTGCCCCTGGATTTCCAAAGACTTAATCTGACCTAGCTACTCACTACCTCTGTGATTTTGGTAACTTATTTAATACCTTTGAATCTTGTTTATGGCATTATGTATGTAAATACTGTATTCTGATAATGTTCTAACTACTCAGTATATCTTTCTTTTCCCTCCTTAATGTATTAATACTATTGTTTTTCAGGACTTTATCTTTTTTGTTTTATTTCTATCTTCACTATGATTACAGCTTTCCGCAAAAAAAGTTTGCTGCTGTTTGTGGGCCAGCAAAAGCTGTTTGTGGGCCAGCAAAAAGAGCCCTTAATTATGTTCTGGTTTTAGTCTATAGATACAGAGAACTTAGTTGAGCTGGAGCAGAAAGCCATCTTTTTTTTTTTTTTTTTTTTGTTTGGTCAGATATCTGTTACCCTTCTGTTTTATTTCTATTTTTTCAAGTCTTTAGCTTGCCTGACACATAAAACAGAGTCCTTGTAAAATCTCCAACCTCTCAGTTAATTATAATGATGTAGGAATTAAAAAGAGTGTGTTTGCATTCATCCAACAAATATTTATTGAGCACTTACTTGAGGATGGTAGTTCAAAGTATAGGGTGATGTTAAAAGATGAATAAACTCCAGTTCTTTGCTGAAAATCTAGCGGATTAAATACCAAAAAAAGGTATATAAATAGTACAACTTGAGTACTGATGAGGATGTTCCTAACTTTGCCTGGGGCTTATGGGGTGAGATGGGGATACCTTAGAATTAGATTGAGGGTTGCAGGAAGAACATTGTAGGCTGACGACATATTGTGCTCAAGTGGCGTGGAAGCATTGACAGTATGTGTTGTGACTGATCAGTATGGCCAGAGCATAGTGTATGTATACAGAATATGGTAGCAGGAGAGACTGAAAAGATAATTTGGGATCAGATCCTATAATGATCATGCATGGCATCCAGAAATTGAAATCTTCACTATTGTCAGTGGAAAGCTATCAAATGTTTTTAAAACCTAGAAAGGATGATGTTTAGCAGCAGCATGAAGGGTGGATTCTGGTGGTAGAGATGGTGGTGTGGGAGAATACTAAGATAAATTAAAAATTAAGAGATGTTATTAATAGGTGGTGTGATGAAATGAAAAGAGCCTGGGCTTTAGAATCACAGGAATGGTTTTAAATCTAGATATTGGCCTTTGCAGTTTGGAACGAATTAGCTGCTTTGATTTTCAGGGTTGTTTGTTTTGTTTTGTTTTACACATTCTGGGTAGTAATAGTGCTTGTTTTACAGTATTCCTTTGAATATTTTGTTATGGGCATGAAGCACCTGCTATAGTGCTTGCCTGATACCAAATAAGGGTGCAGTTAATGATAACTGTCATTATTATCAACATGAGTGACATTTATTATAATTGTTAAGATAAGAGATAGTGAAAACCTGAATTTAGGGATGGAAAAGAGAGAACAGATTGGGAGGAATCTTTCTGAAGTAAAATGAATAGGACTCAATGACCGGAATACTTGGTGATTTATGGAAAGAATAGAATTGTGACTAACCGAGGTCTCTATTTAACCTGAATAACTTGGGGGGAAGGTGTTCGTGATGCCATTTTCTTAGTAATGAATACAGAATATAGACGAAATCTATGATTGAGATGAAGGAAAGGAGTAAAATGATTTTGATTTGGTGGGCATTTTTAGGTATTTAGGAGATTTTGGTGATAATATGAAGTAGGAAATTAGAAATTTGGTCTTAGGGCAAGAGATAAAGGATTGGAGAGTTATAAGTATCTGCATAGTAGTGGGAAAGCATGTTAATTTTGATTCCTTGACTAGAATTATAAATATCTTAACGGCAGGGCATATTTTTAAACATAACCCCTGTATCCCCACACTGCTGAGCTCTATGTAAACACTTGATTAATTCTTATTAAATGTGAGATTTAAAAAATAATATTCTTGATGGCTTTGTGAATAGAAAAGGTAATGCATAGTTATTTTGATTTTTAATTTTTAAATGTTCACTTTATTTAAATTTATAAACTTAAAACCTGGTTCTCTCTAAATACAGATCTTATTCTGTAACTAATTTTAACAAACTTTTGATAAATATCTTAATTTAACTTCTTAAAACATTTAAATCTGTAAGTATAAATTAAATTTATTTTCTCTGTAAATATTGATTAATAAAACCTTAGATACTTAAATAAATCTTGTAAATCTAATAATTTAAAATTGTAAATATAAACATCCTTAAGTTTTGTGAGTATTCTTATACAGGATGCAAACTTAGTAAAATTTCGGCTTAAAATCATAAGTCTAAATCAGCTGTTCAATTATACATTTTAAATTAGAATTACAAGGCTGGCTCTAATAGGCCAGATTTTCTTAAAACATTACAAATTTTTACCAAACAGGCATAGAGTACCTGTTTTGTAAACAGCTTTATTGAGACATAATTTACATACCTTACAATTCACCTATTTTAAGTGTGCAGTTCACCGATTTTTATTATAGTCACAGAATTATGCAACCATCACCACCATCTAATTTTAGAATATTTCCCTTAATACAAAAAGAAATGTGTTGCCCATTTGCAATTATTTTTTCATTTTCATTCAGCCATAGGAAACCACTAATGTACTTTCTTCTATCTATAGATTTGCCTTTTCAGTACATTTTATATCAATGGACTCATAGTATGTGGTCTTTTGTTTCTGTCCTTTTTTCACCTAACACAATGTGTTTTGAGGCTTATTCATCCATATTATAATTTTATTCCATTGTATGGATATACCACATTTTGTTTATCACAGATTACCTCTTAATATACAATAATTAAAATTTTAGTTCTTTTAAGTCATCCTATACTTGATTCTTTTTTTAAAAAAAGAAACCTGAAAATAAGTAAATGAATCTCTTACGAGTTAGACAAAAATGCAATAGAATAAACCCAAAGAAATGGATAATTGAAAAAAATTAAAGCAAAATTTAATGAAATCAATGATATAATAGAGAAGAACAAAAAAGTCAAAGTAGGTTTTTAAAAGAAAAAAACTAAAAAAGAAACTGATAGGATCAATCAAGGAATAAAAGAAACAAAAATAGTATGAAAATGAAGACTGACAACATATTAGAGATCAAAAGACAAGGTATTTATAGCAGCCTGCCATTAGTTTTTATATAAACAGTCTTTTCCCTTTTCAGGAGATCATTATTCCCAATCATATTTTTCTTAATGGAACTACTTTGAGTAACCCTTACCCCCCAGAGTGAATGGCTGTTCTACTTCCCAAATCAGAGAATATCTATAAATGTCTTTTATCAATATTCATAAGCAACACATTGTCTTCATTTTTCCTCTAGAATTTTGTAAACACTGCTTCGTAGGCTTTTTTTTTTTTTTCTTTTTTCTGTTTTAAGAGATGGGGTCGGCCGGGCGCAGTGGCTCACACCTGTAATCCCAGCACTTTGGGAGGCCAAGGCGGGCGGATCACGAGTTCAGGAGATCGAGACCATCGTGGCTAACACAGTGAAACCCCGCCTCCACTAAAAATACAAAAAATTAGTCAGGCGTGGTGGCGGGCGCCTATAGTCGCAGCTACTCGGGAGGCTGAGGCAGCAGAATGGCATGAACCCGGGAGGCGGAGCTTGCAGTGAGCCAAGATCACGCCACTGCACTCCAGCCTGGGCGACAGAGACTCCGTCTCAAAAAAAAAATAATAAAATAAAAAGAGATGGGGTCTCCTCATGTTGCCCAGGTCAAACCCCTGGACTCAAGCAGTCCTTCCACTTAAGCTTCCCAAGTAACTGGGACTGCAGGTGTGTGTCACCACATACCATTCCCAGCTCTCCATACATGTTTAGCATTTACATTTACCAGTGAAATGACTGGTAGTCTAAATCTCTTTCCTCTTATTTTAAGTAAAATTAAGTGAAATATTTTCCATATTTGGAGCTTGTAAATTTTTATTGTTGAAATTCAGATATTTTACCAGGAGAGTCTACATGTGTAGCTTCCCCTCCAACCCCCTAGTGCTGCCCCAGTATTTCATGGAGCCCATTAGATAAGAAGACTCAAGTCAGTAATCAACATTAGGAAGTTTTTGTTTCCTTCTAAATTTTTAAAACGTTCATTCTTTGCCTTTTCTTGCTCTAAAAATCCTATTTTACAGATACTGCACGTCTGGCCACCTCATCTCTAATCTTTTTCTCATTATGTATGTGTCTTTGACACTTCACTATACAATATTAGGCCATTTCTTCCTTCCTTCCTTCCATCCGTTCCTCCATCTGTCCATCGGTCCACCTTCTTTCAATGGTCTCGCTCTGTTGCCCTGGCTGGAGTGCGGTGGCGCAATCTCGGCTCACTGCACCTTACACCTCCTGGGTTCAAGTGATCTTACCACGTCAGCCTCCCGGGTAGTTGGGACTACAGGTGTGTGCCACCACCCTGGGCTAATTTTTTGTACTTTTTTATAGAGACGGAGTTTTACCATGTTGTCCATACTGATAGTAGGACATTTCTTAAGTTAATTTTCTAAATCACTACTTTGTTGTGTATTTCTCTACTTAATTCTATTTGGTAATTTTAGTAGTTTTTCTCCTCCCCCCAAGCATTTGTTCTCTGCTATTTTATTCAGAGCTCTTTGCTCTTAAAAAAAAAAAATACTATTTCTCCCTGGCCTCAATAAAAATACTATTTATAATTTGTCTTCAAGTGCTGCTGTTTTGTCTTCATTAATTCTGTTTCATTTTGGGCCATTAGTCGTGATTAAAGTGTTACTTCTCTTTGGTATATCTGGCTAGGTTTTGTCATCAGTTCTTGTGCTGGGTAATTCTGAGAGTGGTAAGTGAGCCAACAAATAGGGTTCATCATAGTGCATCATCTGGGAGAATGTGCTCAGGAGGAGAGGAAGAATTATTAATGAATGTAGTTCTCTAATAATGAAAGGAATCACCAGGGATAGTAAGGGGAAGAGAAGCCTGAATGGTCATTGCTCATTATCTATAGAAGTTCATTTGATCTTTGATTTAATAACATGCTGAGATAGTTGGAATGTCAATTAAAAAGAATTGATTACCTTAATTACCTGGGATAGAATATAAAAGATTGTATAATCTAGTGTTCTAAAATTATTACCACAATTACTATTGCACCAACCCAATACTTTCACTTTGTGACTGACTTCGTATGAAGGCTCAGTGTGGTGGTGGCATCAAGTCACACATCCTGACTTTTAAGCAAACAACTCCAGATAATATCATTCCCCTCTTTGTTTATTAGGACACTAATTGATTATTATTGCCAGCAAGCACCTTTGAACTGATACTTTGTAAAATATAATACAGTCATGTGTTGCTTAACAATGGGGTTGCATTATGAGAAGTGCATCCTTAGGCAGTTTCATCATTTTTCAAACATCGTAAAGTATACTTACACAAACCTAGATAATATAGCCTACTACATACCTAGGCTATTTGGTATAGCCTGTTGCTGCTAGCCTGCAAATCTGTACAGCACATTACTGTACTGAATACTGTAGGAAATACCACCATTGTCACACAATATCATTGTCACACAGTGGTAAGTATTTGTGTATCTAAACATAGAAAAGGTACAGTAAAAATTGTCACACGTGGATAGGGCACTTACCATAAATGGAGAGTGCAGGACTGGAAGTTGCTCTGAGTGAGTCAGTGAGTAAGTGGTAAGGGAACAAGAAGGCCTAGAATGTTGCTGTACGCTACTGTAGACTTATAAATACTGTACACTTAGGCTACACTAAATTTACTTAGGAATAAAGTAATTGCAGTCCAACATTACAATGGCTGTAATCACCAAGCAGTAGGAATTTTTCAGCTCCGTTATAATTTTATGGGACTACCGTGGTATATGCAGTCCATCCTTGACTAAAACATCGTTGTGTGGCATGTGATTGTACTTTATTGAAGACTGAGCACCAAGCTCAGTACAAGCTTGCATACAAGATCCAGGGGCCTTGATGTAAAAATTGCTCATTTTCTGATATATTCCTGCATTTCCTTCAGCACCTCTCTGAAACTACTAGTCTCTGTACTGGTTATCTCAGAGGAGAGGTTCCCAAGACCCAGGAACCGTTTTTTCATTCTGTTAATTTTTTTCCAAAAGAACAGGCTATATTGCTGACCTTAGTTAGCTTTGTATTTGATATATTCCTATTCTGTTACTTTTTATAACCTGTTTTCCCCCTTTTCGTTGGAAATGGATTGTGATTTAGATTGAAGGGGGAAATTTGTGGGAGATTTTAGTCTTCTATCTTCTGTTTTCGAGAGCTGTGTGATTAAATCGGAAGCTAATCAGGCATGTGAAGCCTTTCTGTGAGAGAAACATTGTTCCTATAAGAGAAACATTGCTTTCTAGCCTTCCTGGAGCATTAATTCTCCTTGAGGAGATAAGACATAAATGAATAAAAGAAAAATGAGAACATAGTGTTTAGATAGCCTGTGACAAATTTTATTTTACAAAATACTTGAAAAGACAGTGTTTTGTAAATGGCAGAAAGCAGAGAAGACATTAGGCAACTGACTTTTATTTAAAATCAAGCAACAGTCTTGAGAATTCTGAGGATGAGAGAACTGGAAACTGAAGATTCATGAGGGCAGGTAACATGGCAGCTCAACACTGCCTGTTGAACAGTCCCTGGCAGATGATAGACTCTCAGTTAGTGTATGTCGAATAAATTAATATGTATTTGTTGAACAATGTGAAGAGTTATCTTGAAGGAGAGAGATACTATATTTTAGCAAAGGTGAGATGCAGAGGCTTCAGAAAATGTTAGGAGGTAGGAATGATCACTGAACACAACAGAAGACCATCCTGACCAGAGCTGTAGGAATGAGCAGGAAAGGTCTGGTAAGTAAGCCAGCTAACAGTAGGTAGGGTCAAATTATAAGCAGTTTTGATTGCCGAATTTGGAATTTGGGGTTTGTTCTTTAACCAGTGTGAACTTTGAAGAGGTGGTGGCATCATTGAAGCAGTGTTTTAGGAATAGCCTGAAGACATGGTGCAGGTTGCAGTGAAGAAGAAACTAGAGCTCAACCTTGAGACTAGTTGTGATGTTGGATAGGAATTCTTTCAAAAGTAGTCAACTTCGATAAAATAAATAATTTTTCTTTATATGTGATATGTAAAGGTAGTTTTTAAGCCTTAGTGATTGAACATAACGGCATGGCTGTCTTTTTCAGTATTTAGTTTTCCATGGCATTTTGTTATTGATCTTTCTGGCTTTTCTGTGATATCATGGTATACATTTTGAATATATTTGTTCTTCGCTTATTTGCCTTTCATTAATGTCAAGCATAGCACGTCAGACATTCCCTGTTGCTATGCAACTGCTAAATTCAATATTTAGTATTAATAAAACTGAGTGGCATTAACATCCAGTGAACAGAGGGTAGCAAAATACGACTTTACAGTATCTAATCAATAATATTTGTTAGGTTTAATGTATTGTTGCAGATATGAGCAAAAGAGGAGTGACTTGTTTACAGTTGCTATTTTGAGCAAAATTAGTTGTGATTAAATCTTTGTGTTTATAACCAGATTTTTTTTGTTTGCTTTTGTTCTTTGTCATTGCTTTTTCATCTGTGACTCAAATTTTTGTTAGTATTATTGATCTTCTGCCCAATTTTCTTATGTCAGATTCTGTTCTTCTTTAAAATTTTTATCTCCCAAAGCTTTCATTTGCATTTTTCTTTCCTGGCATTATTTCTTGCTATATTTACTTTTTTCCTTTTCAAGAATTTACGCTCAGCCCGAAAATTTGGAATTTGTTACAATTTTATATAAACCCAGGTGAAAGAATATTAGATTTGCTCTTCAGGATAAGACCTACTTAATAATTTCCTTTAGCTATTTGCGTTGTGTATTTGATGCTTGCAAGGTGTTGAAATACTTTATTATTTGTGAAATCAGATTTTCTTTTGGGAGGGCAGGTAGGGGGGCTTTAAGAATTGGAGATAGGCTGTGGGATTTATTTATTTTTTTAAGTCAGATCGTTCTGAAAATATCTGATCTCCAGGGCCAAAATAGGCAGTATCTAGCATTTTCTTCTCTTCTCTTATCACTACCTCCCCACCCCCACAGCCCTACCCCAACCCTTTTTCCTCCCTAGTGTGGAAGAGAGGGGACCATAGCAATTTAGTGGAATATATTTTAATTTTAGTAGGTAAATAATAGACATAGATACCTCCCATTTGTTTGAGTGGGTAGTTTGATTTTGTTAATGTCCTTGGAATAATCTTGATGGGAATTAAAGAGAGTTGAAAAACAATTGCTCCCTAACAATAAATAAAAAATCTGGAATCTAGGATATATCATATAGTATAGAAAAACCAGCTCTCTAATTACAGTGTAAATAACACAAACTAGAGATTACTGAAAATTATGGCTTAATACCAAGGCAAAGAAATCCCTTACATTACCATCTTCTTCTTCTTATAGCCAGATAAACAAAATGCCATTTTCAGAGGCCATCATTTCTACCCCCTTACCTTCTAAATCCTTTTCTGTGGTTGTATTTGTGGTCAAAAATTGATACATGTGAGGGGGCCTTATGTGTCCGGCAGGATATAGTATTTTAAATTAAGGGGTACCTTATCTTTTAAGCATGGGAGTGCTTTTTAACAATTAAATCGCAAACCCCTAGGTGACAGATTATGTGGCAAAATACACAGTGCCCCTAGCTACTAGGAATTCAGTAACACTTTTTATATTTACTTTATTGCAGTAATCCTATGCCTTTGAAAAGTAGTATGTATACTGAATGCACAAGACGTTAATTTCGAGGCCGCACTGAGAGTGCATATGGATTCATAGACTCCTTGTTTGTAATAACCATTTGAGTTCCCGGTGAGGTCCATGGCAAACATTTTGGGAACCACTGCTTTAATCTGTTATTTCTGGTATGTTGTATAAAGATACAGTCTGATTCCTGCTCTTGTTTTCCTCCTTACTCTCTTGACCCATAAGAAATTGCAAGATGGCAAAGATATTTTTAAATTATTCAGTAGATCCATCAGTATTTGAGATAATAAGCCAGAAAAAAAGTTTTTGATTTTTTCATTTTCTACTTTTTTCACACTGGTAGAAGGACATAATAATTTAAACATTTGTGTACAAGTATATTTGATTTTTTTCTCTTTTTTTTGTATGTACAATCAGTGGGGTTTACGTTTATAAAGGAACCAGTACATAGTTATTGTGGCAATGTTAAATACTTACAAAAGTCTTTTAAAAGTCTTGTACCTTCTTTACAAAAGTCTTGCACCTTGTGTTTGTGTGATGTAGTTTTTCTCAGTAAATATTTCATAAACTTAACTCAAAATCTGTTGTCTCAACTGGTATTTTGAAAAATGCTATTTAGATTATTTTAGAAAGTTGTGGAAATTTTGAAGCAGTTTTTGACTCATTCATTGAGAAAAGTACCTTTTAAAATGGAGCCTGAGAGTTTGTACAAAGAGGTGTTTGGGATTTTGTAAAATGGTGAGAAAACCTGTGAATTTCCATTCCTTCATTGGTCTTGTTCTTGAATGTGCTCAGAATTTGTGTTGAATGTTAATCATTGACAGAAATGCAAATGCTCCTTTTAGATTTGTCATTGACACTCTTTTTCTAAGCATCCCTTCAGTAGTAATCCAGGATCCTTGAGAACTGGAAGAAAACACCATCTTTTTTTTTTTATGCAAAGATTATTCAATACTAGAATGAATATTATTGTGGTAATGGATTTTGTTTTTATCCTTTCAGGGTTTGAAAGTATTCTTGAAGGGCTGTTTGGACCTGCATTATTAAAAGATCTCAGTTTATTTAAAGGTATTCAAAATATTTTTGGTATTTCAAATTCTTCCTGGTGCCATACATGATACGTTGGTGTTTTAAGCCTCAGTCTCCTTTTTATTCACGGTTTCATGTGGGTTAAAGCTATATTCATGTAAGCATCTTTTTGTGTTTAGTTGATATTGTTAATATATGTATGAATAATGTATTAACTAGTGAGCAGTTAAGACTTAAGAATTTAAGAGTTAAAATTTTTAAGACAAATATGGCCTAACTACTTAGTTTTTTGTTAAACAATATTTTTGAAATTAATTCTAATTTATTTTCCTAAAAATTCTCTTTTATGACTATTAATTTGTTACTATTTTTGCAGACTGTGAACCTGAAAGCATTTCTGATTGGACTTTTGATGAAAACTGTTTATTCTGTTGCTTGAGAAGAGATAAAGTAAAGGTAACTAAGAAGCCTGTGAAACTTTTATTTAGTGTAGTATTTTAAAGTTTTCATCTTTTAAAACATTGTGTTACTTTGTTGGAGGATTTGTAGGAAAAGGAAGGTATGGTTTCATACTTAGTTATGAAAGAGTTTGATAGTAATCCTGGGTTTTGCAATTTAAGTTATTTCCATCCTGTTGATTAGCCTATTAAGAAACCTATATCCTACCATGCATTTATTGTTGTTATTTTGTTTTTTTGCTTTTTTGTTTTTTTTTTATTTTGAGACGGAGTCTCTCTGTGATGCCCAGGCTGGAGTGAAATGGCACGATCTCTGCTCACTGCAGCCGCCGCCTCCTGGGTTCAAGCGATTCTCCTGCCTCAGTCCCGAGCAGCTGGGATTACAGGCACCTGCCACCACACCAGCTAATTTTTGTATTTGTAGTAGAGATAGGGTTTTATCATATTGGGCAGGCTGGTCTTGAACTCCTAACCTCAAGTGATCTCCTGCCTCAGCCTCCCAAAGAGCTGGAATTACAGGCATGAGCCACCGCGCCCAGCCCATGCATTGTTTTATTTATATAGTTCACTAGGCAGAATAATTAATTGTCTCAAACTGTTGTGTTTATTTAAAAAATGAAATGTGTGGTAATTCAAGTAATGGGAGTTATTTTTAGTACAAAAAGAACAGTAATGTAGATCTGGATCAAGCAGTTACTAATTCATGTAGATGATGATATACTATGGTTTCTACTTTAAGACACTTCTTCATAATATCTGGGCATGAATGCTATTATTTTTAATTGTATAAACTGGGTGAACCTTTGTGTATTTGTTGTTTTATTGCTTTGTTTTAAACATAAACAGAATTTTGTTAGAAAACATTTCACTTGTTGGAAACATTTATTAATAGTGGTTTACTACTTTTTTTTTTCATGGTACATCCATTCCCTGTTTTAAAGCCTTGAAAATGCTTTCTTCTGCCGTATACACTCTTTTTTTTTTGAGATGGAGTCTCACTCTGTCATCCAGGCTGGAGTGCAGTGGCGCGATCTCTGCTCACTGCAGGCTCCCCCCTCCGGGTTTACGCCATTCTCCTGCCTCAGCCTCACGAGTAGCTGGGACTACAGGCGCCCGCCACCTCGCCCGGCTAATTTTTTGTATTTTTAGTAGAGACGGGGTTTCACTGTGTTAGCCAGGATGGTCTCGATCTCCTGACCTTGTGATCCGCCCGCCTCGGCCTCCCAAAGTGCTAGGATTACAGGCGTGAGCCACCGCGCCCGGCCTTCTTCTGTCCTATACACTCTTAACTTAAATCATTGACCAGATTTTATCAGTTTTTCCCTCACAACGAATTTCATTTTTTTTCATTTCCACAATCATTACTATAGTTCTCTCTTAGTCTTCTTCAGTCTCTTAAATATTCCTACAAGGTTAAACTCCTCCCAACCCTCACCCCTCAAATGGTGTAGAAATGTTACCTTATACTTAGCCTTTGATGACTTTCTCATTGTCTTCTGGATTCATTAGCCTAACAGTGCCTCAGTACCCTCCACATTTTAACCACTTTTCTTTCTAATGATATCCCACTTGTCTTCTATACAGTTTTCTTTCAACTAAGCTATTTCTCTATAGCTAGAAATTCCTTTGTTTTTACTCTTAAGCCCCATCGTTCCTCTGCTTCTATTGCTGTTTCAGCCTTTCACACTGTTGTCAATATTATCTGTGCCAATTACTTGTCAGTTAATATTCTGCCTTATTTTGTTCATCCTTTTTCATATTTGAATCTTTTGTTCCTTACTACATTGTCAACTGCTAAAAACTAGACAGACCATGCTGTATGCTTCCTTGTACCCCTGCATATAACCATTGTATCACTATTTATCTGTGTTGGCAAGTTGCTTTAAAATTTGAAAGCCAACGTGTAGCCAACATAAGTGCTTTTTCATGTTCTTCTTGTATGGCTTCTTTTTCTTGTTTTCTACATGAAAAAGTTGTTGCTCTATTTGGAATGGTCTGTTTTTGTTGAATTGAGGAAGAACGTGTTTTAAAATTTAATCTGGCTCCAAAAAGAGAGACTAGAAAAGAAAGCAACATTGTTTTGAGTTAAACTTCCAGTGAAATTGAAGTTCATAATTTTAAACTCTGTGTGTGTGTGTGTGTCTCTGGTGGCTCTTTATTGAGCAAGCCATTTAATAGGAATTTTTGAAAAATAAAAAGAAGAAACAGTTACTAATTTTTTTTTCAGGTTAGGATGAGGAAGAGAGCCATTCTATGCTTGGTAGTTGTATATAGTATATTCTTGTAATATGATTGAGAGTTTTCCTTTGCTGTATGAGGGTAAAATATTGTATGAATTTTTTTTAAGAGACAGGGTATCACTGTGTTGCCCAGGCTGGACTTAAGTGATCCTGCTTCTTCAACCTTCCAAGTAGCTAGGACTACAGGTACATGCCACCATACCCAGCTTGTGTGAATATTTTTAGAAGAAAATACAGATAGAGAAAGTCATGAAATGGTGAAGCACTTAAAACAACTGTTTTACTGTTTGTAGTTCTACAGTTTTTAGTTGGTTTTCTAAATAGAAATAATTTTTCCATTTGACAGCTCAGCTGGTTCTGGGAAAGCTATTTTTCTCCGTTAGATACTATATCCTGTCTTTGGCATTTATTATTTTCGGAGACAGTCATACATCTGTAATGGAAAATAGTAAAAGAGAAAGCCTATATCATGTGAATTGTCAGATTTACAGTATTTCTTTAGTTGTGTTAGACTTAAAGTGTTTATATTGGAACTCTTTGCAGTCACTTGGAGCATCTTGTCCGAGAAGGACTAGAGTCTGGAAATTAAGTATTTTTTTTGTTTTGTTTTTTGGAAATGTATTATATCCGTTGGACTGAGGCTTGCATTTTAAGGCTGGCTTAAGATTCTAAAATAGAAAGAACTATCTGGAGAATATGGTAATAGCCAATAGGTGGCAGCATAGAGCATGGTACTGGATCTTGAGTTTGAGATTGGCATGGTGAGATAATCTAGGTAGTATTTGGAAAAGCACTTAGAAATATTGACCTGATATTTGGGAAGCAGCAGCTATGCATACTTTTAGCTAGTTGGATTTTCAGTAAATACTAACTCTGTAGAATGGATAAAGCAAATACATTATTTATATTTACCTTTAAAAACACGTAGGTGAAAAATACGAAGTAGCCTCTTTGGGAAGTAGAACAGGGATTCACCTAGAGATTAGTAAAAATTTTTGAACTGCACTTCAGGATCGCGCAGAAGTTAGAGAATGTAATTGTAAGGGAAAGGCAACTAACATGTTCTGAGCATCTACTATGTGCCAGTTATTTTTACATGTTCCCTTTTTTTTTTTTTTTTTTTTTTGAGACAGGGTCTTGCTCTGTTGCCCAGGCTGGGGTGCAGTGGTGTCATCTTGGCTCACTGCAGCCTCTACCTCCTGGGTTCAAGCGATTCTCATGCCTTAGCCTCCTGAGTAGCTGGAACTACAGGCGTGCACCAACACGCCCAGCTAAGTTTTGTATTTTTAGTAGAGACAGGGTTTTACCGTGTTGGCCAGGCTGGTCTTGAACCCCTGACCTCAAGTGATCCACTCGCCTCAGCCTCCCAGAGTGCTGGGATTACAGCGTGAGCCACCACGCCCTGCCACTCCTATTTAATCTTCAAAACAATCCTATAAAGTTGATTAAAGGCATCCTAGTTTTATAAATAAAGAAAAGGAAAGGGTCAGAGATGTTCAGTTATGGGCAAAATTACATAGCTGGGATTTGATCCATGTTTTTAGATGCATTTTGATAACAGTAGGAGCAGGAACATGGAAAGTGGAGAGCAAGAATTAAGTAGGTCTTGGAATTCAGTTGGAAAGAGGGAGGGAATCCTCAGTTGGAAATTTCTCAGTTGGAAAGAGGGAAAGTGTATTTGAAATGACCAATTCTAGCTATGTTAGGAATCTGTGAGTGACTGACTGACTGACTGCCTGACTGCCTCAGTTACCTGCTTACTTCTTTCCTTCCTCCCATTTTCTGTTTTATGGGCATAAAGTAGGCACTCTAAAATATTTATTAAATGAGTGACTAAGAAGTCAGGAAGCTTAATAAACTTGGAAAATTATAATAGCTGTTTTGAGTGTTTACATTTATACACAATTCTCTGTGTACTGCTTATTCATGAGGCTTTTCTTTTCTTTCTTTCTTTTTTTTTGTGAGATGGAGTCTCACTGTTGCGCAGGCTGCAGTACAGAGGCATGATCTCGGCTCACTGCACCCTCCACCTCCCTGGTTCAAGCAGTTCCCCTACCTCAGTCTCCCGAGTAGCTGTTATTACAGACACATGCCACCACGCCCAGCTAATTTTTTTGTATTTTTAGTAGAGGCGGGGTTTCACCATGTTGGTCAGGATGGTCTCAAACTCCTGACTTCAGGCAATCCACCCGCCTCGGCCTCCCAAAGTGTGATAACAGGTGTGAGCCACTGCACCCGGCCTTCTTTAACCTTTCTTTAAGCTTCAAATTTTTAAATTAATTTTAGCCTTATAAAGCAATTGCAAAAATTGTAAAAGGAATTCCCGTATATTCTTTAACCAGATTCTCCAAATGTTAGCATGTTATGTAACCACAGTACAATTATAAGTTCAGGAAATTAACAATGATACAATAGTATAATCTGCAAACCTTTGCGAATTTGCCAGTTATCCCACTAGTGTCCTTTATCTGGTCCAAGATCCAGTCCAGGATTACAGTCTGACTGATGTTGTATCATTCTTCGTGCATCATGTCAGAAAGCACGTGGTGATGTTTACTTTGATCACTTAGTTAAGGTGCTGTCTGCCTCTTTTCTGTAAGATCTTCCTTTCTTCCTTTCTTCCTTCCTTCCTTCCTTCCTTCCTTCCTTCCTTCCTTTCCTTCTTTTTCCTTTTTGTAGTTAATGGCTACATTGTTGGGGGAGGTACTTTGAGGTTTTGTAAATATCTTCTTTTTTTTAATTATACTAGTTTTTCATGCACTAATTTTAGCATCCATTGATGAACATTGCCTGAAAAAAAATTACTGTGGTGTTGACCAAATGATTTTCTATTTCCATAATTTCTTCTACATTTATGAGTTGGAATTCTACTGTAAGGAAGAACTTCTCTTTTCTCCCTATGTTGTTGTTTTAATATATCAGTACGAATTCATGGATTCTTATTTCATTCTGTGGATTATAATTCATTACAGTCCTTGTTTACTTAGCAGTTCAAATTATCCTAGGCCATTTAGGGCCCTTTGGAGTTGGCTGTTGTGTCCTTTTTGACATCTTTCTTTTTTTTAAAGCACTTTTTTTTTTTCACTTTTTGGCATTAAAAGATGTTCCAGTCTTAACATGTACTTTCCCTGTCCCGGCCCTGGATTTCTCCAAAAAACTCTAGTTCCTTTTAATCAGAGAACTGTGTAAGAATTCAAGGTGTCGGTACTAGGTGTATGTACTCTTGGTACTAGAGTGTCATTGCTTTGAAACATGTATGTTTACTAAAATACATGTGTAGCTATGTTATTTTATATATCAGTGAAAAACCATCCACTGAGATTTTTTGATTACAGATATGTTGATAGTATGAAGAGCTAATCCAGTAGTAGTGAGAGGGTCGGGGAGAGATGGGAAGGATGAGAAATTACTTTTAGTAGTTAATTCCTAAAAACGGACTGCTTCAGTGATCAGTCTGTTCTTGTGTATGGCTGGGATAGAGATGGCTGTTTGTAAAGTACAGATAACATGGATGATTCACTAAGGATGATGGGAGAGTAGGATGTTATACCAAAATATAAAATTAGTTTATGCACTTAGGTTTAAGACTAAAGTAAGTTTAGTATTTGATTGGCATATTAGGAGAGTGTTTCAAGAAGTTAGAACTTGAGGTTGGGTGCAGTGGCTCACACCTGTAATCCCAGCACTTTGGAAGGCCTCAGGCAGGCAGATCACTTGGGGCCAGGAGTTTGAGACCAGCCTGGCCAACATGGCAAAACCCCATCTCTACTGAAAATACAAAAATTTTAGCTGACTGTGGTGGCCCATGCCTGTAATTCCAGCTACTTGAGAGGCACGAGAATCGTTTGAACCTAGGAGCTGGAGGTTGCAGTGAGCCGAGATCATGCCTGGGCGACACACACAGACTGTCTGGAAAAAAAAAAAAAAGAAGTTAGAACTTGATCTGTGTTTTTGAAGAATATATAAGTCTGGATGAGCAGAGATGAAAGGGCACATCCTGGTTGGAACAGGGCATTTATTTTTGGAAGTAACCAGTGATATGGTTGGAGCCAGATAATAGATACCTTTCAGTGCCCAGCTAGCTCAGGAGTCATGTAACTAGATCTTTTTCATTGTATCAGCATATTTTGCTGAATGTTTCTTAATTTCTTCCAATTCGTGAATATGCATTGTTTGGTTATATCCCTTTAACATTTTAGTTTTATTGCTATTTTATTTTATTTTGAGACGGAGCCTCGCTCTTGTTGCCCAGGCTAGAGTACAGTGGCGCCATCTTGGGTCACTGCAACCTCCACCTCCCAGATTCAAGCGATTCTCCTGCCTTAGCCCCCCTGAGTAGCTGGGATTACAGGTGTCCACCACCACACCTGGCTAATTTGGTATTTTTAGTAGAGATGGGGTTTCACCATGTTGGTCAGGCTGGTCTCGAACTCCTGACCTCAGGTGATGCGCCTGCCTCGGCCTCCCAAAGTGCTGGGATTACAGGCGCGAGCCACCGCGCCTGGCCTTTATTGCTATTTTAATACATTGAAAGTTTTTTGTTTTCCCAAAGCCAAACTGTATCCATCTTTATTAAAGATACTTTCGATAAACAATTGTAGTATTTAAAAGCAGGACATGGGCAGACAGTTGTTAACAGTATAGAAGAACTTTCAAACTCCCTTCTTCAGTGGACTACCAAAAATCAGAAAGCCACTATAAAACCGAATGAAGTCTTTATCTAATGCTCTGAATGGGTAAAGTTTAGAGTGAGGGTTGACAAATTTTCAAGAGCTGACCCTGACTTTAAGGAAGTGAAATGAAAATGGCAGTATTTATCTGAAGATCCACTATCTAGAAATGGAACCACTGCTCTTTTGAGGGGTGCCATCTCAGTGCATCACTGGGAAGTCCAGATTGCTTGACACACTGGTAACCAATTATTGGGGGTCAGGTCCCAACAGATGTCTGGATTTAAGGGAGTTAAGTCTGTGTTGAAAGGTGGAAAGGGAGAAGAAGACATAAAGATGCATTTGTTTTTCTATACCACAAGGCTTTTGTGCCATGGTGCCCACGTGTATCAAAGTCAGGGAATCCCACTTCCTGGAAGCCAAGAGGAAGTCTCTCAAAACTAGGAGGGAAAGGTGTTTTCCCCACAACAGTCTGGCTTCGGAGACATTCTATTAGTGACCTATGCCCCTTCCCCCAAAAACGACAATGAAGTATTCTGTGTGCTCACAGCATAGCTTTTAAAAATATGTAAGTAAATAAGCCGGGCACGGAGGTGCACGCCTGTAATCCCAGCACTTTGGGAGGCCGAGGCAGACAGATCACAAGGTGAAGAGATCGAGACCATCCTGGCCAACATGGTAAAACCGTGTCTCTACTAAAAATACAAAAAAATTAGCCAGGCGTGGTGACGTGCGCCTGTAGTCCCAGCTACTTGGGAGGCTGAGGCAGGAGAATCACTTGAACCCAGGAGGCGGAGGTTGCAGTCAGCCGAGATTGCGCCACTGCACTCCAGCCTGGGGAGAGAGTGAGACTCCGTCTCCTAAATAAATAAATAAAACAAAATTCTGCATTTTTATGAAACTTGGTAAAAAATAGAATTTCAAACTATACAGTCACCAGAAGTACACAGTTATCAAAAATGCACACACTTCACTCGGCATCTGCAGCACCTTCAGCTTTCTGTGCCTGGTCTGATTTGGCATTTCCCATTTTCTACAGGGTTATTCACCTCCTTGCCAGCATCAGCTTTTTCCTTTTTCCCTTTGGGTACCTTCTCTCCCTCCTTTGCAGGGCCCTTTTGAAGCTTGGGCTCTGGCTTTGGAGGAGCAGGGTTAGCAGACAACCTTGCAGATCTTCTCTGTGGTTAGTCCTTTAACTTGGCATTATCTCCTTTAGCATCCCCTTCAGCCTTTCTCTAGGCATATTGGCAGCGACGGCGGCAGGATGTAG
The DNA here is from genome assembly GCF_000001405.40 of Homo sapiens. Lineage (NCBI taxonomy): Eukaryota > Metazoa > Chordata > Mammalia > Primates > Hominidae > Homo > Homo sapiens. The sequence continues at coordinate 96,915,930 of NC_000010.11, forward strand.
GTGCTAGGCGCAGGATGCAGTGGTGCGTGGCCTTTGGTAGTCCAAGGGTCATTCTCACCTCTTCTTCACACTGTTCCCATTGAAAGTTTTTATTTATTCATTTATTTATTTATTTATTTAGAGACGGAGTCTCGTTCTGTTGCCCAGGCTGGAGTGCAGTGGCGCAATCTGGGCTCACTGCAAGCTCCGCCTCCCGGGTTCACCCAATTCTCCTGCCTCAGCCTCCTGAGTAGCTGGGACTACAGGTGCCCGCCACCACTCCCGTCTAACTTTTTGTATTTTTAGTAGAGATGGGGTTTCACCTTGTTAGCCAGGATGGTCTCAGTCTCCTGACCTCGTGATCCGCCCACCTCGGCCTCCCAAAGTGCTGGGATTACAGGCGTGAGCCACCACACCCGGCCCCCTTGAAAGTTTATATTAACAGCAAGCAGATGATAAATCTAGTTGTTACTTTTATATTGTATTCTTCAACATGTATTTATGTTGAATACTTTGGGCATATTCAAACCTGCTCAATGTGACTTGCCTGTCATCTTACACCAGAATACTACAAATCAATAAGTATTTACCTGTGATATAAAAGGAACTATGGAAGAAAAAATTTCAATATAGTTTCTATCAAGAGTGAGAAAGAAACACATATGAGATATTTAAAGGCTATATATATATATATATATCTATATATATGATTATTTATTTTTTTGAGACGGAGTCTTGCTCTGTCTCCCAAGCTGGAGTACGGTGGCACGATCTCAGCTCGCTGCAACCCTCACCTCCTGGGTTCAAGCAATTCTCGTGCCTCAACCTCCTGAGTAGCTGGGACTACAGGCGCACGCCACCCCACCCAGCTAATTTTTGTATTTTTAGTAGAGATGGGGTTTCACCATGTTGGTCGGGCTGGTCTTGAACTCCTGACCTCAAGTGATCTGCCTGCCTTGGCTTCCCAAAGTGCTGGGATTACAGGCGTGAGCCACTGTGCCCAGCCTCTATGTGAGATTTAATAGAATGCAGAGTGAAATAGATATCACAAATTAATACGTGTTAATTAGGTGCTCAGTTAATTGTACAAATCTAAATTGCTGGGTCTAACCTTGTTAAATTTCCAGAGACGTTTGGTATAGATTATTTAGGATTAAAACTGCTTGATATGAATCAGTGCTCAGTAAGAGATTCCATGAAATATCAAAGAGTTTATTTTTTGTCTCCCAGTTCGTAGAGTTGTTTGCAAAAAACACAGGCAAGGAGAAATCATTAATTGGTGACTGCTCTGTTCAGTTTTATGTGGTCAGAGTCAATGAATAGACTAATCATTTGGCAGGTTTATTAAATGTGTGGTTCTGTGTTTGGCCAGAGAAGATAACAGAGAAGTAAAAGACCTGGTCCCCTCTTGGCTTGTGGAATATTGGGGAAACTATGAGTGGCAAAAGCAATTAGACTTGTAATCTATAAGGAGTTTTAAATCATCCATGCTGTGCATCCAGAACCAGAATTCTCATATATGCAGGGAACATTAAAAGTAAAATCCCATGCTCATTCCCATATGTAGTATTTTAGAGATAGTAGCTAATACAAGAAAATATAAGTACTGTAGCAGTTTGAGAGGTGCAGTAGATGACACTGGAGTTGCTTAATCTAGAAGTTAGAACTCAAACTGAACTTTAAAAGGATCTGTGTGTGTTTTAGAGTGGTTGGTTTGGTAATTGTTTTTAGGATGTAGTACAGAAGGATTTACAGCGAGAAAATTATGGGAGGGTCTTATAATAATTCACAAAATGAAACTGTTCTAGAGTCATGGCTGTGAAGATGCATAAGGAAGAGATGTGCGTAGAGAATCTGGAATAAAGAGTTGTCGAAGCTTAGTGATTACGTAAATATATAAATAAGGGAGAGGAAAGTGATACTGACGTTAGGCTTCCATCCCAGATGGCTTGGCATGAAATTAAAAGTCAATTAGAAGTCAAGAAGAGAGAAGGGAAAGTTTTGGTGCAGTGGCCAGTTTTATGAGGAGAGAATGGAGATAGCTCAAAGCATTTTGAGGTGAGAGTGAACATTTAATTGGAAGTGTCCAGTAGACAGGGTTGTGGGAAATGAGTTGAAATAAAAGGTCTGGGGTGAAGATATATTGGAGAGGGTTTCTGAAAACATGATTGGATTATTTGAGCAAACGAAGTTTCTAAGGAGTAAAGCACAAAATACTGAGTTTTATAGAAGACCTTCATTTTAGGAAGTAAGAATCAGATTAAAAATAAGATAGAGTCATAAAATAAATGAGTTACCCATTTTGCATCAGTTGTCTTCCTGGCCCCATACTCTATAATGACAGGGGGGATGGGTTGTCATGTTTGTCAAACTAATGTGGACTCCTGTACCATTTCCCAGAATGGACCTCAGATGGGTTGAGCAAGTACCCTCCAAACATACTACAATGGGCTTTGAGAGAATAGGTTCTCAAGAATTCTGGTTGTGAGGGACAGACTATAAGTCTGACAGCATTGATGAATATGTGGGTGTTGGTGGGAGTTAAGAAATGAATACACGCTACTGGCTTGAAAAGTTGTCAGTGAAAGGAATGATGAAAACAGCACCATAGAAGAATAGGCAAAGGATTTAAGTAAAGATTTTGAGAGCTAAAGGGAGAAGCTTAAGTACTATACTCATAGAAGAAGCTGAGATGAAGAAATTAAAAGGAGGGAACAGTTGGAAAAGGCAAGATTGTAAGAGAACCAACAAGGTATTAGTTACTGGACATTGGTAGGAGATTCCTACTGGAATTAGAATACAGTCAGTGTAACTTCAGGAGTTACAGTTGGTAGGAATTAAATCAGGCATGAATGCCTGAATATAAGAACCGTGGCCAACTGACTTTGCCCTCACAGTGAGAGCAGTGACTGGTGAGAAACTGTTAGATATGAAAGCATTGTTTAACACAATAGTAAGGTGGAATAGGCCGTAGTAACTGTACTTCTCTCATCTGCAGCACTGCTCAAAGTTTTCTAGTTACATCAGCAACAAAAAAGGTAAAGTTTCAAGAAAAGTAATAAGATTTCGTTATCTCTAGCAGTGCGTTAAGTATAAAAAACTACTGAAGTCTAGATATTAAACAAAATCTTATTTTTGTATTTTATATTTTGTCAGTGTAAAAACCATGAGGCAGTTGAAATGTATACACATTGAGGTACCTTTCAACTGTAAAATTATATGATTCTCTGAAAATCTGTTTTCGATAGCTTGCTTAAGGAGATTCTTAGAATTAATCAGTGATCTGAGTAAGTTTAGAATATGCCTACTTATATAAAAATTAGGGTTAGAGTTCCATAGAGCCTCAGTGTTTCATTTGAATGTCTTAATAGAGTCAGTATTTTCTTTCTTTCTGCCCATGAGTGTAGGTCTCACTTTTTTCTTTCCTTTCTTATGAACTGGTATTTGCACATTAGACTTTCTTTGTTCTTTCCCCTCAATTATGAAAGCTTGTATTTGTTCTGCTTCTCTTCCCCCCTTCCCCTTTTATTAGGTCTCCATCTTTTTTGAAATTATTTGCATTTTCTTCATGGATTGTATCTTTTTATTTTTTTAAATTACGGTAAAATATACATAACATTTACTATCTTAACCATATTTAGGTGTACAAGATGAGTAGTTAAGTACTTGCATTGTTGTGCAACCAGTCTCCAGAACTCTCTTCATCTTGTAAAATGGAAACTCTTTGTCCATTAAACAGTAACTCTCCCATTTCCTCCTCTCTTTAGCCCCTGGCAACCACTGTTCTACTTTTTGTCTCAATGAGTTTGCTTATTCCAGATATATAAGTAGAATCATATAGTATTTGTCGTTTTGTGACTGACTTGTATTGCCTAAGATAGTGTCCTTATGTTTTTCTATATTGTTGTATGTGTCAGAATTCCTTCCTTTTTAAAGCAGAACAATATTCCACTTATGTATATATCCCATTTTGTTCATCCATCCATCAGTGGACCCTTGGTTTGCTTTCACCTCTTAGCTGTTATAAATAATTCTGCTATGAACATGGGTATACAGATACCTCTTTGAGATCCTGCTTTCAGTTCTTTTTTGTGTATACCTAGAAATGGAATTGTTGGATCATATGGTAATCCTGTTTTTAAGTTTTTGAGAAATTATCAGACTTTGCCACATCAGCTGCATCATTTTACAGTGCTACCAGCAAGGCTAAAGGGTTCCAATTTTTCCGCATTGTTGCCCTCATTTGTTTTCTTCCGTGGGTGTATTTTTTTTTTTAATAGTAGCCATGCTAATGAACGTGAAGTAGTATCTCGTTGTGGTTTTGGTTTGCAGTTCCCTAGTGATTCATAGTGCTGAACAGCTTTTCATGTGATTGTTGGTCATTTGTATATCATGTTTAAAGAAATGTCTTGTTCAAGTTCTTTGCCCATTTTTGAATTCGGTTGTTTCTTGTTAAATTGTAGTTCTTCATTCATATATATATGTGTATATATGTGTATATATGTATATATATTCATATATATGTGTATATATGTGTATATATATGTATATTCATATATGTGTATATATATGTATATTCATATATATGTGTATATATGTATGTATATTCAGATATATGTGTATATATGTATGTATATTCATATATATGTGTATATATGTATGTATATTCATATATATGTGTATATATGTATGTATATTCATATATGTGTATATATGTATGTACATTCATATATGTGTATATATGTGTATATATGTATATATGTATATATTCATATATGTGTATATATGTTCATATATGTGTGTATATATGTATATATGTTCATATATATGTGTATATATGTATACACACACACACACACACACACACACACACACACACACACGCGCGGTGGGGGGGTGGTGGGCGGGAGACAGGATGTTACTCTGTTGCCCAGGCTGGAGTACAATGGTGCAAACACTGCTTGCTGCAGCCGTGACCTCCCGGGCACATGTAATCCTCCTGCCTCAGCCTCCCAAGCAGCTGAGACCACAGGCACTTGCCACCACACCTGGCTAATTTTTAAATTTTTTGTGGAGATGGGGCCTTGTCATGTTGCCCAGGCTGGTCTTGAACTCCTAGACTCAAGAACTCTTAGAATCCTAGAACTCCTAGGCTCATGCTGTCCTTCCTCCTTGGCCTCCCAAAGTGCTGGGATTACAGGTGTGAGCCACCACCCCCAGCCTATATGTTCTTAATATTAACCCCATATCAGATATATAATTTGCAAATTATCTCCCATTTTATAATTTATTTTTTCACTCTGTTGTGTCCTTTGATGCACAAAATTTAAAAATTTGATTTAATTCAATTTATCTATTTTTACTTTTGTTGTCTGTTCTTTTGGAGTTGTATACAGAAAATCATTGCCAGATCCAGTGTCGTGAAGCTTTCCGAACCCTGTTTTCTTCTAAAAGTTTTATAGTTTTAGCTCTTACAATTAGGTCTTCAATCTATTTTGAGTAAATTTTTATATACGGTGTACGGCAAGGATCCAGCTTCATTCTTTATTTAATTTTAATTTTTATTTTTTGGAGACGGAGTTTCGCTCTATCTCCCAGGCTGGAGTACAGTGGCACAATCTTGGCTCACCACAACCTCCGCATCCTGGATCCAAGCGATTCTTGTGCTTCAGCCATAAGAGTAGCTGGGATTACAGATGCATGCCATCACACCTGGCTAATTTTTTTGTATTTTTAGTAGCGATGGGGTTTTACCATGTTGGCCAGGCTGGTCTCAAACTCCTGGCCTCAAGTGATCCACCTGCCTTGGCCTCCCAAAGAGCGAGGATTACTGGTGTAAGCCACGGCCCCCAGCCCAGCTTCATTAGCAGCATGTGGATGACCACATTTCCCAACACCAGTTGCTGAGAAGAATTGTTTCTCCCATTGAATCGTGTTGGTACCCTTGTAGGAAATCATCTGACCACATCTGAGCGTTTATTTCTGGACTATCTATTTCTGTTTCATTAGTCTATGTGTCTGTCTGAATGTCTACTAGCACCACATTCTGGGAGGGATTACTGTAGCTTTGTAATAAGTTTTGAAATCAGGAGGTGTCAAACCCAGAATGTTTTTCTTTTTCAATATTGTTTTGGCAATTTGGGATCTCTTGAAACTTCAGGGTGGATGTTTTTTCTGCCAGAAATGCCATTGGGATTTTGATAAGGATTGCATTAAATGTGTAGATCATTTTGGATTGTATCAGCTGGCAATATTAAGTCTTTGCCTTTTTATTTCTTATATATTTTTAAAAATAAAATTTCCTAAGTTTTTTTTTTCTAAATTTAAAATCAACAACTATATATTTCGTTCTTCCTACATCAGAAGGACCAGCCACTGTGGGATCAATAAAGATGCTATAAGTGAAAGAAAGAAGTTTTGGCCACAGATATTATTTTCAAGGAATTTACAGTCTGTTGGAGGAGATTAAAAATAGAAGTAAATACACAAGTTAATGACTATTGCTGTCAGAATAGTAGAAAGTCCTATAGGAATTTAGAAAATGGCAAAATTACTCTCAACCAGGCTTTATAATGCGATTGCCTCAAATATGCAGTTGGATATTCTTGCATTTGTAATAGTCTTAGCCAAAGTCATTATGAAGAGCAGATTGAAATTCAGGGAACCTTCTGATTGAGATTGGGCTGAGCATGAATATTGGGAGTAGTATAAACTTTGAATTTCCAACCAATAGAGGCATAAAGAAATGCTTGCTATTGTCTGTGGGGGTGGTTTGCTTTTTTCGTTTAATGTTGTTAAAAACTATACATGTATAATGGATAAAACTATCAACAGCAAATGCTGATTATAGATACTGGTCAATTAACTAGTGTAATAGTAATAATAGCCATTTGCTGCTTACCCTTTAGGCTTAATTTCTATGAGCAGTAATATATATATTGACAAGAGTCATTTGTGGTAGGTTTGTACATTTTGAATGCCGTATTTAACTCTTCAAGTGTGTCTAGTGTCAAACTTTTTGGTTTTCTATTCATTAACTTGATAGTCTGCTTAACAGTCAGTGGTAACGTTGACATATGGCAAAGATTATATTAAGCACAATTCATACTTTATGTAAAAAGCAATAATTTAAGCAAAGTAAGGTTTTCTGTTAGATAATTGACCTTAAAGTGTATGGACATTTAAATGGTGGAGACATTTCCCCTAAGACTTGTTGGCATTTAAAGTAATAAGATGTAGGAAAGTGGCATTTAAATCAATGAGTTGCATCATGTCAGCTCTTTTTAGCTCATTGCTTGAAATGTCAGTAGCAGATATGGCTGTAGCTGTAGGCCCATGATCTGTCTATTCGGGGAGTCTTTGCTAACATAATTATTACAAAACCTGCATGTGTTCACACGCTTTTAATTCCCAAATTTTCTCTATCCTATAGTATGAATTTAAAACAATATTACCTAAATTTGGAGAATCCAAGCACTGAGTTTAGACAGGGGTGGCATTAAAATGTCATCCTATTGTCACACTTCTGCAGTCTAGGCCATCCTACCCTTTCCTATTGAAACTGCATTGTATCCTCTGTTTCCTCTCTTGAGGTCTTACCTCTCAAATAGAAAATAAGTAACACTATGTAAGTAAGCATCCTCCTCCTTTAATCTTATCACCCAAAACACATCTAAACTCACAAGGTGACAGATATTAGAGCTACAAAAGAAACTTTCGGAAATGTTCATCTTTATTGTTAAAAATTTAACCATATTAACTATTTATTGCCTTAAGGACTAGATTCCATGCTGACATAATTTTGTAGCTTTGTTTATTCAGTGATATCTTTGCTATTTCAGGGACCATTGGAGCTATTTCTGTTACAGTTCTTGGAGGAATCTTAACAGTTCTCTTTATCAGGGGTCAGCAAACTAAGACTTGTCACTAAATCTAGCCCACAGGCTGTTTTTATAATACCCACAAGCTAAAGAGTTGTAAGCAACTCAGAGTAAGCAACAGAGACTCTATCTGGCCTGTAAAACCTAAAATATTTACTCTCCGGCCCTTGACAGAAAATTGTGTACTCTGTTTTTAATATCTTCACCAGGTTCTCGAGATATTAAGAGAAGTCTGAAAGTCATTCACTTCCATATGCTGCTTTTATTCTCTTTCTCTTCATCCTCAAATCAGGTACCAGTACCTGTACCACAAGCAAATATAAGTTAATGGCAGGACGGCTGGGATTATGGAGGAGAAGGTGGAGGAGAAACAAAGGAAACTGGCTTGTGGGAGAAAAGTAGGGCTCCATCTTTGTCCACCTTACTTTTATTTTGAGACAGTTTCACTTTGTTACCCAGGCTGGAGTGCAGTGACGTGATCTCGGCTCGCTGCAGCTTCAACCTCCTGGGCTCAAGTCATCCTCCAGCCTCAGCCCCACAAGTAGCTGGGACTGCAGGCGTGTGCCTCTACGCCCAGCCAATTTGTTTTTGTTTGTTTGTTTGTTTGTTTGTTTGTTTGTTTTTTGTATTTTTTGTAGAGATGGGGTTTTGCCATGTTGCCCAGGCTGGTCTCAAAGTCCTGAGTTCAAGTGATCCACCCGCCTCAGCCTCCCAAAGTGCTGGGATTATAGATGTGAGCTACTGCGCCCAGCCACATTAAAAAATTTTTTATTTTGAAGTAATTTCACACTTACAGAAAAGTTGCAGGACTAGTACAAAAATACCTATATACCCTTCACCGAGATTCACCAATTGTTATTTTGCCATATTTGCCTTATTATTTAGTCATTTTTGTTCTTTGTCATAATTACTACTTACAACGCAGGCATTTTCTTGAGCCATATGAAAATAAGTTGTGGACATCACACCCCTCAGACCTCTTTACTCTTAAATATTTCAGTGTGTATTTCCCTTTATCCTAAGAACAAGGATATCTGCTTACTGAACCACACTATATAGTTTCCAAAGTCAGGAAAGTTAACCCTGATATAATATTACCTAATATATGAATCTTACTCAAATTTTACCGATTATCCCAGTGACCTTTATATTCTCCCTTCTTAGTTTAAAATCCAATTTAGCATCACTCATTAAATTTGATTTCCACTACTCTTTAGTCTCCTTTAGTCTAGAATGGTTCCTCAACCATTTATTTATTTATTTATTTTATTTATTTATTTTCATTTTTATTTATTTATTTATTTTTTGAGATGGAGCTTCACTGTTGCCCAGGCTGAAGTACGGTGGTGCAATCTGGGCTCACAGCAACCTCCGCGTCCCGGGTTCAAGTGGTTCTCCTGCCTCAGCCTCCTGAGTAGCTGGGATTACAGGTGTGCACCACCACGCTCAGCTAATTTTTGTATTTTTAGTAGAGACAGGGTTTCACCATGTTGGCCAGGCTGGTCTTGAACTCCTGATCTCAGGTGATCACCTGCCTCGGCCTCCCAAAGTGTTGGGATTACAGGCATGGCCACTGGGCCCAGCCCTTTTATTTATTTTTAATGACAATGACATTTTTTAATAGGATGGAACATTTATTTTGTAGAATTTCTCTTAATTTAGGTTTTTCTGATGTTTCTTTATGATTAAGTTCATAATATTAAATAAGTGATAAATTATTAAATAAGTGATATATCCTCCTTTATGCATCATATCATGAAGCATACAATGCCAGTTTAATCAGGTGATGTTAACTTTGTTTTTACTTATTTTATTTTATTTTATTTTTGTGTGTGTATGTGTGATGTTAACTTTGATCACTTGGTGAGTTGATGTCTGCCAGGTTTCTCCACTGAAATATTACTATTTTCCCCTTTATAATAAATAAGTTATTTGTGGGGAGATACTTTGAGGCTGTATAAACATCTTATCAAACTTTGATCCATTTTAGTTTTAGTATCAGTGATAGTTTCTTGCCTAAATCAGTTGCTCTGATAGATGGAAAATGGTAATTTCTTAACCCCTTTTTTTCTTCTGTATTTTTTAGTTAGCTTTATACTTTGAGGAAGACCTGTCCCTTTCCTGTATCAGTTTGAAGTCAGGATTCTTATTCTATGCAATAAGTTTTCTGTTAATGTTTCATATTTGGTCAGTGGAAGCCCCTTTCAGGCCACCTCCTGTGTCCTTTTGACATGTCCCAGGCTTTTTATGAGCACCTCTTAAATTCTGTTACAAGATGTTCTAAATTCATCTTGTCCTTTTCCTGCTCTAACAATGGAATCCATTTTTCTAAAGAGATCTGGTTCCTTTGGTGAGGAATTGTTGATACACATACCCCCTTTTTTGCCCATCTGCATACAGCTTCATTCACAAACATCAGCCATTGGGCAGTAGCCTCCTTATCTTGGTTTGCATTTTTTGGTGGTAGCAAAAATACTGAAATGTCGTTAACTCATAGCCACTAACAGCATATCCTTTCAGAATATTGTGCAAAGAAATTTATGGAAAGTAAAATACATAGGTTTTCAACTTAAATGTATGCTTGCTTTTTAGGGGAAAGATAGTCAAGTGAAGTTTTGAAAATAATCACATATCTTTGTGACATATCTTTGTGACACAAATAACAAGCAAAAATCATTTCTTTGATTTCAAGTGATTAGTTCAAGAGTTGAAAGTCAGTGATATATTCAGTATCTTTAATACCCTGAACCTATTTTTAATGATATTTAGGCACTGAGATAGTATTTATGTACAATAAAATTCATCCAAAGAGTACATTTGGATGAATTTTGGTAAATGTATACAGTTGTCTAACCAGCATAGTGAGAGACACAGGACATTTCCCTCACCCTAAGAAGTTTGTATGTGCCCTTTATAGTCAGTCCCCTTCCCAGACTCCCAGACCTGCACAATTATGAGTTTTACCTTTTCTAGAATTTTATATAATAGGAATCATAAAATACATAGTTTTTTTATGTTTGACTTCTTTTTGTTAGCATAATTTTTTGGGTTTTATTTTTGTTTTTGTATATAAGCTTTTGTTCCTTTTTATTGCTGAGTAGTTCTCCATAGCATGGATATGCTACAGTTTGTTTATCATTTCACTTTTTTATGGACTTTTGAGTTGTTTCCAGATGTTGATTATTATGACTTAATTGTGTACATCTTTTTGTGGACATATTGTTTGATTTCTTTGGGATCAATACCTAGAGTTGGAATTGCTGAGTGGTATTGTAAATATATGTTTAACGTTATATTATGATACGGTTTACCAAAGTGACTGAACCATTTTGTGTTTCCATCAGCAGTGTATGAGAGTTCCAGTGTTCCTCGTCTTACCAACATTTGGTATCATCAGTCTTTTTAACATAAGCCATTCTAGTGGGTGTGTGTAGTGGTATCTCATTTTGGTTTTAATTTTTATTTCCCTGATACTGGTGAGGTTGAGCATCCTGTCCATCTATATATTTTATGTGATGTGTTTGTTTGAATCTTTTACCAATTTTAGAAAACATTATTATAAGTTATAATAATTCTTTATATATTTTGTATAAACCCTTTGGTCAGGTATGTTATACAAATATTTTCTCTGAGGCTTGTCTTTTTCTTTGCGTCATTTGAAAAGCAGTTTTTTTTTTATCTCAATGAAGTTTATCAATCTTTTTCTCTTAAAATTTATGTTTTTTAATGTCCTGTTCAAAAAAATCTTTGCCTATACCAAATGCAAAAGAAAATCTCATGTTTTCTTCTAAAAGTTTAGTAGTAACTGTTATATTTTGATCTCTGATCCATTTCTATTTAATTTTTCTATATGGTGTGAGGTAGGAGTTGAGGTTTTATATTCCAAAAGAAAATCCATTTGTTCTAGCACCATTTGTTGAAAAGACTGTCTTTTGCCACATTGAATTACCTTGACATCTTTGTTTGGTCATTTGACCATATACATGTTGGTATATTTCTGGACCCTACAGACATACCTGAGAGATAATGTGGATTGGGTTCCAGACCATCATAATAAAGCGAATGTCACAATAAAGCAAGTCACATTATTTTTTTGGTTTCCCAGTGCATATAAAAGTTATGTTTATATTGTAGTCTGTTAAGTGTGCAATAGCATTATATATAAAGAAACAATGTATATAACCTAAGAAATGCTTTGTTGTTGAAAATTGCTAACAATTATGTGAGCCTTCAGTAAATTGGAATCTTTTTGCTGGTGAAAGGTCTTGTCTTGATGTTGACTGCTGCCAACTGATCAAGTTGGTGGTTGCTGAAAGTTGGGGTGGCTGTGGCAATTTCTTGAAAGAAGACAACAATGAAGTTTGCTGCATGGATTAACTTCTTTTCAGGAAAGATTTCTCTGTAGCATGTGAGGCTGTTTGCATTTTACCCGTAGTAGAACTTCTTTCAAAATTGGAGCCAGTTCTCTCAAACCCCATTGCTGCTGTATCAACTAAGTTTGCTTAATATTCTATATCCTTTGTTGTTATTTCAACAATGTTGACAGCATCTTCACCAGGAGTAGATTCCATCGTAAGAAACCACTTTCTTCAAAACATGATGTAGACTCATTTAAAAAAAAATAAACCACTGTTTTGTTTTCTCATCCATAACAAGCAACTCTTCACCCTTTCAAGTTTTGTCACGAGATTGCAGCAATTAAGTTACATCTTAAGGCTCCACTTCAAGTTCTCTTACCATTTCCACCATATCTGCAGGTCCTTCCTCCACTGATGTCTTGAACTTCTCCAAGTCATCTGTGAGGGTTTGAATCAGCTTCTTCAAAACTCTTGTTAATATTTATATTTTGTTCTTCTCTCTTGAATCACGAATGTTCTTAATGGCATCTAGAATGGCAAATCTTTTCCGGAAAGTTTTTAATTTACTTTGCCTAGATCCTTCAGAGGAATCACCAGCTATGGCAGCTATAACCTTGCGAAATGTATTTCTTAAGTAACAAGACTTGAAAGTCAGTATTACTCTTGGATACATGGGCTGCAGAATGGGTATTGTGTTAGTAGGCATGAAAACAACATTAATCTCCTTGTACATCTCCATCAGAGCTCTTGAATGACCAGGTGGATTGTCAGTGAGCAGTAATATTTTTAAAGGAATCTTTATTTTTTTCTTTCTGAGCAGTATGTCTTAACTGGGGACTTAAAATATTCAGTAAACCATAATATAAACACATGTGTTGTCATCCAGGCTTTGTTGTTCTGTTTATAGAGTACAGGCAATGTAGAGTTAGCATAATTCTTAAGGGCCCTCGAATTTGGGGAATCGTAAATGAGCACTGGCTTCAACTTTGGTCACCACTGCATTAGACTCTAACAATCTCATCAACCTGTTCTTGAAGCTTTGAAGCCAGGCATTGACTTGTCCTCTCTCACTATGAAAGTCCTTGCTGACATCTTCCAGTATGAGGCCTTTTTGTCTACATTGAAAATCTGTTGTTTTGTGTAGCCACCTTCATCAGTGATCTTAGAGTGATCTTCTGTATAACTTGGTGCAGCTTCTGTATCAGCACTTGCCACTTCACCTTGCACTTTTGTTGTTACAGAGATGACTTCTTTTCCTTAAACCTCATAAGCCAACCTCGGCTAGCTTCCAGCTTTTCTTCTGCAGCTTCCTCACCTCTCAGCCTTCATAGAATTGAAGAGAGTTAGAGCCTTGCTCTGGATTAGGCTTTGGCTTAAGAGAATGTTGTGGCTGGTTTGATCTTCTATCCAGACCACTCAGACTTTCTCCATATAAGCAATAAAGCTGTTTTACTTTGTCATTTTTGTGTTCACTGGAGTAGCACATCTAATTTTCCTTAAGAACTTTTTCCTTTACATCCACAAGTTGGCTAACTGACATTAGAGACCTATGTTTTGACCTGTCAGCTTTCAGCATGCCTTCCTCACTAAGCTCAATCATTTAAATCAAAAGCTCAAGCTTTTGATTTAAAGTGAGAGACATGCAACTCTTCCTTTCACTTGAACACTAGAGGTCATTGTAAAGTATATTAACTGGCCTAATTTCTATATTGTGTCTCAGGGAATAGGAGGTCGAAGGAGAGGGAGAAAGACAAGGGAACAGGTGTTCAGTGGATCAGAACACACCTAACATTTATCAATTTAGTTCACCATCTTATACAGGTGCAGTGTGTGGGACCTCAAAATAATTCACTACAGTAACATAAAAAATCACTAATTAGGAATCACCACTGTGAATAGTAACCATTAAAAAGATTGAAATATTGCAAATATTACAAAAATGTGACACCAAGTGGTGTCACCATATGCTCTTGGGAAAATGGCACCACTAGACTTGGTCGACACAGGGTTGCCCCAAACCTTTAATTTGTGAAAGACACGGTATCTGCCAAGTGCAATAAAGTGAGGTGTGCCTGTGTTGTATGCCATTGATCTATATGTCTGTCCTTACACCAGTACCACAGTGTCTTTATTATATCTTTAAATGTAGAAATCTAGTAGTATGAGTCTTCCAGTTTTTTAGTTTTTCAAACTTGTTTTGCTAATCTAGGTCTTTGATCTTTCTTTATAAAGTTTATAAAGATTATAATCACCTTACCAATTCTTGAAAAAACCTTTGAGGATTTTGATTAGGATTGTATTGAAACTTCGATTAATTTGGAAAGAATTGCCACGTCAGTAGTGGTATTTCAGTTTACATAGTTTATCTCACCTGTATTAGTTTTTACTTTCTCTCAGCAGTGTTTTTATACTGTCATTTCCCTTCAACCCGAATAACTTCCTAAAGCATTTCTAGTGGCTTTGAGAGAGAGCTACTTTAAATTGTGGAGAAAAGCGTAGAGTAAACTGCTGTGCTTTGAATGGGTCCTCTCCAAAATTCAGGTGTTGCCAATGTGATAGTATTAAGAGGTGGGGCCTTTTAAGAGGTGATTAGGCCATAAGGACTCCTTCCTCCTTAATGGAATTAAAAAAGGGGCTTGGTGTAGGGTTAGGCTAGCTTACTTGCCCTTCTCTGCCTTCTGCCATGTGAGAGCGCAGCAAGAAGGCCTTCACCAGACACCGAATGCTGTTGCCATGATTGTGGAATTCCAGGTTCCAGACTGTGAGAAAATAAGCTTCTGTTATTTATAAATGACTTACTCTCAGGAATTTTATTATAGCAGCACAAAATGGGCTAGACAAACTCCATATTTGAAAATGTATTTTAGATACTTTATAGCCCTTCCTAGAAAACATAATAAAGGCTCCTATTAGATAATAAAAGTGTATATTTGTAAAGCTTTTACTATTATTACAAATTATGACAAATATTATTTATAATATTATTATTAAAGCTTTTCCTGTTGGAAAATATCTCAGCCCATTTAGTATTGTATTTCCTCCCCTGTTTTGGGTGATGGATGGTGACACCACAAAGCACTGGTATTTTTTTTTTTTTTTTTCTTTGAGATGGAGTCTTGCTCTGTTTCCCAGGCTAGAGTGCAGTGGTGTCATCTTGGTTCACTGCAACTTCCGCCTCCCAGGTTCAAGTGATTCTTCTGCATCAGCTTCCTGAGTAGCTGGGACTACAGGTGCACACTACCATGCCTGGGTAGTTTTTTTGTATTTTTGGTAGAGATGGGGTTTCACCATGTCGGCCAGGCTGGTCTCAAACTCCTGACCTCAAGTGATCCACTGCCTCGGTGTCCCAAAGTGCTGGGATTAACAGCATGAGCCACTGCGCCTGGCAGCATTGGTAGTTTCTATAGCTCTTTTTCTTTCTGCTTCTCCCTACCACCTTCCACAACTCCTTTAAAAGAAATTACTTAAAGGATATTGGGAAGTGGACGCAAAGTAGTGAGTCTACCAGAGAACATAACAACCTGAAGATAGATGGACCTACACTTTCTCCTGAAAGCTGTATACAAAATTAAATTTTATATACAAACATATGTAAATACATTCTTCATTTGTTTCAGCAGCAGCAGTTAGGAAGTAAAAGAAAAATCCTTTTCATAATGACAAGAAAAAAGTAAGATAATAAGTACGTGGGAACTGTGTGAATAAACTTTGAAATCCATTAAAGTCCACTTGGGTAAATTTAAACAGTTCCTAAAAGAGAAGACTGAATGTTTTAAGGATATTACTCTTTCTGAATTACTCTCTAGGTATAATGCTATTGTGATCAAAAACACATTGTATGTCTTTGGGGAGCTTTTGCTGGGGGGATAGCAGAATTCACTAATCTAGGTCTTTGATCTTTCTTTATAAGTGATTTTAAATATAATCTGAAGAATAAAGCTAGAATGGCCAGGATATCTTAAAGATATAAATAATGAGGGGGATTTTCCTTCCTAAATGCTAAGACTTATGTAATTTTAAAAATATGCCACTGACGATAGATTTGAAAAATAAATCAATAAATGAAATTAATGTTTATAGAACTATTATGATGATTTTATAAAAAGTACCCTCAAACATTGCTTGGAAAATTAAGTGTTATTCAGTAGATGGTGCTAGAATTATTATTGGTTAATCATTATATTGCTTCCAGTAAACTCATAGGAAAGGAAAAAACTATATAAGAACAATAAACCATTAAAACATATTGATCCTTACCAGTAATCAGAGAAGTGCAAATTGAAACAAGGAACCTTTTTTATTTTATTTTATTTTATTTTATTTATTTTTATTTTTTGAGACAGAGTCTCGCTCTGTTCCCAGGCTGGAGTGCAGTGGTGCGATCTTGGTTCACTGCAACCTCCGCCTCCCGGGTTCAAGCAATTCTCCTGCCTCAGCCTCCCGAGTAGCTGGGACTACAGGCGCACGCCACCACACCTGGCTAATTTTTGTATTTTTAGTAGAGATGGGGTTTCACCATATTGGCCAGGATGGTCTCGATCTCCTGACCTTGTGATCCACCTGTCTCGGCCTCCCAAAGTGCTGGGATTACAGGCATGAGCCACCATGCCTGGACCAAAGAATCATTGTATACCAATGAAATCTGATGTCTACAAGTGTTGCACCATAGTACCCCGAACACTGCAAGTGGGAATACAAATTGGTATAACTTTTCCTTAGAAAAAAGTTTGTGAATATGTTTCAAGAAAGGAAGAAATTGTTTATTTTGGTTGATGGTTTCTCTTATAGTAATCTATCCCAAGGAAATAATGAGAATGTGGAACAAATTCATTAAAATGCACAGTTATAGTAACAAAATAAAAAACTGGTCTAATTGCAAATTATGGTACATTTATTAAGATAAGTGTTTTTGAAGAATATGTAACAATGTAAGAAAGAAAATCCTAATATTAATTGAGGATAAGTAAAATGATCTTCAGTGTGAGTCTCATTTAATTTTTTTAAGTTAATATGTCTGCGTATGTGTTTTTTAGGGGAATATATCAAATGATTGGCAGTTCATAGCTAAGATTGTTGAGAATACTAGTTGTTTTTACTTTCTCTTTATAGCTTTGTGTACAAGGTAGCTTTTTTCAGGATCTTCCAGAGAATGAGAAGAACAAGCATTATTTATAAAAGCATAAACCTTGTAGGATTTCTGTGCAATATATTTGCTTTAAGAAAAATGAAACTATAGATGATTGTGGCTTATAAATTTTTATTGATAAATGGTGAAACCTTTATTTATATAGAGGAATAAAAGACAAAAGAACACAAGTCCCTGGTTAAGTTAATATAAAGTTAGTAGCTTAAATGGAATTGGTTTCAATTTACAGATGGAAAGACTCTTTTTGAGATGGAGTCTCGCTCTGTTGCCCAGGCTGGAGTGGAGTGGCACGATCTGGGCTCACTCAACCTCCGTCTCCTGGGTCCAAGCAATTCTCCTGCCTCAGCCTCCTGAGTAGCTGGGATTACAGGTGCATGCCACCACGCCTGCCTAATTTTTGTATTTTTAGTAGAGATGGGATTTCACCGTGTTGATCAGGCTGGTTTTGAACTCCTGACCTCGTGATACACCCGCCTCAGTTTCCCAAAGTGCTAGGATTACAGGCATGAGTCACCGTGCCTGGCCGAAAGACTCTTAATAGATTAAAACACAAATAAAAAGATACACTTGGATTTTTCAATATTGATTTCTCTTATGTAGTTCATGAAATAATTCACTTTGAAAATACTTCTGACTCAACAATTTACAGCTGTCTAGTTTCTTGAAGTTCCATAGATTGAAGAGTTTTATAGCATTTGTTTAGCATATTTTTCTGCTAAGTGTTTTGTCAGGAAAAAAGTTGTGATGTTCACCTTAGCAAATTTCACAGCTTTGGCGAGACTTAATTCTAAATACAACAACTCTTATTTAATGTAGGAAAATAATAAAGTTATCTTTAAAGTAATCCAGATTCAGAGGATTCAAATAAGATGGTAATAAGCTTTATAATCTTTAAATGGATTCTCTAGGTAAGATTACATATATTGTTTTTGTGTAACTGAATTTAAGCCAAAAGTCCATTAAGTAAACAGTATAGGACTATGAGAGATGGAGGAAACCCTTTGGGTTAATGGTGGTGTCACTGTAACAAATGCCTTAATTCTTCTACTCTCATCCCTCCCTCATTTTTTCAGTTGTTTATTAAGGAGAGAGTTTTTAAAAAGCTTAAGGACTGCTTTCTACCCTAGAGCTATAGAGTCATAAGCTCTGTGGACTTCTAGGCATATATGCTCCTAAGAAGCTCACAGTAGATTATATAACAGAGCCACTTCTGCCTATGAGCCAGCCAATCTAGGTGGCCCAGTCTCTGCATCCTGAAGGAAGCAACTCCTCCTAGGAGATAGAAATTCCAGTTGAAATCTGCAACTTTATTTTTATTTATTTTTTTAAGACAGAGTGTCACTCTGTCACCCAGGCTAGAATGCAGTGGCGCAGTCTTGGCTCACTGCAACCTCCGCCTCCTGGGTTCAGGAGATTCTCGTGCCTCAGCCTCCTGAGTAGCTGGGATTACAGGCATGCGCCACCATACCTGGATAATTTTTGTATTTTCAGTAGAGACAGGGTTTTGCCATGTTGGCCAGACTGGTGTCAAACTCCTGCCATCAAATGAGCTGCTCGCCTCGGCCTCCAAAAGGGCTGGGTTTACAGGCGTGAGCCACCGCACCTGGTCTGAATCTCCAACTTTACTCCTATTTAGTTTTATGCCAACAACTTGTTCTTTAATAATAAATATTCCTAAATTTATTAGGAATAATAAATGCAAAGAAAATGGTTTTTGAGTTACAGAAGATTTTGCATCTTTTTGTTATTTGCCATACTATACAATAATGTATTATTTTAGAATTCAGCTGAGGGGAGATGACATGAATTGGTTTCTTTAACTTTTCCTTATCTCCTGGCTATTTTACTTTTTTTTTTTTTTTTTTTTTTTTTTTGAGACAGAGTGTCACTCTGTCACCCAGTCTGGAATGCAGTGGTATGATCTTGGCGCACTGCAACCTCCACCTCCCGGGTTCAAGCATTTCTCCTGCCTCAGCCTCTTGAGTAGCTAGAATTACAGGTACGTGCCACCACCCCTGGCTAATGTTTATATTTTTAGCGGAGATGGGGTTTCACCATGTTAGCCAGGCTGATCTCAAATTCCTGACCTCAGGTGATCAGCCTGCCTTGGCCTCCCAAAGTACTGGAATTATAGGCTTAAGCCACTGCGCCTGGTCATCTCCTGGCTATTTTATTAGCTCTGTTAGTTGTATGTCATACAAACTTTTTTATTCTTACTGGTTCATTTTATTGGAAGGGTTGACTTTACAAACAGAATTCCAGCAGGGTGTGGTGGCTCTCGCCTGTAATCCAGCACTTTGGGAGGCCAAGGCAGGAGGATTGCTTGAGGCCAGTAGTTCTGCAACAACCTGGGCATAGAGTGAGACTCCTTCTCTACAAAATATTTTAAAAATTAGCCTGGTGTGGTGGCACACACCCGTAATCTCAGCCACTTGGGAGGCTGAGGCAGGAGGATGGCCTTAGCCCAGGAAGGCAAGGCTTGCAGTGAGCTGTGATTGTGCCACTGCACTCAAGCCTGGGCAACAGAGCAAGATCCTGTCTTTAAACAAACAAACAACAACGACAAAAACAGAGAACTCCAGAACTCTCTGGCTTAGAAAATCTCACACCTAAAGGTGTTGAAAATGATGAAGATCTGTGTGAATAGTTAAGAGACACCTGGAAGGTCCATCATATTCGTAGCAACAGGTGAAATGACAGACCTATTAAATGTTTGTTTATTTGATTCATGAATCGGGCAGCCTCCCGAGCCACAGTAGGCTCTGAGATTCCCCTGTTAGACGTTTAACAGATAATCAGAATAAGAGACAGCTAAGAGCCCTCCTGGGGTTGGAGCAAACCTCAAACACTGGCAACAACATGCCCCTGCAAAGGGGCCCACCAGCTTTTATTGGATCAGGCAAAGGAAATTAGAAACTAGTTTCAGATGAATTTTTAAAACTTACCAAAACGAATGAGATGTACTTAGCAGTACTTAGAGGATGTGTGTTTAAAAAGCATATCTCAAATCAATACCCTAATCATCCACATTAGGAAACTAGAAAAAGAAGAGCAAACTAAACCCAAAGCAGGCAGAAAGAGAGAAATAATAAAGATGCGAGAGCAGAAAGAAATGAAGTAATGTAAAAAATGATAGAGAAAATCAACAAAACCAAAAACTGGTTTTTTTAAAATATCAAATTAGGTAAACTTTAGCACTGATCAAGAAAAATAGAAGACTCAAGTTACTAATCACAAATGAAATATAGGAAGTCAGAAGTAAAAAGAATTGGGGAATACAGTGAACACAATGTGTATGCCAGCAGTTTAGAGAATTTGATGAAATAGGCAAATTCCTAGAAAGTTACAAACTTACCAATACTGATGTAAGGCGAAACAGAAAATCTGAATAAATCTATGATGCAGATTGAATTGTGTCCCCCTAAAACATGAATCCACCCCTGGTACCTGTGAATGTGACCTTATTTGGAAATACAGTAGTCTTCCCCCTTATAAGGGGGATGCCTGAAACTACAGATCGTACCAAACTCTATATATACTATGTTTTTTTCCTGTACACACATACCTATGATAAAGCTTAATTTGTAAATTAGTCACAATAAGAGATTAAAACTAATAATAAAATTGAACAATTATAACAATATACTATAACAAAAGTTATGTGAATATTCTCTCTCTTTTCTCAAAATATTTTATTGTACTATACCATGGGTAACTGTGGAAAGCAAAACTGCAGATAAGAGGGGACCACTGTAAGGTCTTTGCAGGTGTAATCAATTTATGATGAAGTCATGTTGGATTAGAGTGGACCCTAAATCCAATGACTGGTTGCCTTATAAGGAGAAAGAGACTTGGAGACACAGACACACACACAGGGAAGAGGACCATGTAAAGATGGAGACAGAGATTGGAGTTACACTGCCACAAGGCAAGGAATGCCAAGGATTGTCAGCAACCACCAGAAACTAGGAAGAGGCAAGGAAGGACTCTTCTCTAGACCTTTCAGAGGGAAAATGACCCTATTGACACCCTAATTTTGGGTGCCTGGACTCCAGAGCTGTGAGAGAATAAATCTCTGCTGTTTTAAGCCACCCAGTTTGTGATAAAATATAACACCCCTAGGGAACTAATACTTAGAACAAGTATTGAGATTAAATTAGTAATTTATAAACTCCCATCAAAGAAAAGCCCATGGCCAGGTATCTTCACTGGTATATATATTTTTTCTTTCTTTTTTTAAATAGAGATGGGGTCTCATGATATTGCCCAGGCTGGTCTTGAACTCCTGGGCTCAAGCAATCTGCCCGCCTCGGCCTCCCAAAGTGCTGGGATTAGAGGTGTGAGCCACCACACTCTGCCTTCACTGGCATATTCTGTCAGACATTTAAAGACAAATTAATACCATTTCTTCACAAACTTTTTCAAAGTATAGGAGAAGAGAGAAGACGTCCTTATTCTGGGAGGCCAGTATTATTTATACGAAAACCAAAGATATCACAAGAAAACTACAGACAAATACCATTTATGAGTACCAGCACAAAAAAATCCTCAACAAAACATTAGCAAATCAAAATTTGCAACATATAAAAAGTGTTATACACCACAACCAAGTGGAATTTATCCCAGGAGTGCAAAGTTGGTTTAACTATTTATTTATTTATTTATTATTTGAGGGTCTCGCCCTGGTCTTGCCCTGTCGTCCAGGCTGGAGCACAGTGGCACAATCATGGCTCACTGCAGCCTTGACCTCCCAGGCTCAGGAAATACTCCTGCCTCAGCCCCCAAGTAGGTGCGACCACAGATGTGCACCACCATGCCCAGCTGTTAATAATTTTTTAACTGATTTGTAGAGACGGGGGTCTCCCTATGTTGCCCAGGCTGGTCTCGAACTCCTGGGCTCAAGCGATCCTCCCCAGAGAGCTGGAATTACAGGCATGAGCCGCTGTACCTGGCTGGTTTTTAACACTCTTAATTACTGTAATACAATGTGTTAATAGAGTAAGTGACACAGACCACATGATCATCTCCGTAGACACCCTCCAAAATGGCATTTGGCCAAATCCAACACGTTTTCTTGATGTAAAAACAAACACAACAAACTAGCAATAGAAGAGAACTTTCTAAATCTGAACTACAAAAACACTCAGCTAAAAGATGGAACAGCTTCCCCCGAGATCAGAAACAAGGCAGGATGTCCACTCTCACCATGTACATCCACCGTTGTACATGAGGTTCTAGCCAGGGAAATTAGACAATAAAAAGAAACCAAAGTCATTCAAATTGCAAAAGAAGAGGTAAAACTGTCTTGGTTTTACAGATGACATGATGATGTATATAGAAAATCCCAAGAAATTTACAAAACACTATTAGAGTTTAACAAGTTCAGCAAGGTTCAGAATACCCGTCATTAAAAAAAAATAATAATTGTATTGCTATACACTAGCAGTGAACAATATGAACATGAAAGTTTGAAAACAGTTCTGTTTACAGTAGCATCAAAAATAATACAACACTTAGGAATAAATATAAAAGAAATATAAGACTTGTATGTTGTAAATTACAAAATGTTACTGAAAGAAATTACATGGAAAGACATGTTCATGGATCAGAAGACTTAAAATTGTTACTATGGTATTACTTCCCAAATTGATACGCTGATTCAGTGCATTTTCTACCAAAATCCCAACTGACTTATTTGCAGAGATTCACAAGCTGGTCCTAAAATTCATATGAAAATTTAAGAGACTTCAAATAGTCTAAACAGTCTTGTAAAAGAAGAACAAATTGGGAGGATTTACACTTTACCAATTTCAAAACTTACTACAAAACAACGTTGGTCAGCTTAATGTGATGCTGGCTTGAGGATAGATATATAAATAGTGGAATAGAATCGAGTGTCCAGAAGTAAAATGTATGGCCAGTGACTTTTGGCAAGAGTTCCAAAACAGTTCGTTGGGGGAAAGAATTGTTTTTTCACCAAAAGATGCTGGAACCAACTGAGTATCCACATGGAAGAGAATGAGGTTGGACCCCTTCCTTACGCCATACACAAAATTAACTTGACATGTATTATAGACCTAAAAGTACGCCCTAAAAGTATAAAATTCTTAGAAGAAAGCATAGGGTTAAATCTTCATGACCAAGTTTTTTAGGTATAACATCAAAAGCACAAGTGACCAAAAATATATAGATTGGAATTCATTAAAATTAAAGCTTTCATGCTGCTAACAGTACCATCAATACTATCAAATAATAAGAAAACTCAAAGAATGGGAGAAAATATTTGCAAATCATATATCTAATAATGGACTTGTTTCAGAATATATCAAGAATTCTTACAATGCAACAATAAAATGGTAAACGACTCAATAAAAAATGAGCAAGGATCTAGGCCGGGCGCGGGGCCCACGCCTGTAATCCCAGCACTTTGGGAGGCCGAGGCGGGCGGATCACAAGGTCAGGAGATCGAGACCATCCTGGCCAACACGGTGAAATCCCGTCTCTACTAAAAATACAAAAAATCAGCCGGGCCTGATGGCACGCGCCTGTAGTCTCAGCTACTCTGGAGGCTGAGGCAAGAGAATCATTTGAATCCAGGAGGCGGAGGTTGCAGTGAGCCAAGACCATGCCACTGCGCTCCAGCCTAGGCAACAGAGTGAGACTCCGTCTCAAAAATAAAAGATCAAGGATCTGAATGGACATTTTTCCAAAGAAGGTATAATGTGCCAATAAGCACGTGAAAAGATGCTCAACATCATTAGTCAATTAGAAAAATACAAACCTTAAACCATGAGATAATACCACTTCTTATCTACTAAAATGGGTATAATAAAAAAGATAACAAGTGTTCATGAGTATGTGGAGAAGTCAGAACCCTTATACATTGTTTTTGGGAATATAAATGGTGTAGCTGCTTTGGAAAATGGTTCAGCTTTCCTCAAAATAGTTAACGTGATACGGAAATTTATAAAAGAATGTTGGCAAATACAACTATAATAAAGGTGGTCATGATTTTTTTTTTTTTTTTTTTTTTTTTTTTTTTATTGATCATTCTTGGGTGTTTCTCGCAGAGGGGGATTTGGCAGGGTCATAGGACAACAGTGGAGGGAAGGTCAGCAGATAAACAAGTGAACAAAGGTCTCTGGTTTTCCTAGGCAGAGGACCCTGCGGCCTTCCGCAGTGTTTGTGTCCCTGGGTACTTGAGATTAGGGAGTGGTGATGACTCTTAACGAGCATGCTGCCTTCAAGCATCTGTTTAACAAAGCACATCTTGCACCGCCCTTAATCCATTTAACCCTGAGTGGACACAGCACATGTTTCAGAGAGCACAGGGTTGGGGATAAGGTCACAGATCAACAGGATCCCAAGGCAGAAGAATTTTTCTTAGTACAGAACAAAATGAAAAGTCTCCCATGTCTACTTCTATCCACACAGACCCGGCAACCATCCGATTTCTCAATTTTTTCCCCACCCTTCCCGCCTTTCTATTCCACAAAACTGCCATTGTCATCATGGCCCATCCCCAATGAGCCGCTAGGCACACCTCCCAGACGGGGTCGTGGCCGGGCAGAGGGGCTCCTCACTTCCCAGTAGGGGCGGCCGGGCAGAAGTGCCCCCCACCTCCCGGATGGGGCGGCTGGCCGGGCAGAGGGGTCCTCACTTCCCAGTAGGGGCGGCCGGGCAGAGGCGCCCCTCACCTCCCGGATGGGGCGGCCGGCCGGGCGGGGGGCTGACCCCCCCACCTCCCTCCCGGACAGGGCGGCTGGCCGACCCCCCCCCCGCCTCCCTCCCGGACGGGGCGGCTGGCCGGGCAGAGGGGCTCCTCACTTCCCAGTAGGGGCGGCCGGGCAGAGGCGCCCCTCACCTCCCGGACAGGGCGGCTGGCCAGGCGGGGGGCTGACCCCCCCACCTCCCTCCCGGACGGGGCGGCTGGCCGGGCGGGGGGCTGACCCCCCCACCTCCCTCCCGGACGGGGCGGCTGGCCAGGCGGGGGGCTGATCCCCCCACCTCCCTCCCGGACGGGGCGGCTGGCCGGGCAGAGGAGTCCTCACTTCCCAGTAGGGGCGGCCGGGCAGAGGCGCCCCTCACCTCCCGGACTGGGCGGCTGGCCGGGCAGGGGGCTGACCCCCCACCTCCCTCCTGGACGGGGCGACTGGCCGGGCAGAGGGGCTCCTCACTTCCCAGTAGGGGCGGCCGGGCAGAGGAGCCCCTCACCTCCCGGACGGGGCGGCTGGCCGGGCGGGGGGCTGACCCCCCCCACCTCCCTCCCGGACGGGGTGGCTGCCGGGCGGAGACGCTCCTCACTTTCCAGACGGGGTGGCTGCCAGGCGGAGGGGCTCCTCACTTCCCAGACGGGGTGGCTGCCGGACGGAGGGGCTCCTCACTTCTCAGACGGGGCGGTTGCTAGGCAGAGGGTTTCCTCACTTCTCAGACGGGGCGGCCGGGCAGAGACGCTCCTCACCTCCCAGACAGGGTTGCGGCCCAGCAGAGGCGCTCCTCACATCCCAGACAGGGCGGCGGGGCAGAGGTGCTCCCCACATCTCAGACGATGGGCGGCCGGGCAGAGACGCTCCTCACTTCCTAGATGGGATGGCGGCGGGGAAGAGGCGCTCCTCGCTTCCTAGATGGGATGGCGGCCGGGCAGAGACGCTCCTCACTTTCCAGACTGGGCAGCCAGGCAGAGAGGCTCCTCATATCCCAGACGATGGGGGGGCAGGCAGAGACGCTCCTCACTTCCCAGACGGGGTGGCGGCTGGGCAGAGGCTGCAATCTCGGCACTTTGGGGGGCCAAGGCAGGCGGCTGGGAGGTGGAGGTTGTAGCGAGCCGAGATCACGCCATTGCACTCCAGCCTGGGCACCATTGAGCACTGAGTGAACGAGACTCCGTCTGCAATCCCGGCACCTCGGGAGGCCGAGGCTGGCGGATCACTCGCGGTTAGGAGCTGGAGACCAGCCCGGCCAACACAGCAAAACCCCGTCTCCACCAAAAAAAAAACGAAAACCAGTCAGGCGTGGCGGCGCGCGCCTGCAATCGCAGGCACTCGGCAGGCTGAGGCAGGAGAATCAGGCAGGGAGGTTGCAGTGAGCTGAGATGGCAGCAGTACCGTCCAGCTTTGGCTCGGCATCAGAGGGAGACCGTGGAAGGAGACCGTGGAGAGAGGGAGAGGAGGGAGAGGGAGAGGGAGCGGTCATGATTTATAAGACTTAAAATATTTCAGTTAAATTTTTTAATACATTATATAGCAAACTTACTGTGCCTTATATAGCAGTGTTTAAGGATCATTATTTTAATTTGAATATGCCAGTGAGTTCTTCATATTAAGCTTTTTACAATATATAATCCATGCTAAATACATATTTTGGTTGTGCTTTTAACATAAATCTTAGGATGGGAAATCATAGAAAGCTGGTTGCAAATATCAGTGGGTATTTTTTTAAATTTTTGAGGGAATCATTTGTGCATTATAACATGTCTTCAATGTGTTGTTTAATTCCTTTTCATTGTGCCAAGATATGTCCCATTTTCTTACTTAGAACACTTATATATGGAAATAAAGACATTAATTCATACATTAAAGTGATTTCAAATAAATTATATGCACTAGAACTTAACACTTAAATATGCATTTAGCTTCTTAAAAATACTTTTATTTTCTGTTATTGTAAGATACAAGAGTGGAGGTAGGTGCAAGGTATTGCCAACTTGGTCCAGTGCTCCTGCAGTCTGGGATTAGAGGCTGGGAATCTCGGGGATGATTATAGTGCAGCATATTGGAACTTTTTGGTCAGAGAAACTTTCTGACCTACTTTTTTTTGTTTGTTTTTGAGACAAAGTCTTGCTGTGTCACCCAAGCTGGAGTGCAGTGGCATAATCTCAAGTGCAACCTCCACCTCCTGGGTTCAAGCGATTCTCATGCCTCAGCCTCCTGAGTAGCTGGGATTGCAGGCACGTGCCACCACGCCCAGCTAATTTTTGTATTTTTAGTAGAAACTGGGTTTCACCATTGTTGGCCAGGCTGGTCTCGAACTCCTCACCTCAAGTGATCCGCCCGCCTCGGCCTCCCTAAGTGCTGGGATTACAGGCATGAGCCACCTCGCCTGGTCAGATTCACTGTTTATATTTCAAAGCTGTTCAAACATAGATGTATTGTAACAAAAGATAATGCAATGCTTATGCTTAGAACATGCAGTGCATTCTATTTTTCAGTTCATTTTGCTAATGCTACTTTTGACCACTTAATCAATTTACAACCCATTAAAGGTTTGAGAACCACAGTTTTAAAAATAGTAATCTAGAGACAGAATTGTGAATTCAGATGTATTCTGAGTTTTTCTTCCTAATGGCCTTTTAAAAGTGTTTGTGTTTTGTGTCTGGTGAAAAACAGATCTCATACTTGGAAAGCAAACATGATCCTCAAATGAGATTTGGAATTCAAAAAAAATTTTTTTTTTGGTAAATTAAAAAAAAAAAAGCCTTCTGTCTGAATTGAGTTGCCTGTGAAAAATAACTATAGTATAATAGAACCAATATATTTGAGTGCTTTCAAGGAAATTATCCCTCTGGCAGTTAAAGTTTAGTTAGAGTAAATTTTGAACAAAACTCATAGTCAAAAAAAGAAGTAGATAAAATCCAGCTGAAGAATATGTTTACATTTATTTTGCTTGTATACTTTTTCATAAAATTTATACTGAAGTTTTAAAATATTTTAATTGCATCAAATTAATTTGCCTTATTTGCTACTAACTTTGATTTCGTCTATGCTTTTGTTATTGAATGGGGAAAGACGTGTGTGCAACTATTTCACCAAGTATTTTTGCAGGGACACTTAGTCGGTCTGGATGAACCAGCTTCGGGAGCTGGGCAAGAAGCTCTGCTTAAACAAGAGCAAGCAAAAATCATTCGATTCGAGAGACAAGCAGAAGAATTCCTCAATGCAGTCTTTTATAGAAAAGGTTGGTTTCAGTGAAGATGATATTTAGCATCTGCTTGTCTTGTATTATTGATCTCCTTAATTTCATTGTCATTTTTAAAGTTACTCTTAAAAACATTTTTCTTTATTGATATAATTTATATTGTTCTATATACCTTGGGTCAAGTTCAAATTGGAATTAGGATTAAGGAAACCCTGTTCCCCACATTTAGGCTCTGATGTGATGGTGAGTTTTAATTAAATAGTTTAGAAAATTATTAGGAAATTCTGAAAATTTTAAGCTCTCAGTAGTACTACATTTTGTTAGACAACTTTTCTTATGGAGACAGTTACTGTTTTAATCACCGATAACTAAATCCAACTGTGTGATTTTTTTTTTTTTTTTAGTAATTTCAACGTGAAATTTCATTTGGAGAGAAAATGTAGTTATAAAATTAGATTTGTAAGCATTTTTTTCTGATATAGTCTTGTTTCACTAAAATTTTTTATATTAATTAAAATTAGGGAAATAATTATTATGTAGTAAAACTTTTCCCCCTGCATTTGAGGTGGCATTTAATAGCTCAACCTCTTGCATTTTTAAAATTTATCTTTTTCCTTGAAACTTTTGTAGGCTTGTTTTACATTTCTTTCAAAATACAGAAAAGTTCTTCAGTCATGGAGTCTTGAGGCTTATCAATCCTTCATAGAGGCATTCAGGTTTATTCTTTATTCACAAAGCATAATTACCATCAGCCAGAACCTTCAGGAAAGTTCCCTTCATGTTCCTTTCTAGTGAGGAGTCTTTACTTTTAAGAAATTCTAAATGGATTTATACTTCTTAGTTACACTTTTCCTCCATTTCCAAGATGGTGGTTACTGTGATGGGTTCTAAAAAAGTTTCATACAAACTCTTGATAATCTTAAATATTCTTACTTAATCTTCAGCAGACTCAGTGATTCCATTTTCTTTAATAATTCTTCATATGTTCTAGTTTACACCTCTCATTCCTCTGGAAATTCCCTCCTTCCCTTTGACATTGGTTAAAAGTCTGATAAGTGCTGGTTCTGTTGGGTTTCTTTACAGTTGGACACTAGCTGGGCTTCTGCTTAATGTGATCAGTATTTCCAAAAGGCGGTGTGAAGTGTAGTGTCATATAAAATTAAGAAATGCAGAGATTATTTTCTGTGGCACTTTTTTTCCCATTTTCTTCCATTAGATCCCTAGGCAGAATTAAATTGTTTAGTACATCCTTAATTCTCTGTAAACACCCACTAGCACCTCCTGACCTAAATCTCCCAGCTGAGTCTCCTATGTCTTATTATCCCTGCACATTGCTCAGAATTCTAAAATTATGTTCAAAATAATCATTTTCTTAGTTTTATGAACATCTGATTGTTAAAAGCAAATTTAAGTATAAACAACTTATAGAGCAGTTCTATCAGTTTGCTTACCAAATAAAATATCTTTACAGCTCCTCTCCTGAAGGATGTACACAGAGTCATTGATCTGTTGTGTTGTTATAGCAAGCTTCATTATCTGAAAAGAGGACTTCCTCTCCCTAATTTACATGGAGGAACCACTTTTCATCCACTCTTTGCTTAGGGGACATTAATAAAGTCAATCATAAGACTCCTACAGAAAAATTCTGTCGTACTTTTCTGCTAGTCCTAAGCCCTTTGTCATAGAGGAATAACTTTCAAGTTTTTATAAAGTTTTTCTTTTTTTTTTTTTAAGAAATTAAACTTTTGGGTTATAACCTTTAGGGGAGGAATTCTTACCTTGGAATTGGTCTTAGGATAGATTTCAAGAGATGGGAATGCTCTGAAATTGTAAGTTGAGTTTATTTGTTTATGTACAGGCATGTGATGCTCAGAGAAAGAACTGTTCCTTTGGAATTTGGACATTTTCTTCCCCTTTATGTATTAATATTGCTATGTTTAGATATAATCCTCTTGTAACCATCTCCAAGATAGCCATTAGTACTCTTTAAATTAATACCAAAAATGTTTAGTATCCAGGGATATGATGGACATTTTAGTCTGAAGAGAATCTTTTGTTTTAATAATTCAGATGCTTAGATTTGGTCCCTTGTTTCAAAGTATTGTAAATTATATGTTTTAAATAATTTGTGTAAGGATTATGTATAGTTAAGTAGAATCAGAGATGGAATAAAAGTAAGCTTTTAGGATATGGAATCCATAATTTCACTTCAAGAACAATATACCTTCTACAAATGTCATAATGACATTTCTTTTTAGCTTGCGTTGTCACTTGTATTAAAAAAGTTAGATTTGCATTTTAAGATACACAGGTGGCTGTGATGTAACATGTTTTTCTGCAGTTTTATTTTTCATCTGATTTGTTGCTTTTATTTGACTCAGTTGTGCTGTGTTCCCCTGGGTGTGGATATGTTTGTAGATGTGTATTTTAAGTATGTCAAAGAATGAAATCTGTTCAATAAACTTCCACAAGATAGAGAAATTCAAATGGCAGAGATGTAATTCATAAACACTGTCTTGTCTCATGACTGTGTTTTCATTCAATAAAGAGACAAGATACTGCAGACATTGAGTGCTCAAAGATAGTGGTCTGTGGTCCTTGTTCTAATATCTTTGACTCTTCACAGAGCTCTTTATGTTTATTAATACTACTTAAACACAGAGGCATCGCATAAATTCATAAATTTTATTTTACTTTTTATATGGAAATTTCCTTTATGTATTACATATTCTCCCAACTATATTCAGGGGTGGAAAGGTAAACTAATGTACTAAAACTTGAAATTTATACAATAGTTCATATGGAGATTTATGTAGGGAGAAAAGTGGGTCTTAACTGGAACGTTAAATGACTGTTTGGAAAATTCAATGGATGGAGATATTTAAAAAGCAGTGTATGGATAAAATGTTAATTAAAACAACTGAGGAACCATTTTCAGTAACTGTAGCAACTTCTGAACCTTACCTAGTTCCATACCTTTATTTTTAAACCACCGGGAATACTTATAGTCTCTATTTATAGAGAGGAAAGTTAGAGTTATAAATACTCCTTAGTGTGACAGAAGCGTTATTACTAGTAGAGTAAGCCTCATTAAACTCCAGAAGATGAAATAAATAGCACAACTTTGTGACCATCTTCTGGTATTGAATATCGTCCTTTCGGGGGAAAAAATTGCCTGTTCTTAGGAGTCCTGTGAGGTTTTGATGATGTATTTGTTTGTTGTTTATTATGGAGATTTTAGATTTTAGTAATTAGAGTCAGTTTTTCTTTAACTTTATAAATTAAACTCTTAAGTTCCTTACAGCCCCAAAATACTGTGGGTAAAGTTATTTGCCTTCTATAGCTAATCTTTAAAAGACTAAAGAAACCTTGGTTTTCTGAGAACTGTCTTGTAAAACCTCAAAAGTGTGGTGGGAAGCAAAGGTCACAGGTAAAACAGTAAGATCAGGGGAAGAGTTTTAATTGAGAGTCTTATCACTAATCACCTATATAAATTTGTAGTGGCCACTTACTCTTTTGATCACATTTCCCTTTTTTTTTTTAAAGGACTATTTCATGTTGATTGACCTATTTAGTATTTAACTAAATTGAATACACACTTTAGACCAGGCAAGATTAGGTATATAGAGGTACACAGAGGTAAACAAACACATTTCCCTCATTTTATTTTTTTAAAAGGACTATTTCATGGTGATTGATTTGATTGACCTATTTAGTATTCAGCTAAATCGAATACACTTTAAATCAGGCAAGATTAGGTATTTAGAGGTACACAGAGGTAAACAAACACAGTCTCAGCTCTTGAGAAGCTTAGTCTTCCTGATTGACTATTATAGTGTGGTAATTATAGAGGCATGATGATAATATATTTATACAAGTCATTTTCCCTTTCATCTTAACCTCTTTTGCCTTTCAAAGTCTCTTCCAGTGCTAAAAGTTCTTCGAGTTAATGAGTTCTTATGGTTTAAACTTAACATTGACTAGAAATTGATAATTTAGATGTTTATTTCATTATTTTATTTTTTTTTACTAGTTGGCAGAGTTTATTTAAAGTACTCCTGGAAAATATGTGATTTTTCTTAGGCTTTTGAGATTTGACATTTAAACACCTAGCCCAGAGGTTCTACAGTTGTGGTCCCCAGACCAGCAGCATCTAAGAACTTGTTAGAATGCCAGTTCTTGAGCCCACCCTAGAACTACTGAATCAGAAACTCTGGGGAGAGAACCCAACAAGCTGTTTTTGCAAAGCTGTCAGGGTGATTCTGATGAACATTAAAGTGTGAGAATGATTGCCCTAGCCTAAAATGGATCTTAAAATTAAGTATCTCCTTTTATAATCTTGGTATGCCTTCTGTCTTTAATATAAAGTAAATTAAGCACTCATGAACTCAGTAATGCATTCTTCAAATATTTAGGAGAAGGTGGCTGAGGAAAAAGTCTAGGGTTACTTGATGTGACCTATAGGTGTGTTAACATGAGAGTATTTCCTAAGTGAAGGGTTTTGGGATTTCTGTATCAGGTAAGTGATTCTTGCCCATAAGATATTCTAGTTGTTATCCCTTTATTTAATTTCATAATATTCAATTATTATATGGGGGAAGATGTTTAGAATTATTTTAATAAAAATTTTATTTTTAAAAATAGACAACTCAAAAGCTTAGAAAACATAAGTCAAAGGGGAGATACTATTTTTAAGATAACTGCATTTTAAGAAAAATAAAATGAAATTTTATGTTTACTTGAAAGCTGTCTTTTTTAGTACATTGTCCCACTTTAAAAGTAAATAAATCTTTATTTACAGACAGTCCCTGGGTCTCCGACCCCAATATTCCCCTAGTGGCCCGTGAGATCATGCAGCGAATGATCCAACAATTTGCTGCTGAATATACCTCAAAAAATAGCTCTACTCAGGACCCCAGCCAGCCCAATAGCACAAAGAACCAAAGCCTGCCGAAAGCATCTCCAGTCACCACCTCTCCCACGGCTGCAACTACTCAGAACCCTGTGCTCAGCAAACTTCTCATGGCTGACCAAGACTCACCTCTGGACCTTACTGTCAGAAAGTCTCAGTCAGAACCTAGCGAACAAGGTATGGTTTGATGTCAAGGTCTCCTCTATCTTATCAGAATACTTTACTTTGGGGAGAAAAAAAAAAGCATTGGCAAGTAGAGCATCAGCAGCAATAATAGCATAAAAACTAATGTGATTCTTAAATTATTTCTTACTATGCAGTGATGGAGAAGTACAGCTAAAGTTGTTACAGCCTTATCTGTCAGCAGTTCATAGTCATGATTGATGTACCACTCAGGAAAGTCAGGTGGTTAACAGTTGTCACTAATCTTTCAGTTACTTGATATTTATATAAGCATTTTATATTTTCCATAGTATTTTTATGTTTTTTAAAACTCCTATGAAAAAGTAAGTTTTCTTATTAACTAAAAATTTTCTAGGACTAGCACCTGTCTGAGAAATATGCCTCTACTTGCAGGTATAAGTTATATACTCTGCAAATGAGATCATAAGGAAAAACATGTATTCGAATTTTGAGAAAGAAACTGCTAGGGTTACAAATAGAGAAAGCAGCAGAACATACTTTAGGTTGTTAAATATATTCAATGTTTTATAAATACAGAAACACATATATAAACACACACATCCACTGACTAACTTGAAAGTATTTCCAAAAGGGAATTTGTTGATGAGGACACTAATTAAGTGATGAAGTTAAGAGGTTATTAGTTTTGTTTAGCAAATGTTTCTTGAGTCTCTGAAGTTTATTTTCTTCAGTAGATATTCCTGTTGCTTTGTGATCTCATTTTACCTTTAATTTCACAAAAATTGAAGCAAGCATTTCAACTCAGCCACTGTTTGAACCACTACGAATTGTAAATTGGTGATGTCTGTACTAATGAGATTTTATTGTCATAGAAATCTTGAGTATACAGAAAGGTTACGAGATTTATTGTAACCTTTATTTATTGGATTTATTGGTGAGAAATACATGTTTATTTTGGAAAATAAATTTAATTCTTAACCTCTTTGAAATGAACTTTCTTTTGAGTAGTTTTCCTTTGCTTTTATCCTTTTCCTGTGTGGTGAACAGCAAACAAAACATCTGAGTTCTGAGAGATTTCTTGACAGGAGACCTCCTACTTGTTCACATTGCTCATGTTCCTTTGGTTACCATATTTACAAAGTTGTATCTTTTATTGATGACTGTTTTCTTTTCCACAAATTGGTAGTTTTCATTAAAGATCTCCTCACTCTAAATATTGCATCAGAAGTTTCAGGTTTATATTAGGAGAATGACAACATAGAATAATATTTAAAGTATTAATGGAGGTTAACATAAAATGATACCACTTAATCTAATTTAACTTGTTATAACTAATGTTACACTTAAGAGATCAATACATTGTATTGACAGCATGCTCTTAAAAAGAGGAATTTGAACTACATGATAGCATTATAGTGTGTAGACTTCAAATGAAGTAAAAAAATTTTAAATTATATTTCCTTAATGAATGTGTTTTCAGCCAAAAACCACAATATTTTTAGTGGTAGATTTAAAATATGTTGCCTGTTTGATTAGACAAATTGTCTATTTGACTTGCGTTTAAATAATAGTGTCTTTGGTTGGAAAAGTTGTAAGCAGTAGTACATTTGCTTCTTAGATGTATAATTGGGTTAGATGTCTAATAGGATAATTGGTTCTATAAGCTTATAATTATATTTTTAGAAGTACTAGTGACTGTAAAGGACAAAACTCTTTCTTATGAGTGTGGGGTTTTTTTATTTACAAACTCTGTTGCCTGTTTATTTCTAACAGCCGGAAATAAAATGTCCTCAGATACAAGTTGTAAGTAGCTTCTACTCTGGGGTGATTTTTAACACAACTAGATAGCACGACCCCTCTACTGGCCAACTGAAAATTAAAGACATTGTGTATTATCTTGTTCTGTTAATTTTGGACAGAGTGGTAGCTTTAAAAGACTTCTTTTCCAGGTATTTCAACAAGGAGAAAAACGTCTTTGAGGGAAAAGAAAGTCTTCTAATTTTATATATTAATAACATGAATTTGTGATTTGGTCTAGTTGTAGTAAAAAATGGTTGTACTTCCAGGCTCTCATCAGTATCAAGACAGTTTCATTCTTCTTTCTTTAAACTTTCTTCACCAATTTTTATTGTCTTCTTAATTGAAAAATTCTTGCATTCATAAAATTCAGCAATTGAATTTTGAATCTCTGCAAAATTTTTTTAAAGGATTGAATATAAGTATACATTTTTTATAGATGGTCTAGAAAACTATTAGACACACCCAAATCATAAATCATTAACTGATTCATCTTACAGACCATATTGTTTAGTATATACATGTACTTTAATGACATAAATTTACATTTAAAAATAATTTTTATATCTTATTTAAAGTTTTCTATATCGAATTTGTATGTACTTTTGGAGTTTCAGGTAGATTTAGCTCTTGAGGGATTTGGTTCTATAGTTTGTATGCCATTGTGGGACATTAAAAACTTGTATGCTTTGATCAAGGAAAATTTAGAAAATGGAGTCTTAAAAAATCTGATAACAGAGGACCTCATGCTATGTGAACTGCTATTTCTAGTATTTCACTATATCTTAACATCTTCAGTAACATGTTTTACCTTTTCTTTTGCCCCATTAATAATATATTTAGCCCTTGAGGATATTAAGTATAACATGCCTTGCTAAATTTATGTTGCTTCAGGATTTAATTGATTTTATAACTCAAATATATGACTAGCATATCTGCTTAGTTGAATAAGCCTGCTTAACTGCTTTTTCATTTTTAGCCTATTTAGTTTACATTTGCTCCTAGCTTTTAATATCCTCAGGTGTTTCTTTGTGTCTCTGCAGACGGTGTACTTGATCTGTCCACTAAGAAAAGTCCATGTGCTGGCAGCACTTCCCTGAGCCACTCTCCAGGCTGCTCCAGTACTCAAGGGAACGGGTAAGGGAGAATATTTGTAGCCTTACACAGTTTCATATAGATAATTCATCAAAGGTTGATGCCAGTCTCCCTTTTACATTTTAAAAAATAACCCTTCTAAGTAAGTCATTTATAAATATGGACCATAGATCAAATAAAAATATAATCTGTGCAATGTAAAATTGGCTAGTACAGATGAGTTTTTGTCAGTTTAGTACAAATAGTAAATAACCATGAATATGGCAATTATTTCTTTGGACTTTTTGTTGTGGCATGTTTTGGAGTGTGATACTCAAATAATTCTAAAGTTTAGATGTAAAGACAGTATTATGTGTGCTGAAGCTGTTTAATGAAAATTGAACTCCAATACTTGGTATCTCTAGTGGGGTTTGTGTGTGTGTGTGTGTGTTCATTTTTGTTTGTTTCTTTTGGGTTTGGTTTTGGTGATGGAGAACTGTACTTTGGCAGTTCAGAAAATGTAGTTTTCTGAAAGACTGATGGTAGATGTTGATGCATAACCATCTTAGGCTACCAAGACATTATTACTTGCTCAGTTTTGATAACTCTTAGGAGTCTAAAGTAAATTCTCTGACACCCTAATTTTATAGTATAAGAACTGTCTTCTCCCTATGTGTATCTGATAACCAACTAGAAAAGTCAGGTATTAATATTAAGACATTTAGATACCATGTTGAAAAAGCATTTCTATAAAACTGTGTGACAAAAAATCAACTTTAGATATGAAAAATAACTGGTAAGTTTAAATTAGCTAATACTTAGGCTTATTGAACTTTCAGATTATCAATGTGGGGGAGTTACTTAGATATTAAAGGAACAAGTGGATGCTAAGTGGACTAACCTTTTCCAACTTACTGTTAACTACCTTCAAATAGAAGGATTCCTTTACAGACTTCTAAAATCTCCCTTTATTTTCTCTAAAATTCCAAAACTTTTCATTTCCAGAAAGTATTAATTTAATCCATTATGCGTACTAATCTTTTTCTTAACCCCTTCTTTTCACTATGGTTTATACTAGATATAAGTCAGCATGTTCCCAAATCTTTGGGTTCTATTTATATATCAAAAAATACTTGAGCCGGGCGTGGTGGCTCAGGCCTGTAATCCCAGCACTTTGGGCGGCTGAAGCGGGCAGATCACTTGAGGTCAGGAGTTCGAGACAAGCCTGGGCAACATGGCAAAACCCCGTCTCTACTAAAAATACAAAAATTGGCCAGGCATGGTGGTGTGCACCTGTAGTCCAGCTACTAAGGAGGCTGAGGTGGGACGATCGCTTGAGCCCAGAAGGTCACAGCTGCAGTGAGCCATGATCACAACACTGCACTCAAGCCTGGGTGACAGAGCCAGACCTTGTCTCCAAAACAAAACAAAACAAAACAAAAAACACTTGAGTTGTGTAATTAAGGACACCTGTAGAAGTCCATGTGCAGTTTGCATAAACAAATCCTTTGCTTAAGATTCTCTGTAAACTTGGCTACCAGGTTCATGTATTATATGGTTGAAGTTGCTGTGTTTATCCCTCTGAATGGAAAGTGTTTTCTACTGGTTTTGTTTTATGGAAGAAAAATGCACCAATAGGATTGCCCATCTTTTAGTTGAATATTCAGTGTTATCCTTATTGTGTTACTGATGATAGTAGTCCCCATAGAGTTTTGTAGAACATAACTGGTTTATCATTTCTGCAAAGCCCTATTTTGTGCCTAATTAATGTAATCATCCCCTTGGGCATGTTTTGCCACATGTCAGTCTTAATATTGATAATCTTTCTTATTGTGAAAGTCAAAACCTTACAAATTAACTTTGTCTAAGTAGTTGACTTTTTAAACATTGTTTGAAAGCCGTCCATTTGAAATTTCAAAATAGGTGTTTGGTATTTCAAGAAGGGAAGTTTTTTTTAAGCCAGAGAAAACTGCTAAAAAATTGTTTATATCCCTCTGACAGTAATTACTTTGAGTAGAACTTAAGGGGTAAATAAAGAGTAATTTCTTTTAAGCTTGGATTATTTCAAATGGAAAATCATGATACTCATGTATCTGCAACTAGTAGTGTTTTAAAATGAAGACGTGTGGTAAGTTATAATGCAGTGGGTCTTTTGGTTTGGTTTATTTGGGAATTTTTTTTTCTCCCTTGGGGCTGTTAGCCATATATATGTATTCCCCCCCGCCCCCCAAGCAAAATAAGAAATGTTACTTGGAATTGTTTGATTTTTGATGATGAATATCAACTTGTTTGTGGGATAAATGAGCAATTATTTATGGGTTCCAGTAATGTATATGGTTTCAGTTTTAACACTAGTTGTCATGAATGTTGAATACATTGAATTAAAATAAATAATTTGGCTTACTCTTTTATTACTGTACTTGTTTAGTGGTAACGTCACATTGGCAACACAATTCTGTGTAGATCTATGGAGACTGATGATTACTTTGTAATTAATAATTAAGATGCTATTTTCAGACAGTTGCGCGAAACTTTTTCTCCGAAAATTTGTGAACCCAACCAGAGACCGGCTGACAGGTTTAATTTTTCTTTGCCCAAAAAGCTCCTGATTTTTTTTCTTTTTCCTTTTTCCTTTTTTTGTGAACAAGTTTTAAAACTAACTGCTGAGACCATTTTTTTTTTAATTTTAGAGAAAAATAAATAAATAACACAAAGTGATGTTACCCAAGCAAGGCCTTCTAATAAAGGAGTGGTCCCCTCACCCATCCCTCCCTACCTGTGCAAGTCCTGCTCACATCAGTTTCCTTCCATCCAATTAGGCGACCTGGGAGACCCAGCCAGTACCGCCCAGACGGACTTCGGAGTGGTGATGGGGTACCTCCAAGAAGCTTACAGGATGGAACCAGGGAAGGTTTTGGACACTCCACATCACTCAAAGTTCCACTGGCTCGATCCCTGCAGATTAGTGAAGAACTACTGAGCAGAAACCAATTGTCCACAGCTGCCAGCCTTGGGCCATCTGGATTACAGAATCATGGACAACACTTAATATTATCCAGGGAAGCCTCTTGGGCAAAACCACATTACGAGTTCAACCTCAGCCGTATGAAGTTCAGGGGAAATGGTGCACTCAGCAACATCAGTGACCTTCCTTTTCTTGCAGAAAACTCTGCCTTTCCAAAAATGGCACTTCAAGCAAAACAAGATGGAAAAAAGGATGTGAGCCATTCATCTCCTGTAGATTTAAAGATACCACAAGTTCGAGGAATGGATCTTTCTTGGGAGTCTCGCACTGGTGATCAGTACAGCTATAGCTCTTTGGTAATGGGTTCACAAACGGAGAGCGCGCTTAGTAAAAAATTAAGGGCTATTCTTCCAAAACAAAGTAGAAAAAGCATGTTAGATGCTGGACCCGATTCTTGGGGCTCAGATGCTGAGCAGTCTACCTCTGGACAGCCATATCCCACATCGGATCAAGAAGGAGACCCTGGCTCCAAGCAGCCTCGGAAGAAAAGAGGGCGTTACAGACAGTACAACAGTGAGATACTGGAGGAAGCAATCTCAGTGGTTATGAGTGGAAAAATGAGTGTTTCCAAAGCTCAGAGTATTTATGGGATTCCCCACAGTACACTGGAGTACAAAGTAAAGGAGAGGCTGGGCACTTTGAAAAACCCTCCAAAGAAAAAGATGAAATTAATGAGGTCGGAGGGGCCAGATGTTTCTGTAAAGATTGAATTAGATCCCCAGGGAGAGGCAGCACAAAGTGCAAATGAATCAAAAAACGAGTAGGAATACTGTAGAGTGCCAATTACTGTACAAACTGGGTGAGCACTACTGCATCATTGTTCAGCTATCATTGCTTGCACGTAATTTCATTTACTGTGACACTTGCTTCTTTGCAGATTTTGCATTGACTTGTGTGTACAGAGATGAAATGTGCATTCTGAATGTTGCATATTTTAAATTTTTCATGTGCAGTATGGCTCGGAATATGTTTGGCCTTTTGCATGTTTCTCTACAAAAGAGAATTGAGTTACCTCACAGAGAACAGATACATGGAAGTGGACTCCTTGCCTGTAGAGCCTGCATGCTTTTTTGTTTTTTTTTGTTGTTGTTGTTTTTTCTTAAGTTATATTTGTTTTTACTTTTTAAAAAAGAAGAGGAAACAAAGCCCCCTTTTAGAAACTACGTCTGTCATACTGGGAGCTTTATCACTGCAAATTGGAAAGCCATCTTATACAAAATTATTCACATTTTTCATCTACGATTCAACTAATCGAAGGATTAAACTAAAGAAAAAACTAAGAAGAACAATGAACCTTTGACTTTGAGAAATTTGGTTATTCACTGACATAATTATTGGGTCATTTATAGTTACATTTTATAATTTTCTTCTCACTATTAAATTTATTTAAATTAGCAAGCTATTAGTGCTCACCCAGAGGGGAAGGTGGTGGAAAATGTGCACACACTACCTTCAGAAATGCTTCAGTTAATTACTTTGAACACTACCTTTGCTGTAATTTCATTTGAGATTTTCTAAGGGTAGAATTTGGTCTCACCAACAAGTGAGGATATAGCCTTATCTCATGGAGGACGAGCTCCGTATTTACTCAGGAGCAGTCAGGGTACATTACATAAAACAATGGAGGATGCCTCATTTTAGCAAACTAGGTTTCTTTGTATTCTTCAGTCCTTTTACAGAATTGATGTGCTAACTGAATATCATTGCAGCAACTAGACTAAGATATTCAAGATCTCTTTATTGGGGATGGGAGAAATAGGGAAAGAAATGTGTATAAGTAATTATGATATTGCAAAAGTGATACTTAGATTTTACAGCCTCAGTAGTCTGCCCAGTGTCCACATTAATGAAGGATCCATGTTTGTAGTGAGAGAAAAAAACCCCAAGGTAACCCGATATGATTTAGGATGCATATCAGTTCTAACAATTCAATCAGAAGTCAAGCTCATTGGAATTCCTTTTTTAACTGATCCAAATACTAGTAGAAGGGGGAGGGAGAGGTGTTGGGTTTTTTTTTTAAGTTTTTATTTAATTTTGTTGGTTAGAATTTTTTTCTGTTTTTGGCATCCTACATAATACCCCCCTTCTTGACTTTTTCTGATAATTAGCTGATATTCATGGTTGTTTAGCACACAGTTCAGGACCTTTGAGATCATGTTTGTATAAGCACTCCTTGAAGAATATCTAAGCTTTTTCTGAGATGGGCTTTTAAAATTATAATAAGGGAAGTTTATTTTCTGCGGTTTTTGCAAGAATAAGCAAAGCCCATGGAATTTAATTTTTCATTGTGATCAGATTAAAATTACTATTTGTGCAAAACAAATTCCACACCACATGTACTGTATATTCTAATCTGCTGAGAAAGGTGGTCAGGCCCTTCTAAATGCTTAACCAAAAACAAACATTATTGGAGTTTCAGTGTAAAATAAAATTAAAATTGGAGGGTTGGTTAGATTGATTTCAGATGGATACTAACAGTTTGAGGGGAGGTCCAGATATTTCCAAGGCATAAATTCTTGCCTGGAAACTTTGGAGCAATTAATTAAATTAGGTTAAGTTTTCCCTCAGCAACCTGTGTGTTCAAAGGTTAGGCACACCATTGCTGTTACTAAAATACATGCACTGCTCATTCTTGACATAGCTTGGGTGTGGGTTCCTCTTGTTTTGGTTATTTTGTGTAGCAGTTTAATCAGTGGATAACTGAGCCTGTTTCCTCTTAGCTTTCTAGACTTCTTAACAGAAAAAACAGTTTGGGTTCAATAGCATTTTATGATTCTACAATATTTTGTCACCTAGCTGGAAGTTGCAATAAAAATTCCTTATGAAATATATGGTTTTCATCTGTAATTGAAGGAAATCATAGAAAGTTTGCTGAAAGCAAAGGGCTAAGCTTATGAAGGAATGCCTCCTTTGTTACACACTCAAGAATTTGTCAGCACACAATTAATTGCAGCCATAGTACCTTTTTGCGTAATGTTTGGGATATTCAGTAGCCCAGGATTGCTACAAAAAGGTCCTTTGAGAAAATTAATTTGTGCTTGCTTTTATCCCCTCTCAGAAAGACATCACTAAAGGCCCATTAAAAATCTGGCCCTAAAAGTTCAACTTTTGTAGAGTTTATTGTTCAGAGAGGTTTAATCCTATGTGGTAGTCTATATAAGTGATGTATGAGTTGAGTTATGTAAATTTTGTCATTGTAGTGTACATGGAGTGATCATTTTACTAACATAAATATTTTCTATGTGTGTTTCAGTGGATGACAATCGAGCAGCAGAAGAATGGTGTGCCTACCCTTTAATGCTGCAGTTTAAGAGAACTTGTATTGTGTCATTTCAGATTGTAGGCTGAGAGTTGTAAATAGTGAAAATTTGAGTACTTCTATTATTTGTTTTGGTTAGAAAGTGAATTTAAAAAACAAACCAAACTCTAAACTTTCTCAGATTAAAAGTCCTGAGACCTGAAGATTGTAATATTCATGTCTGTGAAGCTTTTAAACATTACACTTGAGATCAGTCATGACTTGATATTCAGGTAAATTTTCTTTTCCAAGAAGCTTTTGAATAAGCATATTTCCTCCAAAGGTCTCTCTCTTTCTCTCTCTTTTTTTGAGTGTAGATTATTTTAAAGCACTAATTGCATTACATTGGTAACTGCAATATAAAATAGCCATTATTGTTTTGTGAAGCATGGTTGAAATTAGCTAGTGGTCCCTTTTGAATTTCATGAGCCTCTCAAAAAAGAAAAACTTAAAAAAAAAAAAAAAAAAAAACAAAAAGCTGCTGGAATATTTCAAAAGATATATATTTTACCTTATTATAGGTTTTGTAAAGTTAGTTTGTAATATTCAGGTGCACTTTTAATGTTAAATTTTGTGTTCAGAGTTCCATTATACCATGTATTTCTCGGAGGTGGCTCATCACACGGCTGGTGGCAGTCTTGGTGCCGCAGTGATTCCTTAATATTTGATTTCTCTCTTGATTTGCCACTATTCTGTATTGGCACTTTCAGTGTAGATATTCTAGTTTGGGGATGTCCTCACAATGTGTAATAGAGATTGGTCTATTAGCATGCTTAATTTCTGCTAATCAGAGTTTTGCATGGCCCAAACAACAGTTGACCATTTTTATGGTATGGGAAAGTGTAGTTCACAACTGTCTTTGTCACGAAAGCCGTTTTTCCTCACATTTTCCAGTAGGCAGATAACATTACTTAAATTATTAATATATAACACTCTTGGAACTATTGATAGGAAATAATGTATTTAAAATAATTTTTTGCATTTTCAGAGACCTTGATGTTATAGGGTAGATAAGCTATGGCACTATAAAATCAAAAACACTAATTCTGTGGAAGGATATCTAGTTGGTATTTTTATCTTTAGCTTTCTCATTTCTGAGACAGCATAGTCATCCAGCTTGATGGTAATGTAGTATATTACTTTGTTCAGTGGGCTTATAAGTGACTCTGAATTATGTTTGTGATGAGCTATACACTTTTTTTCTGTTCCCCAAATACCATGAAGGACAAGGTCACTCTTTCAGGAAAAATAATTTATATTTGTGTATAATACTTTTTAATATTAAGTTTGTTGTTCTGAAGTTTAGATGTTGCTTGATAAACCTTTGCTGCAGCAGATCATGAATATGAGTAAGGCTTTGTGTGATAATAGGGGTCCTTATGTGAAGTTAATTACTGTTCAGTTCTGGTGAGCAAGCTCAACAAGTGTGAAGTGTGTATTAGCTTTATTTGGTACACTTTTACTTTACAATATCGAAGTGCTTTTAGAACTCTGGTTATCTTATATAAACCATTACCTCAACCAATTGGCATTTCTTTTCCCCAACATTTACCTTAGCTATAATATGAGCTATGTGGGATCAGATGGTAAAACTATAAAAGGCACAATGAGAAGTTTAGTTCCCAAGTTTTGGAGAGAACTCTAAATTAGACTAAAAACAACTACCTGTTAACACCAATATCATAACTACCTTCTGTCGTTAGGCAGTACATAGCAACCTTTGAGCTGCTAGTGAGCTATCTGTTCTCCCCCTACCCCCAAGTAAGCACACAGTGCCAGGCCTGGTTCTAAGCCTTTGTGATTCTCTTACATCTCATTGACCCATAATAGTGAAGCATGGATTCATTTATTTTCATAAGACAAATTGAGTCAGCTCGATGTCAGAAGTTGAAAATATTTTGAGTAGTTTAACAGTTATATGAGAGATTGGCATCATTTTCTTTAACAGCTTTTATCTTTGTAGATTTCCTTTTGAGACATGTATTTTTGCTTTTATAATCCTTTCATTAAATGCCAGAGGTTGTTTTCATATTAATCACTCTTTTCTGTATATTCAGGTTGCTGTCATTGGTGATAGAATATGGCAATAGACAGAATTGTGCTCCACTTTATGTTTTTTAGGAGATATTGAAAGTTATAGGTTAAATTTTGGCCTTCTTGAAGATATCAAAGATTGTTTTCCTTGTTACCTTTAATTAGAATTTGGTCTTCATTAATGCTTTGGTCAGGCTAGCATTACTAAAAACTTGATGGCTT
This sequence comes from Homo sapiens, assembly GCF_000001405.40. Lineage (NCBI taxonomy): Eukaryota > Metazoa > Chordata > Mammalia > Primates > Hominidae > Homo > Homo sapiens. Next base: position 96,960,713 of record NC_000010.11, read on the forward strand.
CAGCAGAACAGCCCGTTTAGGAGACTATTAAGCTATCTAGGGATTTTTTTTCAAATTAATTGCTTTCAAAATCTGAAAAGGAAAAAAGTATAATTGTGGTACAAAGAAGACAGATCTCCAGGCTCTTTCTTCTCAGTTTATTTTGGTTTAATTCTGTACTGGAGACTTGAATAGGATTTGTGAACATGGTGATGGAAAGAAAAATAGAGGACATTATTTGTGTACCCTCATTCCTGAATAATCTTGCAGTCACCTTTTAAAGAAGCAGACATTAGCCCTGTAACACAACACTGTAGCTATAAACTCTAAGTGTTAGGAAGGAGATTGGGGTGGGGAGGGTGGAGTAGGATGGAAAAAGCATGTAGACTTCTGAGAAGAGGCTAAAAATTCTGCCCTATAATACTAAAAATGAGTCACAAGATAATGTGGTGAAGTTAGGCCATCTTGATTTGATAGAAAAATCTTTTACATTGTTTAAAAATGAGAATCGAGGCTAATTAATGTTGATTTGACAATAGAACATGAGCTAATTCTGCAACCGTTTGGGGGGTAATTTTATGGTTTC